>NC_000012.12:102611643-102914673 GCF_000001405.40 Homo sapiens
TGAATCCAGTCCGTCTGGGTCAAATCCTGGCTCAACCACTAATTAGCTGTACTCTGTGATTATGGGCAGGTAAATTAGCCATTCTGTTCTTCAGTTTCCTCACTGAGAAAATAGAAGCAATAACAGGGTTGTTTCATAGATTCATGCAAAACAGTTAGTGCAAGACCTAGCATGTAGTAGGTGCTCATACAAGTTTTATTTTATTTTAGAACTGTGATATGGAAAGCACAGTTTGTGTTGTTAGAGTATGTAGGAGGAGCACTTGATTTAGACTCATTGAGCAGGGGGCATCAAAGAAGATCCTTTAGGTGGAAGAAACAGCCTGAAACCTGAAAGATGAGGAGGTAATATGGCACATTTGAAAGAGTGCCATAGATGTGTGCTATGGGTGTAAGGGTATAGCTCACATGCAGAGAGAATAATATGTGTGAAGCCTCAGAAGAAAGACAGTGAATGGCTTTCAAAAAACTAAAAGAGGTTCAGTGTGACCAGAATACAGAGTTTGAGGATCTTTCAGTTATCTATTGTTATCCAACAACACACCTCAAAATGCAGTGGCTTTGAAATACAAAAGGCTGATTTGCATCAAGTAACTGATAATTTTGCATCAGAAAGCACAGAGACTAGAGGATAGTGGAATGACATCCTTAAAGCACTGAAAGAAAAAAAAACTATCAACCCAGAATTTAGTATCCATCAAAAATATCCTTCAGGAATGAGAAACAAAAATGAAACCTTTCTCGGGTGAAAGAAAAATGGAGAGAATTTGTCACCAGCGGACCTGCTCTAAAATAAATGCTAAAAGAAGTTATTCAGGATGGAAGAAAATTATACCAGATACTAAAGACTTCAGGAATGAAGAAAGAGCAACAGAAATGGCAAATAGCTGGGTAAATATAATAAGCTTTTTTCTCATCTTAAAATTCTTTAAAAATTTATATAACTGTTGAAAGAAAAATTTCTAACATTGTCTGATGGGATTTTCAGTCTATGCAGATGCAATACATGTGACAACTATAACATAAAGGGTGAGAGTAAAGGAAGCTATTTGGTTGCAAGGCATCTATATTTTACTTGAAGTAGTAAGATATTAACTCTAACCATACTGTGAAAGGTTAGGCATCAATATTCTCATCTCTACAGTAACCACTAAAACAATAATACAAAAAGATATATCCAGAAAGCCAACAGAGAAATTAAAATGAAATTATTGAACAGTATTCAAATAATTAAAAAGGCAGGAAAGGGGGAACAGAGGAACAGAAAAACAGAGAGGACAAACAGAAAAAAATAATAAAATGGTAGGCATAAATCTAACCATATCGACAATGTCGTTAAATGTAGATAGTTAAATACAATAATTAAAGGACAGAGATAGATTTTTTGTTGTTGTTAAAAAAAGACAGAACTATATGCTATCTACAAGAAATCCACTTTAAATATAATGTATATATTATAGATAGGTTAAAAGTAAAAGGATAGAAAATGTATGCAAATACTAATGAAAAGAGAGCTAGAGTGAATATATTAATATCGGACAAAGTAGACTTCATAAAAAATTACCAGAGATAAAGAAGAAAATTGCGTAATGAAAAAAAAGTTAATTCACTGAGAAAACATAAGAGTTCTAAATGTGTATATATACCAAAAACAGCTTCAAAATACATGAAACAAAAATTAATACAACCAAAAGGAGAAATGGACAAATCCATAAGTATAGGAAGTTTCAACAGTCCTTTCTCAGTAATTGATAAAGGATTAGGAAGGAAACTGACAAAAATATAGTAGACTTGAACACAACCAATGAACTTTATCTGATTGACATTTATAGAACACAAGAACTAAAACCACATTTTTTTCAACTCTATATGAATGTTCACCAAAATAGACCATATCCTGGACCACAGTGAAGAATAAAAAAACCAACAACTTAACAAATGTAAAAAACTTTAAATTATACAGCGTATGTTATCTGATCATAAAATGGATAAAATTAAAATCAATAACGTAAAGATATATGGGAATTTTACAAATATTTGGAAATTAAACAACATACTTTTAAATAACCTGTGAGTGAAGAGGAAGTCTGAAGAGAAATTAGAAAACATTTTTGAGTTTAATAAAAATGAAAGTACAATATATCAAAATTTGTAAGATGCAACTAAAGTAGTGCTTCAAGGGCCATTTATAGTATTAAATACTTATTTTAGCATTTAGTATTATCATAGTATTAAATGTGTGTATTAGAAAAGAAGAACAACAAGCAATCAAAGCCTCTACCTAAAGGGACAGTAAATAGAAGATAAAATTAAACTCAAAGAAAGCAAAAAAAAAAAGAAATGATAAAGAGCATACATTGCAATGAAATGGAAAATAAAGATAATAGAAAAAAATGAAGCCATTATATATTTTAAAAGAGATTAATAAAAAGCTCTATCTAAATGACCGAGAAAACCCTTTTTAAAAATAGAGAGACATAAATTACCAATATCAGGAATAAAGGGGAATATCATTACAGAATCTTCATACATTAAAAGAATAATAACAACTCTATGCCTATAAATCTGACAACTTAGATGAAATACACCAATGCCTTGAAAAACACAAACTGCCAAAACTCACACAAAAACTGCAACTATCCTTGGCTGCTGTTATTCTTTCTGGACCAGAAATTCCTTAAGGATTTTGACTGTGTCTTATTTATTTTTCTTATACCCAATGATTATAGAACACATGACACAAAAGAGGTATCCAATAAATATGCAATGGAAGAATTGATGAATTGAACACTCTAATGAATTTTTCTTTGCCCAGGAGTTGATTTACAATCAGCTCTAACCTTGGGATTTCAGAGGAGGTAAGGAGTATCATTGTTAGTTTTTCATTATCATCTCTTTTTCAATATCATCAAAAGAGATGAAATCATTATCTCTTTTCATCATCCTCTTCATGTGTTTTTGTTGCTTCTTTGGGAGCAGCTTTGAAAGTGCAGATCAGAAATTGTATGCAAGCCTATCTATGCCTGAATGTAAAAAGCTCGTTGCTGTGGTTGTGTGCTGCCAAACTAGTAGTAGACAGTAGACATGAAATCATTTCTTTGGCAGGAAAGAGAAGGAATATAATAGTTCTATCTGACTGCCAGCCTACCAAGATGCTAGGCACCTCATAAATGCCAAGTTAGGAAAGAAGTAGGCTGAACTGGCCAAGAGTTGGAAACATTTTTTTTAATTTTTTTATTTTAAATTTTTTTTTATATTTTAATTTTTTTGTAGAGGTGGGGGTCTCACTTTGTTGTCAACGCTGGTCTCGAACTCCTGGCTTCAAGTGATTCTCCTGCCTTAGCCTCCTAAAGTGTTGGAATTACAGGCATGAACCATTATGCCTGGCTGAGTTACAAACATTTGTAGTGTTTTTGTTTGTTTTTTATGTTTTTCATGGGGAAGAAATTGGGGGATGAAGAACTTTTCTGAAGTACTTAGGCTAGGTAGGTTTCATCTTTGTGAGGGTTTTGTTTGTTCTTTTTTTTGTTTGTTTTGAGACAGGATCTTCCTCTGTTGTCCAGGCTGGAGTGAAATGGTGTAATCATTGTTCACTGTAGACTTGACCTCCCAGACTCAAGTGATCCTCCCACCTTGGCCTCCCAAAGTGCTGGAATTATAGGCATAACCATTGCATTATCCTTGTATTTTTGCCTTCAAAATCAGATATCTAAAGATACTGTCGAATGACAACACACACACACAAACATACATAGATTTTAGTCTCTTCATTCAAAGATAACCTTGAAAACAACTCTTGCCAGTTGTAAAGAAAAACATCATTTTATCCATGACAAATCAAAAGTATGTTAATGACATAAGAACATATTTTGAGCATAAAATTCAGTCTGAATTTTTAAAACTCAAGTCCATGGATTCTGAGAATCCTGAAACAAGTCCATTGGTATCAAGACAGAATTTTTTTTCTTAAAAGATAAATCTGCCAGCTATGGTCCACAGGCCAAGTCCAATTCACCACTTGCTTTTGTAAAAACATTTTTTTTTTTTTTTTTGAGATGGAGTTTCGCTCTTGTTTCCCAGGCTGGAGTGTAATGACGCAATCTCAGTTCACTGAAACCTCCGCCTCCCAGGTTCAAGCGATTCTCCTGCCTCAGCCTCCTGAGTAGCTGGGATTACAGGCACCCGCCACCATGCCTGACTAATTGTTGTATTTTTAGTAGAGACGGGGTTTCGCCATGTTGGCCAGGCTGGTCTCGAATTCCTGACCTCAGGTGATCTGCCCACCTCGGCCTCCCAAAGTGCTGGGATTACAGGAGCCACTGTGCCCAGCCAAATACAATTTTATTGGAGCTCGGCCACACCCATTTGTTTATGTATTGTCTCTGGTTACTTTCAGGCTACAGAAATGAGTATGTTATACATTGTCATGGTCATCCCCCCAAATTAAGTGGTGATGTCTCCTAAGAAAGTAGAAAAGACTGCAGGGAAATTTGGTGAGCCTGAAATGTTGTGTGAAGTCCTTTCATTGAAAGAAAATTTGGAAGATATAAAGCGTACTAAGCAAATGACTGCATACAAATGTATGTTTATTATAATTTTGTTCTCATATGCCATGCATACAATTTTTTTCTACACATGAGACAATAGAAAAATTATTAAAGTATGTTGGTTTATATTATGCACAAATCCTTAATGGATTGCAATATGACTTCTTCGTGCCATGTCAGAACATTGAGGTTTTAGGAAGGACTGCTAATGTATTTTTATTATTATTATTATTATTCTATTTTAAAATAAGGGACTCCTGTAAGCTCCAATTATTTGAACATTTGCTATTTAACAGGTTTTTAGAAATAGGTTAAATTCAGGTAAAGAGATATGCCTATACTATCTATCCTCTTGGAAATTGGATTCCTATCTTGTTCCTCTGTATCAGCCTCTCCATTGCTCAACTGCCCACTGCTGCAGAACTTGCATTGTTTTGCCAGCTCCCTCACAAGAACTACAGTCCTCATCTCTGGTGGGTGGGCCCCTGCTCCCCAGGTGCCAGCTGCCTCTGCCTTTTTGTGTGGATTCCACCTGTTGTTTGTTGCCATTCCTTCATGGTGCTATCCTGAACATGAGACTGAACTCCTTGCAGCTCCTATAGCTGTCCTCCTACCTTCATTCTTCCCAGGTGACAGCTCTGATTCCGGATCCGTCCATTTCCACCCAATCTGTGCCACCAGTTGGAATGAATAGAGCATTGCCTAATCAGGTTCAGATACATACCAGCCTGCCCTTTGGGACTTGTTTACTTCTGCTGGTCTTTGTTGGTTCCTTTTAACCTGATCTGTCCAGTATAAAATTTTGGGTCCAGAAACAAGGGTAACATGTGAGTAATATGATGAGATGTGACTTGAGACTACATTTCTATAGTAACAGGTGATATGCATTGAACTTCAGTAAAGCTGACCCCAGTTATAGAGCCCAGTCATACAAAATATCTATGGCAGAGGAGGCTGGAGATCTCTTCTGTCTTTCTCTTCCTGCTCACTAGATGTGTGATCTCTCTGAGCCTCAGTTTCTTCTTCCATAAAGTGAGGGAGGTAACACTCACCTCAAAGGTTGTTAGGAAGATGTAAAGAACCCAACAGAGTGCCTGGACTTAATGATTGTACAATGCAGAGTAACCATGTCTATGCCTTTTCCTGGCTCTAGAATTTTCTTTTGCAGCCATTACTTCTCACAACTGCGTCGAGACCCAGGTGTCTAAAGGTCCCCCATTGTTCCAACTTGGAGTTCCAGAAATGAGACTTTGTAGTACAAAAATGTGTATGAATTAAATCTTTTTCATATGTAGGGAAAGACTAGCCATGTCCAACTTCATTTTGATTCCTTCATCCAAGGAGAATATTTTCTCTCTTCTCTTCTCCCTTCTGGCCCCTCACTTTTCTCAATGTTGAATGGTCACATGGTTTGAAGCAAACACTTTATTCTAGACTTGGCTTTGCAATGTCTCCCTAACTGTCCTCTGCTTGGCCATCTTACCTTCTCAGCAAGAAAGAGTTTATTGATTGTCCTTCTACATAGAAAAAAAAATCATGGGCTTATGAAAAAAAAATCAGAATCAAAGTCAGAAAATCTAGTCCAGCCCAGGATCTCTTCCTTATCAGTCACATGGTCCTTTAAAGGAAATTTGCTTCTCTGTATGTCATTTTCCTCAAATTCCTGACCTTGGAGGATTGAAAAACTCTATACAACTCCCAATGACTAAGAGACAGTCCTCTAAATTTGCTTAGAGTATTGCATAGTCCTAGGAAAAGGATAAAAACTCAAATAATACTTTTAGATGAACTGAAGAAAACCTGTGATATTCTAATCTACCTGAAGTAAGTCAAGTTGAATTTCCCAGATTAATAGATTGACTGGAGATTAAAGATAAGGCCTGAGAAACATGTCGAATTCAAGGAGCCCTTCTGTTCATCTCAAAAATAGTCCTGACTCCCTTCCTTCCTGTCCACACATACCTTCTTAAACACGAGGGAAGCCTTCGGAAGTTTTATTCTTCTCTTCTTATGGTAGCTGCTCACCACTTGGTGTTTTTGCACCCTGCAGATTGAGAGGCTAGGGGTGGCATGAATCAAGTAAGCCTTTTCAGTGAACTCAGTGGGTGAAAACCCCATCTGCCTTTTATCCTTGCCTGAAAGAGTCCCCAAGTGACTGACCTTTCCAGAGGGGCCACATCACTCTCCCGAAACCCACGTCATTGTTCTCTAGCTTACGGCACATTCTGTGTCCATTCTGCCTCCTTCCTCATCAATTCCTCCAATCTTTCTCCACTTACTGCACCACTGGTGGTCTGGGGTGTGCAGCCCAGATGTTTTCCCCAAGTGACCAGAGGATTACTTTTCAAGTGGCTTCACAGAGCAGATGTTCCCTTTCACCTCCCCCCTCAACCCTAGTCCCCAAATGCTGAAACCTTTCCCTTCTTGGGAGAGCACATTGTGTTGCTGCTGTGTGTTTGATCAGGAGAGTACAAGCAGGAACAAGAGAATCCCACACTGACAACTGTTTGGCAGGCGAGCTCCTGGGCTTAAGTGTGTTCCTCCTCCCTTTGCTCCCATTACAGTTGTGAGCAGATGTTCTTGACTGTCCAACTGGCTGATCTTTCTCTGGCCCCCTCGCACCAAGGCTTCTTCCCCCTCCCCTGCTTCATGCTAACCACAACTTACCCAAGACTCTAGTATTTCTTTTTGCCTAGATACAACCATCACCCTTACTTCATCCAGAGCTTTGCTTGCTAAGCCTGGAAAAATCTGTTAGATAAAAGACTGTGCCCTTAAACCTAGCCTTTAGATACAGGTTGCTCCCTACTATTCACTTCATTTGTCTATTATTTTTTCTACCCCTTGCTTCACTCCCTATCCCACTTCTCACCCCAGCTCCAGCCCCTCTGCACTATTGCAGTTCCAGCCATGTTCTCTCTCACCTCTAAGACTTCTTAAGTGACTTTTCTTCTTCCTAGAGCATTCTCCTTTCTCCCTTTCCCCCTTTCCTTGTTAATTCCTGATGATCCTTGAAATTCCTACCTATGTATGACATCCTCTCTGACCTCTATGTGCCAATCATTGGTTCCCATAGAGCTTGACCCCAATTCAGCCCTTACTTCTCTGTATTGTAATCGTCTTTATACTTGTCTCTCCATTTTTTCATTAACTTAATTTTAAAATTTGAGCAAAAGATTTTATGGCCAAGATATCTGTATCTTGTTTGATTTTACCAGTATTAAACAAGGGTATTAGAATAGATTCCAGCATCCTAGCTCTCTACCTTCTTCTGACAGTGCTCATTGAGCATCTACTTTGTGTTAAATACTCAATTAGATCTTGGAGTCATAAAGATGAGGAAAGGATTTCTCCTGTCTTCAACTAGACGAAGTTTCATACACAGACTTCCAAAGTAGTATGACGCTATTACTGTGGTGCAGTATCCAAAATATTAGGGAAAACTGACACTTAGATAATTAAAGTAACCAACCTTGAAGTGACGGAATATGGCAAAGGAATATGGGAAAGTCAGGTTAGTATTGAAAATAAATTGGAAGTAAGAAATGGTTTGGTGTAGGGACTGACAAACTGCCTACTAGCCAAGTCTAATCAGTTGCCTATTCTGTAAATAAAGCTTTATTGGAACACAGCCATACATATTCATTTACATACAGTGTGTGACTTCTTTCATGCTGTAATGGCAGAGTTGAGTAGTTGTGATAAACTGTATGCCACAGAAGTATGAAATATTTACTATTTGGCTTTCTACAGAGAAGGTATTCTGACCTCAGGTTTAGTGCATGAAAAATAAAAGTGGCCAAGAAAATTTTGGAAAATAATTAGAAAAGGGTGACAAACTTCAAGCAGATTTTTAAATATATTATAGAGTTAGATAATCAAAATAGTATGATATTGATTTGGCAAAAAGCAAATAGCTCACTAGGAAGATAATAGGAAGCCCAAAATAAATTATCTATATAGGAATTTAATATAAGATGAAGATGAAGATTTATTTAATAAAGAGTGCTATAAAAGCTATTCACCTAGAAGACTATATTTCCATTAGATTTTTAACATTCTTCATCCACCCTTATGCTCTCTCAAATTAACAACATATCCCCTTTTTTGCAGTCAATATTTCTTTCTTTACCATTGTTTATTTGTCATTCTTTCTGGGTAAAATTTCTTGTTTCTTTATAGCCTTTACTAAATCTTTCTGTTAAGGTACGTGAATAGTAAATTTTCTGTTTTTGCATACGCAAATGATTTCATTTTACCTATACTCTTGAATAATAGTTTAGCTAAATATAGAGCTCTACCCTCACATATCCCTTCCCCCCTCACTTCAAAGACATTATTTCATTGTCTTCTGACAAATTTTAGTGCAGGTAAGATGTTTATATAGACCTAATTATAGAACTCATTCATCTGTAGATAATCAATTTTTTTGGTTTTTGTAATTTTAAATTTAGTTTATTTGTCTCTGATACTCCCATGGTGTATTAAGATGGATTTTTAAAAAAATTGTTTCCAATTGTAGAAAATTCTTAGCCATTATTACATTATTACTTTGATGGTTACCTCTTGCCTATTTCCCACCTTCTCTTTTTCCTGAGCTCTTGTTAGATATTTGTTTGAACTTCTCACCCTTTGTTTCACATATTTTAATAGCATTTACATGTTTTCCAACTCTGGGTGATTTGCTCAGACCTGTCTTCTAATTTTCTTGTACTGTTTTCAGCTATGTCTACAATGACTTTATTGTTTTACCATCCATAGGTCTGTGTGTGTTTTTCAAGTTTCAGTGCCATTTTCTATTTTAAAAATGTATATCTTTCAAGAGAATGAGAAGACAAGCCACAGATTTGGAGAAAATATTCTCAAAAGACATATCAGATAAAGGACTATTATCCAAAATATATAAAGAATTTTTAAAACTCAACAATAAGAAAACTAATAACCTAATTTTCAAATAGGCAAAATACCTGCACAGGTATCTCACCAAAGAAGATATGTAATAAGTATATGATAGTAAACAAGCATATGAAAAGATGCACAACATCATATGTCGTTGGGAAATGTAAATTAAAACAATAATGAGACACCATTACGCAATTATTAGAATGTCACAACGCTAGTACTCTGTCTACGACCAAATGTTTAGCAGGTTGTATGCAGCAACAGGAACTCCCATTGGCTGCTGGTGAGAATGCAAATCATACAGCCACCTATGCAAGATGCTTGACAAGTTTTATAAAAGTAAACATACTCCTACTGTATGATCTACCAATTACATTTTTCGGTATTTACACAAATGAGTTGAAAACTTATGTCCACACAAAAACCTGCACATGGCTGTTTATAGAAGCTTTATTCATATGACAAACTTGAAAGCAACCCTGAAAAGCTTTAATAGGTAAATAGATGAACAAATTGTAGTACATCCCAACAATGGAATATTATTCAGTACTAAAAACAAATGAAAGATTAATTCATGAAAAGACATAGAGGAATCTTTAATGCATATTACAAAGTGGAGGAAGCCAATCTGAAAATACTAATACTATATGATTTCAACTATATGACATTCTGGAAAAGGCAAAATTATGGAGACAGTAAAAGGATTAGTGGTTGCCAGGGACTAAGTAGGGAAGTGGGAATTAATAGGCAAAGTATAAAAGATTTTTCAGGCAGTAAACCTACTGTGTATGATATTATAATGGTGGATACATGTCATTTTACATTTGTCAAAACCCATAGAATATACAACATTAGGAGTGAGTCCTAATGTAGTTTACACATTTTGGGTGATAAGTATGTGTCAATGTAAGTTCATTGATTGTAACAAAGGTACCACTCTGATGTGAGATATTGATAGTGAAGGAGGTTGTTCATTTGTGTGAGCAGGGGATATATAGAATCTCTACCTCTGCTGAATGTTGCTGTGAACCTAAAAATGCTCTAAAATATAAGGTCTATTCAGAAGGGGGAAATGTTCTACATGGTTTCTTTTCAAACTTGATTCTTCTTTAAAAAAGTTTTATTTTGCCTTTTAGTTTCCATTCTTTTTTTTCTCTTTGAACATTTAAATTATGCATATGTTAATAGATCTTTCATATACATTTTTGAGCTGGGGATTCCATTCTTTTTTTTAATTCTGGAAAATATCGCTTTTCAGCTATTATTCTTTGCTTATTCCAGAATTCCCTGTAAAAGTGTGTTGGACATCTCCATCTCTGCCTTCTGCCTCCTAATTACTCTTTTATTAACATTTATCTTCTTATACTTTTTAAAAGTAATTCTTTCAAAGCCTTTGTCAGAATTTATATACAAACATTATTTCCTCTTTAGTCAATTTATGTTTATATAGTTAATTTTGTTAGTTCTTGTATTGGTTAGGGATACTGCAAATATACCTCAGATAAACAGAAAAACCTCATTAAGTCTAGCTTTCACCAATAGGAATTTTTGTTTTACATAAGAGATTTCAAAGTAGACAGTATAGGGCTGTGCAACTATTCAAGAATGTCACCAATGATCCAGCTCCTTTATGCCTTTATGCGCCGTAATCTTTTATTCTCAGTTTCACAAGATGGGTGTGTGCCTCTAGGCATAATGTGTACATTCTAGATATGAAAAAGGGTGAAGGTCAAAAGGACTTTATCCCAGTGAGGCTTTGTCTGTTTTTTTTTTTTTTTTCCAGGAAAAAAATATGTCTTCCTAGGCACTTCTGCTTTATTTCACCATCCATGACTATGTCACATGGCCTTCCATAGCTGCAACAGAAGCTGGAATAATGAGTATTTCTTTTTCTAGCTTCTATAGTACAGAAAGATAAGTAAAAGGGAGATTGGGAATAGACATTAAGCCAATCTACAATATTTTCCACAGCACTCTTGCCCTTCACTAGATTTCTTTGAGTGTTTTGTCTTTCTCTGTATTCATCCTTCCATATCAATGGGCTCAATCTGTCTCTTAAATCCCAATTAAAAGAAGCAGGTCTGCTAGTGACTGTGTAGAGTTTTTGTGCTGTGGTGCTCTTGGAGTCTTCAGCTATCCAAACACCAAGTTTGAATGGCTGTTAAAATTTCTGGTAGTAAAGCTACATCTATGACCTTCTTCTTGCCTTGGACCTCAATGTCTTACAAACTTAGAGCAGTAGGCACCAGTTGCTAACAGGGTGTTTACATCCGGGACAATTCTTATTAGTGGAAGGCTAATTGTAGCTGCTCATTCTCACATGCAGCCTTTGTATCATTACCCCACAGGAGCCAAACTTCTGGCCCCTGTTACCAGTTTGTAGACCCATAGCCCAGTATACTAGTTTATAACTTAGCATTTCTGTTCCACTTCAAGTGCACTAAAATGTTCGTATTTTATTAAAAAAAAATAGTTCAGCTATGTCTTTTTGGTTTTCTCCTCTTATAATTTGACGAGCAGGCCTATGAACCAGTTCAGTGTGTCAATGTGTGAACTAACCAAGCTATCTATGACTTTTAGTTCTTGAACACATGACTCTTTTGTGTTGTTCTCCATTTGTTTTCTTGTACAATTACTCATAATACATTTGTGAGGTTCTTAAAGGCAGAGATAATGTATTTATATTCCCCAAATGGCTTGATAGATGCTCAATACTGAACTGCAAAAATCCTCTATAGATGCACGGAGGTACCAATCACTGGAGTTCTGGCTTACACATCAGGCCCATGAGTTGTTCTTGTATATATTGAATGGGAAATTAAAGGACAGGATTTAAGAGTCCAAACATTCATTTTAACTCGGTTGGGTATTTTAGAGAATTTCTAAGATATTCCAGTAGTCACCTGACCTAGTGATTTAAAGAAGCAGCTCTGGAATCAGACCTGCATTTAAAGTCTAGTTTTGTCATTGTTAGCCAGTTTAAATTTGTTCAAGTCACTTAAATTCTCTAAATCTCTGATCCCTTACCTAAAAAAAAATGGATAGAATAATAGTACTGACCTCACACAGTTGTGGCAAAAATAAATGAGACAATGCACGTAAAGCTCTTTGCACAGTGTCTGGCATGCAGCAAACCTCATGGAGAGGGTATCCGTTGTCATCTGTTAATTTTCTGGACATCCATGATGAAGGCTCATTTTCTACTTTTTTTCCCACAAAGCATTGAGATCCAGCATAACTAAGGTAAACATGGCTAACTCAAGGTAACCAGTGATCCAACTTTTAATTGTTGCTTTGTAATTTCAGCCTACAACATGTGTCTTCTCTGTACCTTCCACTGTTTACATTGTGCTAGGATTTTCTGAGAACCATTTGATTTTTTTTTTTTTTCATCTTAGTAGCTGCCTTCAAAGAATGATGTTAGTTATGGAATAATGGAAAGGTTATTTCTGCCATGCATGAAGACTGAGTAGGCAAAGAAAAATGAATTATTTGAGGAAACTGTTTGAGTTTGTTTGTGCCACTATAATGCAATATGTGAGGCTGGTTTATTTATAAAAAATAGAAATTTATTTCTCAGAGTTCTGAAAGCTGGAAAGACCAAGATGGAGGGGACAGTGTCACATGGCAGAAGGCAGAAGGGAAAAAGAGAGGAACTCTGTCCTCACATGGTAGTAGAGCAGAAGGCAGTGAACACACTCCTGAAAGCCCATTTTATACTGGCATTCATTCATTCATGAAGATGGATGAATTACCTAAACACCTCCCATTAGGCCCCACTTCCCAACACTATTACATTAGGGATTAAATTTCCAACACATGAATTTCGGAGGACACATTTATACCATAGCAGGGGCTTTTAAATGTTTTGCAGCTAAGACATATGAAATTGATTTTAACCATAAAAAATTCTAGCTAGGCAAACAGGAAGGAATAAAATTATTTTACTTTTTTGGATACTAGTTTCTACACACTGACTTGATTTGATACTTTTTATTACATTATTCAGTTAGATCAGAAAATCTCATAATTCCCATTCTACCCACATTCATTTGTGCCCCTACCAAACTATGTGGTGATTGTCCACATACAGACTAGACTTTTTGAAATGATGCTATAGCCTGCCATATTCTCTGTTTCATGGAATCAGATGTAAATTTAACTTTCAACCTGTATTACATGTTCAAATGAATTTGGATTTGGAGGTTTTATTTAACAGAATGTTGCAATTATTGTTTGATAATTATTTGTTTTATTAGTCTACAAATAAATCACAAAAATTTTAATGCATCTCAAAATCTCCCAAGACACTTGTTAAAAATGAATATTCCTGTATCCAGCCCTGGAAGTTCTAATTCAGCAAACCTGAAGCATCCCTGAGTGAAACTAATGCCTATCATCTTCAGGCAACACTTTGAGAAACACTGTCTTACTTTTCTCACCGTTAAAATTTTTGCAAAGGTGCTTTCAATCATTTAGATATTGTCAATGGCTGCTTTCTTTATTTTTTCAAGTTTTAATTAATACATAATAATTGTATCTATGGGATACATGTGATATTTTGATACATGTATGCACTGTTTTTCATGATGTCTACCAAGAGATTATAGTTTTTCTTTTCTATTTTCTAACTTTTTTTTTTCAGTAATGAATAAAAAAAGAGAGTGCATATGCATTTGACTCCCCTCCCTTCCCTTTTTTGAGGCTTCTTTCTGAGCAAAAGCACACAAGGAAGTTGTACTTGATTTGGGTCCATAACACCAGTGTCCCACATCTTCCTGATTATGAGGCCTCCACCATTATTGTCTAGTGGGAGACTCAGGACTGCCCTGCAGCCCTCATGGGAGCCCGCTTCCTTACCAGTCTTTGTAAGATTCTCAGCAGGCTCAGCAGCTACAGCCTAATTGGAGCACTTATGCTGCCATTCCACATGTGCTCTCTATACTGTCAACATGCCTGTGACCACACCCTTGATGACTGGGAAATTTTTTCTATAAAGGACTGGGTAGTAAATCTTTTATGCTTTGTAGGGCATTAAACCCAATTCTGCTGCTGTATTAAGAAAACAGCCATTGACATGGAGCATTATTCAACCATTAATAAAAGAAGAAAATCCTGTCATTTGCAGCAAGTTGGGTGGAACTGGAGGTCATTACATTAGATGAAATAATCCAGGCACAGAAAGACAATTATCACATATTCTTTCTCACATGTGGGAGAAAAAAAAGTTGATCCCTTGGAGGCAGAGAGTAGAATGATGGTTATCAAAGGCTGGGAAGGTGGGAAGGATAAAGGGGGAGAGAAGGGAGGCTGGTTAAAGGGTACAAAAATACAGTTAAATAGAAAGAATAAGTTCTAGTGTCTGATAGCACAGTAGGTTGTCTGTAGTTAACAATATGTTATTGTATATTTCAAAATAGAAAATATTTGGAATTTTCCCAATACAAAGAAATGATAACTGTTTGATGTGATAGATATCCTAATTACCCTGATTAGATCATTACACATTGTATACTTTATCAAAATATCACATGTATCCTATAAATAGATATAATTATTATGTATCAATTAAAAATTGAAAAAACAAAGTAGCCATTGACAATATGTAAATGATTGAAATCACCTTTGCAAAAATTATAACATGAGGAAAGTAGGACAGTGAAAGAGATCTGACCTAATCAACTTCATCTTACCTTTAACCTCCAAACTGCCCTTGATCATTTCTGGCCATGAGTTAAGCTAATTTGGGGATAAATTTAGTTTATAGTTGAAATGATAATAGCCTTTCCCAAAACTAAACTACCTTTGTAAAATTAATGAAAAGCCACCAGGTTAGGAGGATGAGAGGGGCCTGAATTCTGCTAAAATGTAGGCATAGTTAAGTGATTACCAACCATTATTCTGGAGGTCACAAGCTTTACAACTTCCCCAATTACTCCTGTAATTAACAACACTATTGTAGAACCTAAGATGTCTTTTCAGGCTTTTGCATTTCTGACGACTGAATAGCCCCACCTGGACCCACAACTCTCAGCTCAACTAGTCTTGTGGCCCCCACCTAGAAGAGGGCTAGGCACATGACAACCATTTTCTACACCCCTATGACTGCATTACCAACCAATCAGTAGTACCCCTGCCCACCAAACTATCTTTGAAAAACTCTAGCCTCCAAATTTTCAGGGAGGCTGACTTGAGTAATAATAAAACTCTGATCTTCTGTTTAGCTGGCTCTGCATGTTAAAATATTTCTCTATTACAATTCCCCTGTCTTGATAAATTGGCAGTTTCTGGGCAGTGGACAATATGAATCTATAGGTCAAGAGAACCCTGACTAATACAGTCAGTTACATGAATTGGCATGACTGTGTGCTGATAAAACTTAATACATACTGAAATCTGAATTTCATATAACTTTCATGTTCCTGAAAATTTTTTTTTACTATTTTTCAACCTTTTAAAAATGCAGTGACTATTTTTAGCTCTAGAATCTGTACAATTGTTAGAATATGTAGTTAGGCAGACATAGGCAGGGCAGGAAAGGGCCTCCTCTCTACCAAGAATGTCAGGGGACAATCAGGTGATTGTCAGGCAGTTGTTAAACTGTCTCTCTAAAATAATAATTGGTCACAGCTGGTGCCAGGGATAGGCAGTCTCCCAACATGTAGAAAACATCTGAAACTGATGATCAGCAGTTTCCCAATAAGATCTCAGGAGTTGGGCAAGTGGGCCCAAACATGTATACTTAGAGACAAAATGGCAGAATTTAACTGGTATATGACTTTCTTCTAGGAATGCTCAATTGGTAAGGGAAAAATGTCTCAAATGAGCATGAGCACAACATCAGTAAACCCACTGTGCATGCAGCCTTTCCCAGGTGCTGGCAGGCCACTGTGCATGCAGGCAACCCATCCCAAGGCAAGAATCAAGGGAGAAGAGATGCAAGACCCTGGAAGCACGCTAACATATAAAACCCCAAGTCAAAGGTCAAACAAGGCACTTGGATCTCTCAAGTTGCACTCTTGGCCCTCTTTATGTTACTTCTTTTCATTCCTGCTCTCAAGCTTTTTAACAAACGTTCACTCCTGCTCTAAAACTTACCTTGGTCTCTCCCTCTGCATTTCACTCCTCTATTAAATTCTTTCTTCTGAGGAGGCAAAGATCAAGTTGCTGCAGACCCATATAGATTCACTGCTGCTAACAAAATCACAGGCAACTAACTGATTTGGCCTTTGGGGCACAGCTTGTTAGTTCCTATTCTAGAGAGTGAGGGTGTCCTCCTCCTATTCAAGGCCAATCCTTTCACTCTATCCCATGATCCTACTTCCTGCTCCTTTGAGGCCTCACTCATTCTATGTATATCTTTTCTTTCCTTTCCTTTTTCTTCCTGTCTTCCTTACTACAGTCTTCTCAGAGTATAAACATGTTCAAACCTATCTCATTATAAATTAAAGCTTTCTTGGCCCTTGTGATATATAATTTTATGTACCAACTTGGCTGGGCTATGATGCCCAATTGTTTGGTAAAAACACTAGCCTAAATGTTGCTGTGAAGATATTTTTCAGATGGCATCAACATTTAAATCAGTAGACTTTAAGTAAAAGATATTACCCTCCATAAGATGAGTGGGCATCATTTAATTAGTTGAAGGTCTTAAAAGCAAAGACACACTTTGTGAAAAACAATGAATTCTCCTCAAGTGTGCAACATAGAAACCTTGCCTGTGCTTCCATTTTGCTGCTCTGTGGGATTCTGACTGAAGACTGAAACATCAACTCTTACCTGAATTTTCAGCCTCCTGGCCTCCTCTATACATTTTGTACTTGTCAGCCCTCATAATCACATGAGACAATGAAATCAGTATTTCTCCCCAGTACCCCATGTAGATAGATAGATAGAGATAGAGATACATAGATATATGTAAATTCTATTATTCTATTTCTCTGTAGAACCCTGACTAAAACAGCAGCATATTATTCTTTTAGCTACTTCTTACCCTCTGTCTCCCCTTTTCATCTAAATTTGGAAGAACAATGTTGAGAACCAGGACTTGCATTTGGAGACCTGCTGGCTAAGTCTAGCCTCAGATTTACTGTTTGATCAGCACAGTGTTTTGGATCAGATTAGTTAAAAAACAAGATTGGAATTGAATGACATCACTTAGAAATTGGAAGATTTTATTTAAGAATCCAGATTTCTACTTTTCTTAGAATTGTGATATTCAGGCTGGGTCCATATTCTTAAGTAGAGCTGATTAGCTGTTGTTGATCAGCAACTGTCCTCTTTAAGTTAGATAAATGCTCTCCACTCTGCCACAGTTCCCGCCACTTCCTATTATCACCATCATGATTCATTCTTATGCTTGACCTTTGGCTTTCTCAACAGTTGGCTTCCAAGATGCACTTTATCATGGTCTTTACTATGGCCAACTAGCCTGAGTTAAGCTGGCTTCTGTCTAGCTCTCCTACCCTATCTCCTGACACCCTTCTCTTTGCTAACAGTTTCCAGCCATACTGACTTCTTTATTAGGAATATATAGATGCTCATTCCTGCTTCAGAGTCTTCACATTTACTATTTTCTCTTGGCCTATAATATGCTTTCCCAAAGTATTCACATGGCTGACTTCTTATTAAGGAATTCATTGAAATGTCATCTCCTCAGAGAAATCTTTCCTTACTCCCCCTCATTCACTTGGAATTTGCTCTTTGCTTCATTTCCCTCTTATTTTCTTCATTTTTAAAGAATTCTGAAACTACAGTTTTTCTTACTTTTTCTGTCTCCTCTCACATCACTACTGAAAACTCAAGTGCCTATTATAGTACCTGGACCATGTAGGCCTGGACACATATTATTTATTGAAGTTAATTTATCCATTTACCCCACCTATCTGGCCCCTGTATTTGAATATCTGACCCCTAGTCTTTACTCACTGCCACTACCTCCTCACCTCCCATGTGTTCCTTAACTCACCTCACTTTTGTTTCTAGCCCCACAATTTGAGCTCTTGCTAAGGTCATCCATAACCTCCAACTTGCCGCATCTCTCAGTCTTTTTTTTAAATTTGGACTTTTTGGTGCAACTTGACCCTCTCTTGGTTTGTTTTACTTCCT
This sequence comes from Homo sapiens, assembly GCF_000001405.40. NCBI lineage: Eukaryota > Metazoa > Chordata > Mammalia > Primates > Hominidae > Homo > Homo sapiens. Next base: position 102,630,200 of record NC_000012.12, read on the forward strand.
TTTCCTCCTTTTTGTGGTTTTCCTCATATTCTATTCTCCGTGTACCACTCTTGCTACTCTGCACATTCTCACTGAATAATCTTGTCTAATTCTTGTAGTTTCAATATGCAAAAATGCAATATCTCTGCTTGAGTGTCCTGCAATCACCTCAACCTAGACTGAATTCATTACCTGTCTTAAATTGGTTTTCCTGGATAACAGACACTTAAAAGAAGATATGCATGCTGGGAGTTTTTTGCGAAGTGCTATTAGCAGCAGAACTCATGAGAGGGAGTGAAGGAAGCAGGATAGGGCAGGAGAATTTGATGTCATGAAGATCTCACGTTGGAGATCAAATACTCTTTATGCTTCCTGATAGTGCTGGCTAAGGCTCTGTGGGCAGGAAAGGTAAACCCATCACTGGAATATGTGTCCATTCTAGTGAAAATGAATTGTTTTCCTAATTAGCATGAAAAGAGTTCAATTCAGTTGACTTGCCACCAAGTGACTGGTTATGATCCTTATGGGATTGTTTCATATTGGGTTTTCAGTGTTGCGTCTCTGTTGTTGGAAGAGGGGATATTTGGCAATGATGGTAGCTAGAGTAGCGAAAAGAATGAGGACCCATCCTGTTAGCCCATGCATAGCTTCTATACTCCCCACCATGGCTACTCTATTCAAATGCCTATTGTGCCATCACCAGATTAACAAATCACTGATGTCAACTGGCTGAATTATTCTGTGTACTTGATTATTTATGATTCTTCCATTTTAGACACTCATTTGTGGGCCTTAATACATCATTATTCACACTTTGTGCTCACTCTCATAGACCAATCCATATACCTTTTCTCCAGATCCTCTTGCTTATGATATTCCAGATTTTCTTCCAGGCCTTGAGCCAATCAACTGAGCCATTCACCACTGCCTGTGAATCCATAAGTAATCTTTTCTGAAGCCACCTCTCTTTCCACATCAAGCGGATAATCTTAAGCTTAAGCTCTACTCATTGGGGGGATTTTTTTTTTCTCACCACCATCTTTTAGAGATACCTCTGAGTAGAGCTACATTGCAGCAGCAATCATTTTTGGCTTGTACCTATAGACTGAGTTAACCCATCTGTGCTCCTAGTTTGGCATTTTTCTTCCTCCATTACTTGGTCAAAAGGAGCTCTCATGAAGGCGTAGGTGTGAGTTGAAGGAAAGACACCAGGGCAGTTGCTGATGGCCATTCCTACAGACAGTCTTTGTTATTAGCCATCAGCAGTCACACGCCCAGCAACTAGGGAAATAAGAGTCTAAATCTTGGGCAGTGAGTCATAGCATTCCTTATACCATCATCCCACTGAATCTGCTTCTCCTGCATTGCATTTCTTTTGATAGCACCACCACCCATTATTCAATGAGGTTGTAAGTGTGTAAATTATTCCTGACTCCTTCTTCTTCATAACCTTTACTTCCTCACCCTAGATGACTAGTTATTGATTGCTACATGTCTAAACATTTCTAGACTCTGTCCCCTGCTCCTCATCTCTGGTTTAAGCAGTGGAAATAGGAATGACCAAATCTAAATTTCAGAAAAATCACTTCAGTCTCAGCATGGAAAATGGATTGATGGAGGCAGGACTGGCAATAGGAAAAATTTAGGAGGTTAATACAAAGAGATTTATAGTAGAAACTTGAAGTTTGTTTTAGATTGGAATGTAGAGAAGTGGCTAAATTCTAGAAATATTAATAAGGCAGACCTGACAACTTGGGAATGAATGGCAGAGAAATGCAGAATGACTTCTAGGTATTAACCTAAACAAGATGGAGAAGAAAAATAACATTTATTGAATCCTATGCTCTGTGCTAATTATTTATATCTGTGATCATGTGGAGCCCAGAAGGCCTCTATTTTCTCTTTTACTTATATTAGGACTTAACTGATTTGCCCTTTTCTATAATTTAAATGTATCTCCCAAAAAGCGTGTGTTGGAAACTTAATTCTCAATGCAAGAGTATTGGAAGGTAGAGCCCAATGAGGATGATTAGGCCATGAGGGTGGAATTAATGGATTAATGTCATGATTGCAGAAGTGAGTTTGTTATAAAAGGGGAAATTCGGCCCCTTTTTACTTTCTCTCTTTCTCCTTCCATTTCTCCCTCCCTCCCTCCCCCCTTACTTTTTGAGACCTTTGCCATGGGATGACTTGGAAAGAAGGCCCTCACCAGATGCTGACCTCTCGATCTTGGACTTCCCATTCTCCAGAACTGAACAATAAATTTCTTTTCATTATTTGTTACCCAGTCTCACATATTCTGTTATAGCCACACCAAACAAACAAAGACAGCCTCGTATCTCTACATCTAGTTGTCTTTATCTGGGAAAAAAATAAGTCCAACTTAGCTGTGAAGAAGTTATCAATCTGCTGGGTGCGGTGGCTCATGCCTGTAACCCCAGCACTTTGGGAGGCTGAGGTGGGTGAATCACCTGAGGTCAGGAGTTCAAGACCAGCCTGACCAACATAGTAAAACCCTATCTCTACTAAAAATACAAAAATTAGCCAGGCGTGGCGGAACGCACCTGTAATCCCAGCTACTCAGAAGACTGAGGCAGGAGAATCGCTTGAACCCAGGAGGTGGAGGTTGTAGTGAGCCGAGATCGTGGCCACTGCACTCCAGCCTGGGCATCAGAGCAAGACTCCATCTAAATAAATAAATAAATAAATAAGATGTTATTAATCTTATAGATAGCATTTTGTAGTCATAACAGATTTTGACTTTTATCATTTATCTCTGTATCTGTAGAGTCTAATGAGTACCTGGCACACAGTAGGCATGCAACAATTATTTGCTGAATTGAATTAAACCTTTTTGAATTAAATAAGTTTTAAATTAAACTATCAAATAACTATTTGCTAACTGAAACCATGGGCCTCCATAACCCACACATAGGCTCTTAGGAAGTAGAGTGGGGCAAAGTGGCCAAGGTAGCATTTGGTTCATAGCCATCTCCACCTCCCACCATGTTTTCTGGGTTGGAATAAACTATTAAAGTCTAAGATGAAATCTTAATAATGGCAAGACTATCACTCGGATTGCATGGAAATCAGCCTGGATAATTCATCTATGTGGAGGACATGGTCAGGACAGGCAAAGAGAAACAGGATTCAGTTCCAACATTTCCTAGTAATCTTCCTTAACAGCAATGCTTTATAGAGCCATGAAATGTTAGAACTGGAAAAGACCTCAGAGACCATAAAATCCAACCTCTTCCTTTTACAAATGAGGACAGTGAGGCCTGGTAGAGCTAAGAAAAGTTACCCAATGTTTCACAGTTAATCAGTGAAAGAGTGGGACCCAGAAGCCAGTGCTCTGTGTTCTGAACCAGGTCAAGTCAGGAAGCATAATTTGGATGACTAATATATTTCAGGTAATTTGCTAATTTCTGGTGCTGCAGAAATCAGTCCCCTGGACATTAGTTCCCTATCTGATGGGAGACAGACACAAAATCATATTTTATCACCATGAATTAAATGGCATGATATAAATATAATGCAATCATAGCTAATTGCTACCATTTGTTGAGAACTCACAGAACATTTTACTGATTACTTTCTGTGACTTAGTTCATTCAATCTTTTCATGAACTGCTTTATCTATTAATTCCTTTTCAACTCCAAGCAGTGAATAAAATTGGAAATACACACTGAGAAAATTTCTTCAAACCAAAATCTATGTTTAAGTTGTTCCCCTTCATCCAAAGTCTGAAGACATTCACCACCCAGATTGTGGGTGAGCACCAGACCCTACTCAACTATGATTGGGGGCATAAAGGATTAATAAACAGCTCTGGGAACCTTACAGGAACCAGTGCTAGTGGAAAGCTCTGTGATAATCTTAGTAGATGGAAATAAAGCTTGCCATGTTTATGATTTCTTTGGGGATTATATAGGAGCGTTATAAGACCCATAAGGTCATATTTAAAGCTGGTGAAAGGCCTTTTAAGGTTTACAAGGCACACACTGGAATATTGGTTGGAGTTTCTGACAGTTAAGTTTCTGAACACTGCTTTTACTGCTTCATAGGGACTGACTGCTGAAAACCTATTACAACATCAATTTACATTTTGACAGTTCCCTAAATACATCATACCCATGTCCTAAAATGTTTTACAGAAAGGCTGGGCAATTGGCTGTTAAAATCAAAGAACTTCAATGAAAACAGAATTAAAAAGCCAAGATTTACTTTGAGATTTTTACTGATCCAGATGGGAAAAATGTAGTCCCTGTATCCTCAATCATTCCGGTGAGCTGATGTCATCTGAACCAAGAAAAGCTCAAGAGGTTGCTACATAACAGTTTGCATATTTTTAGTGCTTCTCTCCCTAAAATTTTTGATACCAACAAAACTAGTTTATTGTGTAATTAGAGAATAAAAGCAGAGTATTTAGGAACTCTTACAGTAACCTCCCTACATTGTCTTCATTTGCTCATTTGTTATTGAGCATTTATTATCTGCTAAACATTGTTCTAGGCCCTGGAAAATTAGTGGAAAAAAAAATAAAGTCCCTGACTTCAGAGAGTTTATGTTCTAATTATGAAGATGAGCGAATGTAGAAAATAAATAAATAAAATTATTTTGTTACTGAGTAATGAATAAGGTAAAACAGAATCATGAAGGAGAGAGTAAGTTAGTGTGTATGTGTATGGGGCAGATGGGAGGGGTGTGGTATTTTAGCTAAGATAATTAGGGCAGACCTCTCAGTAATTGACATCCTAATGAAGAGAAGGCCTCAACTCTCCAGAGATCTGGGACAGAGCAGCCTCAGCAGAAGGAACAAGTGCAAAGTGCAAAGACAAGAAGGAGGACAGCATTCTTTGACATTTAATTTCATGGTGTTGGATTCTTTTTCCACAATAAATATTTTGAAGGCCTAAAAATTTACTTTGGCATAAATGTGATATTCAGAAAGAACTCACACGTAAACATAAAGAAGACCAGAGTAGCTGGGGTATAGAGATAGAGGTTGGTGGAGGTGAAACTGGAGTACAATGAGGAGAGAGGCAGTCAAGACCTAGATCATATAAGGTCTTGAAGACTATCTAAAAGTTTTGGATTTCATTTTAATTTCACTGGGAAGCCATTGGAGGGCTTGATGAAAGAAGGTGCAGTCTGAATTGTTGTGCAAAGCTCACATTGTTGCTATGTGAGTGGGTGGGCAGGAAGCATGAATAGGTCTATTCCTCACTGACGTGAGGCCAGGGAGAAGGTGGATGATGGTCTCCAGGTAAGAGATAATGGGTGAAATTATTCTTCCTTTTCGAGGACCAATTTAAAAGTTCCTTCCTCTGTGAACATTTCCTGACACTGTCTCCCCTTCTCTACAAGAAGATACAACTGGTCCCTTCTCAGTTTTCCTATAGCATTTTGCATATACCTCTCTTAAGAACTTATTAGTTGGGGCCTGATGAGTCTAATGTTTGCTTGCATGTCTCCATGTAAATGCATGAGTTGTTACAAAATTTATGTTGTTACAAAGATTACACCTTATCCATCTGAGTCTCTCAGCACTTAGTAGTGGGCTTGATTCATAATAAGTGCTCAGTGAAGTACTTAGTAATAAATGTGTGAATGAATGAATGAAGTGGCCCTGGGCTTGGTATTCTACAATTGTGACCCTATACCCATTTTTAATTCCCATGCTTTGTGGATTGTCCCAGATCACTTAGGGAAGTCTTTTATTAATTAATTAATTAAATTCAAGCAGAATGAGAAAGTGGCTTATGTAGGTAAGTGTATGCAAGTTTCCTGAAGATATTTTGACTGAGGGATCATTTGGCAAGCTGAATTTTGAATCTATTTTATGGGGTAACTATCAAGTTGTAAATAATCAAGGCAGAACATACTAATTTAATTAGGTGCTCTCCTGTTGCCATCAGTCAGTTTGGAGATGTTGCAGTGATGCTGCTGGGGACTCTCAGGTAAAGAGAGAGCCCAGTGATCAAGGTAGGTGGGACTCAAGACTCAAGCCCAGAATTTTAAAAAACTATTTAATGTCTCTAACTGAATTATTTTTTAAAATAACGATGCTGGTCAATTTGCATGGTTTTAGTGGTAAAGGCCATTGTGCTGAGAAATTGAGGCACCTGGCTTGGTTCAGAGCTGCTAACCAGCTCTGAAACTGAGTAAATCACTACCATTTTGGGTTTATTTCCTCATTTGTAAAAAGAAGTATATTGGAATGGCTGATCTCTTAGGCCTCTTTGATTTCAAACAACTGTCTGCTTTTATGATCAGTATCTCCACAGGATCTAATAGAGCCCGACAACTAATTGAAATTTCATCAGTAGTTATCACCATTTACTTGATGATATTCGCTACTAAAGAATTTCCTTAAGAATAAAAAAAAACAGAAACAACAGCAAAAACAACATATCCATTCTTTGTTTTACTGATCATTAAATTTGTAATTATGCAAAGTGATGTTTTCTCTGGAAATTAGGCATATCTGTAGATACAAACATACATGATTTGAGGTCACACTAAGATTGGGTTAGAGCTGTTTTATGATTGTACTGTGTCCCAGTTGCTGACACTACATGAATGACATTGAGAATATCTAAGGCCTGGGTGAATCTTTGAAATCCAGCTGTGGTTCGTTCAGATGCCCAGCCATTGAGCTGATGGTGGTTTTAAAAATTACTAAGATGAGAATTAGTAAGTGAATTCAGCAAGGCCACTAGAAACAAGATCAAGATGTGGAATTAATTGTTATTCTATATTCTAGAAACAAACTGGAGAATAAAACAAATTAAAATGATATTATTTACAATAGCATCAAACAGCATCACATATCTACAAATAAAATCTTACAAAAGAAATGTGAAACTTCAATAGAGAAAATTATAAAATATTTTTAAGGGAAATTAAAGAAGATCTAATTAGAGGGATGAGGTACTATGTTTATGAACAGATAACTAGAAAAGTGAAATAAATAGAGGCTCCAAAAAATGACCTGCATGTGTATGGCCACAATATTAGACAAAGGTAATGCTGCAAACAGAGGAAAAGATAGTCTTTTCAATAAATGTTGCTGGGTCAATTGGCTCTCTATATGGGAAAAATAAATCTTGACTCTTCCACCTCACACTGTATATAAAAACCAACTCCAGGTGCAATGTATATATAATTGTGAAGGATAAAATAATAAAACTTATAGAAGGCAACATAAGAGTATATTTTCATGACACTGGAGTAGATGAACATTTCAGTTTTTTTCTTTCAACTTTTATTTTAGATTTGGGGAGTACATGTTTGCTACATGGATAAATTGCATGTTGCTGAGGTTTGGTATATGAATGATCCCATCATCCAGGTACTGAGCATAGTACCCAATAGGTAGTTTTCAACCCTTGCCTCCCTCCTTCCTCCCTACCTATAGTAGTCTCCAGTGTCTATTGTTCCCATCTTTATGTCCATGTATACTAAATATTAGCTCCCACTTATAAGTGAGACCATGCAGTATTTGGTTCCTGCAATAGTTTATTAGGAAAATGGCCGCCAGCTACATACATGTTGCTGCAAAGAACATGATTTTGTTCCTTTTTATGGCTGTGTAGTATACCATGGTATGTATATATCACATTTTCTTTTTTCTTTTTTTTTTTTGAGACGGAGTCATAATAATCATGGCTAGACTTAAAAGCTGCTTATTTCTGTGTTTTAAAGTATACTTTTCTCTTACTTTCTTTTTCTTTTTTTTTTTTTTTTCTTCTGAGACGGAGTCTTGCTCTGTCACCCAGGCTGGAGTGCAGTGGCGTGATCTCAGCTCACTGCAAACTCTGCCTCCTGAGTAGCTGGGACTACAGGTGCCTGCCACCATGTCCGGCTAATTTTTTTTGTATTTTTAGTAGAGACGGGGTTTCACCGTGTTAGCCAGGATGGTCTCTATCTCCTGACCTCGTGATCCATCCGCCTCGGCCTCCCAAAGTGCTGGGATTACAGGCTATATCACATTTTCTTTATCTAGTTCATTGTTGATGGGGATCTAGGTTGATTCCATGTCTTTGCTATTGTGAATAGTGCTGCAATGAACATATGAGTACATATGTCTTTTTTGTAGAATGACTTATTTTCCATTGGGTATATGGCCAGTAGTTGAATTTCTGGGTTGAATGGGAATTTTAAGTTATTTGAGAAATCTTCAAAGTGGCTTTCTATAGTGGCTGAACTAATTTACATTCCCGCCAACAGGGTATACATGAATGAACATTTCTTAAACAGGACACAAAAAAGCTAACCATAAAGGAAAAGATTGATAAATTAGACTATGTTTAAGTTAGAAATTTCTATCATAAAAAGATAACCTTAAGAGAATAAAGAGTCAAACCTAAGAGTGGGAAAAGATACATGTAATATACATGTATTAGATAAGGTGCTCATATCCAGAATATATGAAGAACCTGTATAGCAGGCACCCAATAGAAAAATGAGCAAGCAGGAATCTAAATGGCAAATAAATATATAAAAGATATTGAACCTCATTTCTCACTAGGGAAATTTGAATAAATCTACACAGACATACCCTATACTAGAATTGCTAAAATTAAAAAGGCTGACATTACCAAGTGTTGTGATAAAATAGATCTTTCATATATTGCTTGAAGCAGTATAAAGAACAACTATATCTTTTACAAATTGCTTGAGGCAGTAAAGATTAGTATAATATCTTTGTAACCCTGTTTGGCAGTATCTAAAAAGCTAAAAATATGCATACTACTATGACTCAGCAATTCCATTTCCGTATATATGGTCACATATCAAAGCACTGATGTAAGGATCTTCATAGAAGCACTATCACAGTGATTGCAAACAGGAAACAATCAAAATACATGTCAATAATAGAATGGATAAATTAATTGTCATATTAATATAACAAAGTATAGAACAAAAATGAAAATAAGCAAACTACTCTTATGTGCAACATGAATGAATCTTGTAAACATACTGTTGAGGTAAATTCTAATACTAAACAGTATATAAAGTCCTAGCCAGAGCAGTTAGGCAAGAGAAAGAAATAATATGCATCCAAATAGGAAAGACAGGAGATCAAACTATCTCTCTTCACAGACTATATGATTCTGTACCTAGAAAACCCCATAGTCTCTGCCCAAAGGCAGAACTGATAAACAACTTAAGTAACGTTTCAGAATACAGAATCACTGTACAAAAATTAGTAGCATTTCTATACAACAATAATGTCTAAGCTGAGAGCCAAATCAAGAATGTAATCCCATTCACAATAGCCACAAACAGAATAAAATACCTAGGAATATAGCCAATAAGGGAAGTGAAAGATCTCTACAGTGAGAATTACAAAACACTGCTGAAAGAAATCAGAGATGACACAAACAAATGGAAAAATATTCAATGTTCATGGATAGGAAGAATCGATATTGTTGAAATGCCCATACTGCCCAGAGAAATTTATAGATTCAATGCTATTCCTATCAAACTACCAGTTACATTCTTCACAGAATTATAAAAAATTATTTTAAAATTCATATGGAACCAAAAAATAGCCCAAATAACTGAAGCAATCCTAAGCAAAAAGATAAAAACTGGAGGCATCACACTACCCAATTTCAAACTATATTACAAGGCTACAGTAACTAAAACAGCATGGTACTGGTACAGAAACAGGCACATAGACCAATGGAACAGGTTGGAGAACCCAGAAATAAAGCGCCACACCTACATAGCCGTCTGATCTTTGAAAAAGTTTCCAATAACAAGCAACAGGGAAAGAATTCTCTATTCAATAGATCATGCTAGGACAACTGACTAGCCATATGCAGAAGATTGAAACTGGATCCCTTCCTTTTACCACATACCAAACTCAACTCAAGATAGATTAAAGACTTAAACATGAAACCTAAAACTATAAAAACCCTATATGAAAACCTAGGAGATACAACTCCAGACATAGACCTTGGCAAAGATTTCATGTCAAAGACTCCAAAAGCAATTGCAACAAAAAGAAAAAGTAACAAGTGGGACCTAATTAAACAAAAGAGCTTCTGCACAGCAAAAGAAACTATCAGCAGATTAAATAGCCTACAGAATGGGAGAAAATAATTGCAAACTATGCATCCAACAAAGGTCTAATATCCAGGTTCTATACGGAACTTTAAAAAATCAACAATCGGCCAGGTGCAGTGGCTTACGCCTGTAATCCCAGCACCTTCGGAGGCTGAGGTGGCTGGATCACCTGAGGTCTGGAGTTTGAGGCCAGCCTGACCAACATGGTGAAACCCCGTCTTTACTAAAAATACAAAAATTAGCTGGGCATGTTGGCACGCACCTGTAGTCCCAGCTACCAGGGAAGCTGAGCCAGGAAAACTACTTGAATACAGGAGGCGGAGGTTGCAGTGAGCCAAGATAGTACCACTGCACCCCAGCCTGGATGACAGAGTAAGCCTCTGTCTCAAAAAAAAAAAAAAAAAAGAAAAAAAAGAAAAAAAAATCAACAAGCAAAAAACGACAGCCCTGTTAAAAAGTGGGCAATGGATATGAACAGACATTTCTCCAAAGAAGACATAGATGTGGCCCATAACATATGAGAAAATGCTCAACATCACTAATCATTAGAGAAATGCAAATCAAAACCACAATGAAATACCATCTCACACCAGTCAGAATGGCTATTATTAGTAAGTCAAAAAATGACAGATGTTGGTGAGGTTACAGAGAAAAGACAACATTTATACACTGCTGATGGGAATGCAAATTAGTTCAGCCACTGCAGAGAGCAGTTTGATGAGTTCTCAAAGAACTGAGGACTACCATTCAACCCAGCAATCCCATTACTGGGTATATACCCAAAGGAATATAAATTGTTCTATCCTAAAGATACATGCATGTGTATGTTCATTGCAGCACTTTCACAATGGTAAAGACATGGAATCAAGCTAGATGTTTATAAATGGTGGACTAGATAAAGAAAATGTGGTACATATATTCCAGGGAATACTACGCAGCCATGAAAAAAATCACGTCCTTTGTAGCAACATTTATACAGCTGAAGGCCATTATCCTAAGTGAATTAACACAGGAGCAGAAAACTAAACACTACATTCTCACTTATAAGTGGGAGCTAAATGTTGAGTATACATGGACAAAAGAGGACACAAGAGGAGGTTCTGGGGTGCTGGTATTGTTCTGTTTCCTGATCTGGGCAGTGATATTTCCATGAGTGCATTCACTTTATAACATGTCATCAAAATGATCTCCTATCATTTGTGTACCTTTCTATATGTGTGTTATGTTTCAGTTAAAAATATACTTAAACTACTGGAATAAAAGCTACTTTTTTCAGGGAAGCTCACATATTATCTTATCAAAACAATTTATAGTTTAAATGAATCTTGGAGATTAGCTATTCCAGGGATCAGCGAACTGCAGCTCTGTTTTTGTACGGAACATGAGCTAAGAATGATTTTATATTTTAAAGGGCTGTAAAAAAAGAAAGAGGAGAAGGAGGAGGAGCATATACTGCAAAAACCATATATCATCTTCAAAACTTAAAATATTTGCTATCTTCCCCTTTAGAGAAAAAAAAATTGCTTAACTCTATGGTCCATCACCCTCTCATTGTACAGGTGATTAAACTGAGGCCAGAAAGACATGTCCAAAATCATCCAGCTGGTTGGGAGTAGAACTAAGACAAGAAGCTAATTTTTTTTTGGCTCACATGGTACTGTTCTTTCCACCAGTTAATGTACTTAATCTGTACCATCAACACAGAGCCCTCACTAGACCTGGGTACCCATCTTCATATTGCCCACAGGCAACTCCTCATTTTTCCGTTTCTACTTGCCACACCAAGCCTACTCTTAATCCTTCACACCTGTCTTAGCACCCACCCTTCTGTGCAGTCAGGATCCAATGAGACAGTTTTAGCTCCTCCTTTATTCTTCATAGCTCATGTTTAATTGATCACCAAGATCTGTCACTATGGTTTGCTGTTTGTCCCCTCCAAACCTCATGTTGAAATCTGATCCCCAGTGTTGGAGGTATTTGGGTCATAGGGCAGATCCCTTATGAATAGATTAATGTCCTCCCTTGGAGGTCAGTGAGTCCTCACTCTATTAGTTCCCAGGAGAGCTGGTTGTTAAAGAGAACCTGGCTTGCCCCAGCCCTTCTTGCTTCCTCTCTCACCATGTAATCTCTGCACATGCCAGCTCACCACAGCATTGCATCATGAGTGGAAGCAGCTAGAGGCCGTCACCAGCTGCAGATACCCAATCTTGAACTTTCCAATCATCAGAGTCATCTGCCAAATAAACATCTTTTCTTCGTAAATTATCCAGCCTCAGATATTCCTTTACAGCAACACTAAGTGGACAAAGACACCTGTCAATTCTCTTTCCTAACATACCTCAAAACTATCCTTCTATTTAAACCATTACTACCTTAGATCAGAACTTTATCTTGTCTTTTCAGAGCTATTGATTAGTCTCTAACTGGCTTTCCTGTCTTGCTTTCTTTCAGTTCATCCACAACCAGACTAATCTTGTTAAACAGAAGAGTTGATATTCCATTTGTCTATTTAAATACTTAATTCAATTTCTATCTCCTAGATGAAAGACACTAGCCAGATGTGGCTATATAAATTTAAATTGATTAAAATTAAAGGAAATAAACAATTCAGTGCCTAAGTTAGAGTAGCCACACTTCAAGTACTCAGTAGCCACACATAACAAGTGGATATCACATGGGCAGCACAGCTTTAGAACATGTCTGTCAGTGCAGAATGTTCTCTTGAGCAGTGCTATCAACATCTATGGGAGAATATTTGAGCTCCTTAATATGGCACATAAAATGTATTATTGTCTGATCCCTGCCTTGTTCTTTCATCATCTCTTGCCATTCCCTTCTAGAGCTCTATATGTCTGTGATAGTGAAATGCTTAAAATTCCCCAAAACACAATGCCATTCATGCTATCAGACTGCAGAACATGCAATATCCTCTGCACAGAAAACCTGTTCCTGTGGCCAACTTCTGTCGATTCAAAAACGACTAAAATGTTACCTCTTCTAGGAAACCTTCCATGATCCTTACCATTCATTCCTCTTGTAGTAATTTCTATACTGAAGACAGATTTTTGTTGGTAAATTGACATAACACTGCATTGAAAGTTACTGTAAACTCTAATAAGCCCGTACACTTCACATAAAGCGTGGCCACACTTATTCTAAAAAGGGCTATGTAATAAATATCTTTTACTTTGACAGCCTGTAGTCTCAGATACAGCTATTGCCACCCTGTTGATGGAATGTGAAAGCAGTCACAGACCATATGTAGGTGAATGACTGTGGATAGCATTAGCTAGTTGGCATCATTTTTTGATCCCAGGTTAGAAATGATCATGATATCTTGCTCAGTATATACTTTTGAGTGGAATGAATGAATGAGTATGGAAGAACTAAACTATGTATCATTAGGAGAGTGAAATGATTAGAATTTCATCACAAAGAGAAAAAATGCTGGGTGTAATTATGCATATTGAGATTATTTTGTATAATCTTGAAAAACCTAGTTTAAATAAAAAAGGGGAAGGAAGATTTTGTTATTTAATTCAGTATTATATAAGCCCATGATAAATTTGATTTTTCAAAGACCTGATAATCACTTTAACATAATGGACTTTCTTTGTAATCTTCTGCACTTTATTTTAAGCATTTAAACAAATTGTTCTCAGAAGGAGTTTAGCCTTCATCAGATGACCAAAGGGTACAAACAGGACCTCTGCTTGTGCCTGGGCTCTGTCTGTGGGTCCTGGTGTTCCTGGAGCACATCCAGGGAGGCACCGCACTCAGTTTGTCTAGATCGGAGGAGATCATGGTACAGCTGTAGCTAGGGAGCCCCAGCTCAGCCAGAGGAGCTCTGCATGGTACATGAGCAATTACCAAGCTAAGAAGCTGCCTGCTGGAATCCTCCCCACCAAAGAATGCTTGGCCACTTTCTGGGTGTCTGTCTGGATTTGGATTCCCCCAGTTTTGGAAAGCCTGCCATTCCAAACACTTTCCCTGCTTTTGCCACAGAGTGAGGTAACAGGACCAGGGCTCTACCTGAAAGCTCTTTTGAGCTCCAGTGTGTGTCTGAGCCAGTGGGTGGAGTGGAGAAGAGGGAGAAGCTGTGAACCCTGGGTTTGTGTACATTGGCTAGGGCTAAATGTGCATTGATTAATACCAGGGTAAAAAACTGTGGCCTGAGTCTATGGCTCAGTGGATGATAATTATATTTTTTTTCTCACATCTTGCCTCAGGGAAGGGTGGAGGTGCCAAGTCTAAGTGTAAGCTGGAGGAGTTTTTCTTGTTGTTATTGTTTTCAAAAATATTTGCATGTTCAAATTCTTTATAACACAATTGAATGCACATTAGGTGAGTTATATAAACAAGGGTCCCTGTTCACAGGTTAATCTCCAGAAATTCACAGTTGCCTAATCAGTTCCCTTTTGAAAACAAAGGTTTAAATGCCTGCTCAGAGAAGACAGACCACCATACACTCAAGTCTAGAAATGCCAACCCTTCAAGTTATCTAGACTGTGCCAGTGACTCAGTAATCAGATTGTGTTAGGAGTCAGGCTAACTTGGGTTTAAATCCAAGCTCTGCTAGATGTGTGACTCTGAAATCGACATTTGATCTCTGTCAGCTTCTGTTCCTTGTGTGTAAAGTAAATGCAATAATACCTACCTCATATTCCAAATGACATGGGATAGTGTAGACTTGCAATTTCTTTGTGTTGGGATGTCTTCATTTTGCTAATTGAGGCCCACATGCTCCTGTTGGGCAGGCACAATGCAGGATTGTGCCTTCCTTCTCCTCAGAGCATCTGACCTACAGTGGGGCCACCTCACAGTAGACACACAATGTCTCCTTGATCAAGATTATTTTTCAGTCTTCCTTTGGCTATTGGATTTATCATGTTGATTTGGGCCAGGATATGAATCTTGTAGCAAAAAGTTCCTCCTTGTGTCTCTTATACTTGTATACCACACTAATTATCTACTAATTTTTTTTGCTCTGATTAATTTTATCATCTAGGGCATCCTTCCTGTCTCCTACCCTCACCTCACCTTTTCTGGAGAAATTCTGAAGATGCAGGTCTCCTTTGGGCAGAGTTTTGAGTGCCTATTACTATCTTCACAACTAGAGATGGTCCCTGACTTACGATGGTTCAACTTAATGATTTTTCCACTCTATGATGGTGCAAAAGTAATATGCAATTTGTAGAAACTATACTTTGAATTTTGAAGTTTGATCTTTTTTCCAGGATACTGGTGGTATGTGGTGCAATATGCTCTCCTGATGCTGGGCAGTAGCGGCAAGCACAGCCGCAGTCAGCCATGCGATCATGAGGGTAAACAACTCATACTGTACTTACAGTGTACTGTATTCTATAAATTATATGAGATATTCAACACTTTTTATAAAACAGGCTTTGTGTTTGATGATTTTGCTCAGCTGTAGGCTAATGTAAGTGCTTAAGTAGACTAGGCTAAGCTATGATGTTTGGTACGTTAGGTGTGTTAAATGCATTTTTGACTTAGGATATGTTTAATTTACAATGGGTTTACTGGGACATAACCCCACTGTAAGTCAAGAAACATCTGTATTTGGTGGTTCTCTTCACTAGGGTCATCATCCCCTATCACATACAGTGACATAAATATCTCAGCTCCTGACTGATCCAGGAGACTTCCAAGTTGAAAATGTTCTTGAGGATTCTGTGGGGTTTTTTCTTATGATTGAGGGAGACTGAAGTGCTTAGGTAAATTGCTGGGATCCAACAGCCTCTCCTGATAGAAAGCTCCAAATGTGAAATCATAGACATGTTTGAGAATGGGTCTATAAGTTCACTCATTTAGCAAATAGTTATTACAATGTCAATCCACCTGGCCTGCTACAATGTAAGGATCCTGAGGACAGGGTTAATATGGTTTGTTTATTACTCTCTGGCTCAATAAATTTTTGTTGAATCAATAAATGAGAGCCTTGTAAAGCCAGATCTAGATGTACAAATAACTATGAAAGAAATGGAAGCAAGGAAGAAAGAAGGCTTTATCTAGCATGGGGGAGTCATGAAGACTTCATTAAAGAGGTGTATTTGAGCTGAGACTTGAAGGTTGCTCAAGCGTCTTCAATTGGACAAATGATCAAATTCCACACAGAGAAACTAGTGTGTACAAGGGTGACAAAGAAATAAGGTAGCATGATATGTTATAGGATTTACAAAAAGTTTGGGATGGCTGTTGTGGGAAGGGAATGATGGGGCAAAATAGAAGAAAAGAGATCATGAATTACTTACTGTGATCTGATAAAGAGTATGGGCTTTATCCTACAGACAATAGGTGAGCCATCAAAGAGTTGTAACCAGAAAAGTGACCAAATGTATTTTAGAGAGACCACTCTGGAGGAGAGATTCGAGAGGGTAAGACAGGCAGAACCACTTGAAGCCAGGAGGCGGAGGTTGCAGTGAGCTGAGATCGCACCACTGCATTCCAGCCTGGACTACAGGGTGAGACTTTTGTCTCAAAGGAAAAAAAAAAAAAAAGACTGAGGCAGGGAGACATAGGAGGACATTGTAGTGACTTAGTGAATGAGAGAGGAGGGGTGCCTAAGGCAGAGAAGTGCAGCGGAATGGTGAAGGGGTGTTCTTGATATAGTCTTAAGAGGTAAAATTTATATAACTTGGGTGCAATGGAGAAGGAAGTGTTGAGATTTGGGCACTGATTTTGGCACCTGGATCAATGGGAAGAAAGTGGTTTTCTGGTAAGAAAATGAAGAAGTTAATTGTAGGTGTCTGTGGAACACCTGAATGGAGATATTTGAGAAGCAGTTGGATACCCAAGTTGGAGCTGAGGAGTGAGCTTTGGAATGGTAGTGTTGACCGGGAAGTTATCAGCAGTTCTATAAACAGAACCCCGGAGAACACCAAGATTTAAGGGCCAACCAGAAAGA
Source organism: Homo sapiens (assembly GCF_000001405.40). Classification (NCBI taxonomy): domain Eukaryota; kingdom Metazoa; phylum Chordata; class Mammalia; order Primates; family Hominidae; genus Homo; species Homo sapiens. The sequence goes on from NC_000012.12 coordinate 102,647,188, forward strand.
GAAAAAAAAAAAAAAAAAAACAGAAAAGAAAAGGGCCTAGATCAAGAGAGAAGAGAGGTTCAAGAATGAGGAGGGCCTCAACAATGCCAAGTGAAGATAAAAACCACTGGATTAGGAACTAAGAAACTGTGGAGAACAGGAAAAGAACTATTTTGGTGGTAAAGTGGGGGCACAGAATAGGTTCCAGTGGGTTACAGAGGAAATGAGAGGTTAAAAAGTGAAGACAGCAAGTGTAGATACTTATTTCTAGATATTCAATTGGCCAAGGGCAAAGCCAAAAGTAGAATGGAACTAAGAGCAATAGATAGGCTTTAAGAAGGTTTTAATTTGCTTTTTGTTGTTATGTTTTCTGTTTTGTTGTTAAAGATAGAACAGATCTGAGCATATTTATGTAGGATGGGAAAATAATTAGGAGAGACAGGGAAAGTGACCATACAGGAAAGAGGGGGTTCTTTTGATGGAATTAAATAATGGTTTTAAAGAGAGAGAGATTAGTTGTACATAGAAGGAGAGACCTTTCTTCTTTGTACATGAGGTAATGATAGAACCTAACACAGATAAGCAACCTAACTAGAGTTTAAAACAGCCAACTGGCCTTACAGTAGATGGTCTTTCAGACACTATCCAGAAAAAAAGAGAAAGGACCCTAGGAACTACAGACTCCTGGGTGTCTCACTGTCATCTTTCTTACTCAGCCTGGAAATGATGGGTGAAAGCACAGCCTTTGGAACCAGACTCTTTGAATTTACATTACAGCTATTCTACTTATTACTGCCCATGCAAACTTGGGTAACTTCATTTACCTCTAGGTGCAGATTGCTTCATCTGCAAAATGGTTGTATTAACACTACCTCCTATATAGAATTGGGTGGAGATTACATAATATATCAGTAAAACACTCAGAACAGTACCTGGTACCTAATAGGCACAGAATAAATGCTAGCTCCTATGATACCAGGAAAGATAGTAGGATCACCAGACACTGAAAGCAAACACAACTCATAAGGAGAAAGATAGCAAGATTTATAATGTAGAAAGGAAACTTCTCAGTTTTACCAAGAATAAGGGAAGGGTATACAATATAACCTATTTATATTTTCAAGAAAATATGTTTTATAGATTATAAACCAAAAGGTAAACTTTCAATCAATACTACAACTTGTATTTATGGAAAAAAATCTAGAACACAAAAGTCACTCTGAATTGCTTGAAGATATTGTCCCGTTGTGTTGCCATAACCCCCAACAATAAGAGAATTCTAGATGTTATCAGGAGTGAATATAGAAACTCCTGGGAAAACTTTGTGTTTCCCTTGTACAAAATGGGTGTGTTTGCATCTGTAATATGATGTTTAGTTTGGGATGTATTAGTCAGTTCTTACACTGCTAAAAGACATACCTGAGTCTGGGTAATTTATTAAAATCAAACAGGCTTACAGTGCTGTGGGCTACATGGGCTTCTGCTTCTAGGGATGCCTCAGGAAACTTACAATCATGGCAGAAGGTGAAGGGGAAGCAGGCACCTCTTCACATGGCCCGCGAGAGACAGAAAGAGAGAGAGAGAGAGAGAGAGAGAGAGAGAGAGAGAGAGAGAGAGAGAAAAGTGAGAGGTGCTACATACTTTCAAACAAACAGATCTTGTGAGAACTCTATCACGAGACAGCACTAGGAGATGATGCTAAACCATTAGAAACCACCCCCATGATTCAATCACCTCTCACCAGGCCCCACCTCCAACACTAGGAATTACAATTCAACATGAGGTTTAAGTCGGGACACAAATCCAAGGCATATCAATGTGAGACCTCAAAAAATAAAAAGAGAGAAGGAAAGATACATTCAGGCATATCTGAGTAGTGAATGTACAAACATTTAACTCATGTAAGGTTCACAAATGAGGTGTCTAAGCACTTCAAACAGAAATCAAATTTATAAATTTATGAATATGGATATTTAATTTGTCAGTTTATAATTAAGAAAATTAAAGCTCTGAGAGTTTATATTATTTACTCAGAGTTTATGTATTCAGTGCTGCAAGTGGCAGAACTGAGATTCCTAGGACTGGAAGTGGAAGAACTGGGATTCCTAGAATCTGTAGTTCTTTCCATACACTATGTTGCAAGCAGATGACAAAATCTTCCAGGAAATGGAGAAAAAAAGGTCAGGAAGCTTCTGTGTGACTAGACTTTGACCAAGTGGTTATATGATCAAAATTGAAGATGGTGATGGAAAAATATAGATTGGAAATTGAAATTGGTGGACATTATTTACTTGGAAAACATTTTCAACCCCTCACATAAGTCACATTCCTGTTAAGTATTTTCTTATTCCCCCTATGCTTTTCTGCCATAGCATTCATCACTGTTTTTGATTACATATTTACCTCTGTGATTATTTCATGAATGTTTGTTTCTTCCTCAGTTTCTTTAAGAAATATGAGAATGAGGATGGTATGTAATTTGTGTATGTAATTAGTGTATGCCCAAGACATAATATAGTATATGACAAATAGTAGATGCTCAATAAATAATTGACAAATAAATAAATGGACACACCCACACCCATTAAGACTTGCAGACATAAACAGAAGACAAATAAAAATAAGAGCCATCAGTAAACGTTCCTGTGAATAAATAAAAAAAAATAGGCTGGGTGCGGTGGCTCACGCCTGTAATCCCAGCACTTTGGGAGGCTGAGGTGGACGGATCACCTAAGGTCAGGAGTTTGAGACCAGGCTGGCTAACATGGTGAAGCCCCGTTTCCACTAAAAATACAAATTAGCTGGGCGTGGTGGTGCACACCTGTAATCCCAGCTACTCGGGAGGCTGAGGCAAGAGAATCCCTTGAACCCGGGAAACGGGGGTTGCAGTGAGCAGAGATCATGCCATCGCACTCCAGCTTGGGCAACAAGAGCAAAATCCCTGTCTTAAAAAAAAAAAAATCAAAGAAATATAACTACTGAGAGTGCCAAATCAGGGTAAAGGAATAGAGAGTGTTGCAAGGGAAAGATTACTTTTACATAGCATTGTCACTGACTCTAAGGGACTCTATCTTAGATAACGTGCCAAATGAAATTAACAAGTAAGGTGTGAAAATGTCTGAGAGAAGGGTGATTCAGGTCTCAAAACAGAAAAGAGTGTGATGTATTGGAGATACATCAAGCAGACCAATGTGGGCATAGAGGAACATGGAGGAAGTGAGGTTACAGTGATGACCAGGCCTGATCATACAGAGCTCATAGGTCAGTGGAAGGACCTTAGACATTATTTATGGCAGGAAGATGCTTAAGGTTTTAAACAAAGTCTTGACATGCCTGCTTTATATTTACCAGGATCACTCTTGGTGCTGCAGAGAGAATAGAATTTAGAGGTTCAAGAGTGGAAGCCAGGAGACCACTGAGGAGATTTGACAGCAGTCCAGGAGAGAGAAGATAGTGGCTTGAACTACGTAAAGGGTGAAAGGAGTGAAAAGTGTGCAGATAAATGTTGGATGCAGGACCAACATAATGGATTTAATGTGAGGTATGACACAAAAAGAGGAATCATAAATGATTTCCAGGTTTTTTGCTAGAGTGGATGATGATATTGACTAAAATGAGGTGGAGAGGTAGGGATGAGATGAATAACAGGAATCTGGACTGGAGTGGGAAGATGGTGTGGAAATAACAAGATATGTTAAGTGTGAGATTCCTGTTGGATATCCACATAGATGTCAGGTAGGCAGGTACACATGTCTGGAGTTTAAAAGAGAGGCCAGTGCTAAGGATTCAACTCAGCACCCTTCAGAGTATGGGTGATATTTAGAGCCCAGGGAAAAAAAGCCTAAGGACCAAACCCAGAGATGCTCTTGGAAGAAAGAAAAAAGAAACCCATAAGGGAGACTGAAGACGAGCAACCAGTGAGGCAGGAGACAAACCAGAAATGTGTGGCTGCCGGAAACCAAGTAAAGGAAATGAGCTTTCTAAAGGAAGGTGAGATTACCTGCATGAAGTGCTGCTTCCAACGTCAGTCAGGTTGAAGACAGAATTGTCTACAGAGCTGGCAAATGGAAAATAGCAGAGACCTTGGCAATAAGCTTTTTGGTGCAGTGGCAGAAATAAAAACCTGGTGAAAGATAAAGAGCTGGGAATGATAAATATGGATATCTCTTTTACAGAGTTTAACTAGATAGGATGAAAGGGAGGGATTTTGTTCGTGTTTTTTGCTGTATTTTTAAATTTCAGGAGATAATACAGCATGTTTTATGTTGGTTATGACTTAGTGACCAGGAGGATAAATGCTGATTCTGGGGGGAGAGGATGTAGAGCAGCACCCTGAGAGGTGAGAGGGGTACAGATCAAGAGATTGATACAAGAAGTTGCCTTGGAGAGGACAGTCTGTTTACTGGAAGGAAGGAAGTGAAGATTATTGAACACCTGCTTTGTCTACATGAATCAACTCATATAATCTTCACCCCAAGCTGCTGAGGTAGATGTAAGTATTTTCTCCATTTTACAGCTGAGCATAGAGCTTTTCAGGCACTTCTGTAAGATCTGAGAAGGGGCAGATGCAGCATTTGAGCCTAGGCAGTGTGGCTCCAAAGCACTTGCTCTTACCCACCACAATTTGCAGAGAAAATAGTTACAGATATAGGGTGCATGTATATTTGACAATGGGAAAATCTGATATCCTCTTCTGATTGCATCAGTTTTCTCTATGCAACAGGAACCAAGGCCATTAGCCAGGAGTAGGGAATAGGGAGAGTGCTGGAGATGAAGAAGGATGGAGAAGACATAGTGTGAAATAACTGTCTTGAGAAGGAGAGAGTGAATTGACTAGGGAAATGCAGGAGTATTGCCAGGCAACCCTGAAGACCGATGTGAACTTGGTAGCCATGAGTTTGAAGGAAAACCAGTAAGCAGAGTTTTGTGTTTTTCTCCTTCCAGTTTTGGCTGCTCAGGTACAGGTCCAGGTTAGGGAGAGAATTGGTTTTAATTCAGTTTGAGCTTTTCCCAGGTAGGTAAAATGGCAGGAAATAAGGGTGAGGTGATTGAGAATATATGCAAGGAAGTTTGGGAGATTGTAATCATGGACTACGAGACCTGAATTGTCTAGTGAAAAGGATGACATGAAACAGTGTTAGAGAAAAAAATTGCTTGAGTTGGAGAAATAAGAAAAAGTGAGTGACTGTCTCCAGTGATTTTGAAGGCATCAAAAATGATGACAAGTGTAATGGTGCAGAGAAAGACTGTGAGCTAGATGCTAAAATATTCACAGAAGGTGCAGAGTGGTTGCAAAAAGGAGAGGCAGTGAGGGACGCAATTGTATGACAGATGCTTAGGGGAATTTCTTTTCAAGCAAGGAGGGGATGTTGAAAAGTAAAGATATCCACATTGCAGGAGAATCTGAGGTCTGAGGCATAAGGGATGTAGAAAGAGAAAACAATCTGGGGAGAAAGCTGTGTCTTCAGGAGAAAGTTACTTTTGACCTAAAACAAGAGGGAAAGAAAAGGTTCTAAGAAGGAGCTGAGGATTTAGATTTAGTTGATTATAGTCCATGAGTTTTTCAAGTTGAGGAGAGGTGGGAGATTGGAATAGATTCAGGGCTTTATTGAGCCATGTCGGAATAAAATTCCAGGTGAAGAGGCTTGGACTTGGGACTGCTGATGGTGTCTCGAGTAAACAGAAGTGTGAGTCACAGTAGATTTGGTCCTGACACTTCCATGGGAGAAGGTGTGCTATCAGTTTTATTCATGGCTTACTTCTTGGTATGTCTGATCTTTAAGGTAGATGAGCTTACTTTGTGCTGGTAGTATGATAAGATTTTTCACATTAATTGATTTTAGCATTGTCCAATGCTAACACCAATTCATTAGCCCAGTTTTACAGAAAACAAAACTGAGACTTACTATGTGGCAGAAGTAGCACTGAAACTCATGCACATCTGACAGTAGAACTTGTTTCCCTGATCGTGGCATATATTGAGGTGGTTCTTGGCTTGAGTGAAAAATGCTTATTATAAGTCACAACTTCTCATTTCCCGTATATTACTCAGTATATAATAACTTAATATAGGGTGGGTTATTTTGATGTGTATGATGCTTAATTTTGTACCATCTTGACTGGGCCACAGGGTACCCAGATATTTAGCCAAACATTATTCACTGGATTTCTGTGAGGTTGTATTTAGATGAGATTAACATTTACATTGGTAGATTAAGTAAAGCAGATTGCCCTCACTAATGTGGGTGGCCCTCACCCAATCAGTTGAAAGCCCAGTAGAGCAGAAAGTCTGCCTGTCTCTTAAGTGGGAGAATTATTCCTGGCTGAATGCCTTTTAACTGGGACTTTGGGTTTTTTCTTGCCTTTATATTCAAACTGAAACTTTGGCTCTTCCTGGGTCTGGATCCTGCCAGCCTTCAGACAAGAACTATGCAATAGGCATTTTTGGTTCTCTGGCCTATGGACTCTGACTAAAACTAAATCATCAGCTCTGGTGGGTCTCCAGCTTGTTGGCTCACCCCGCAGATCTGGGGACTGGCTTGCCTCCTCAATCGCATGAGCCAATTATAATAAATCTCTTTCTCTCTCTATATATACATTCTATTGGTTCCATTTCTCTGGAGAGCCCTGACTGATATAGGTTTTGGAACTGAGAGTGGTTTTAGAGGAACAGAATTTTAAGAATGGGTTTTTCTGAATTGGTTTTATAGCTGCTGTAATTGGCTGTCCAATCTGATTAGATTTAAAATGCTGATGACTTTATTTCCAGTAGTAAAGAGAAAACTGATAATCATGGTGTGCTCTGGCAATAGATAAACAGAAAATATGACCACTGGATGCTCCTAATCGACCACTTTTGAGAAGCAAAGATTTGGGTAATTATGTACATAATACTTTTGAACATTTTAGTCAAACGAATGAGTAAAATGAAGTGAATTGGTTGCTGCTAATGTTGCTGGACAAAGTGGGGAAAGAAAAGGATGAGCTCAGGATTCAAATTCCCAGCTGAAAGGCTGCATAAATGACCTGAAAGTTTCTGTCTTCCTTGAAGGAGACCTTCATCTCCTGCAGCTGCAGAGCCAGGTTTGCTGAGTTATAAATCCAGAGTCTCATCCTGCAACTGGCTGGATTACAATGCAAGTTGAACTCCTGGCCTCAAAGGATGTCTACTGTTAAAGTGAGGTCATTGGTTGAAAAGAAGTAGGGTCCTGAAAGTTGGAATGGGAATGTATGGGATGACCTTGATGAAAATGGGGACACTAAAGTCTTAAATTCTAAGCCTTCTTTGCCTCTCCACCCCTAGTGGGTGGTCTACCCTCCCCTGTCTGAGGGAATTAACCCTTTATTGCTTGAGGAAACTGAATGGCCTCCCCTGAGACAATTACCTTGCAAGAAATGATTATTCTCCTCAGAACCCACTTCCACAATACCTCATTGCTTTTAGACAAATAACTAGACTCAATTTCCAGCAGGCCCCTAAAGGTGAGGTATAGAGCATGACACATGAAGAGGCATAGCACTTTCCAAAATAACTGTTGGAGTTTTTTAAATTAATACAAACAAATATCTGAGAATATGTAGGGTTATAGATATTAAAGGTGTGGGATAATGGTGGTGGAAAAATAAGGTTGAATCAGACTGATTGATATGGGCTCACTAAGCAGAAATTTAGCATTTACTGTTGCAGCTCAGGGAGTTAGAAAGAACTCTAACAGTTTGATGGGTAATCTAAAACATAGACCAAAAGGTGACCCATGTTGAGCAAGTTAGAAATGCCAGGCTTGCTTTAGCTTAATGTAGAGGAAGGGATTCGGGGGCTTAGGGAGATTGGGAGACTTACTCAACCACCCTGAAAGGGTCCAGAGAACACACCTTTCATCAAGCCTAAGAAATAAATTTGTCAGAGGAGTCCCACATCCAAGAGCTCTGTGATTGCCCTTTTCTGCAATCACAGAGACCTTACAGTGGGAATGGCAATCCCTGAATTGGTAAACCTAAATGCAAGGAGAGTAACTGGATCCTGGAATGGCAGGGACCAAGTGGCAGCACTCAAGTACCAAAGGCAAGGTGGACGTGGTTACTGTAATGGACAGATGAGTGAAAGCAGCAATCAGAATAGTCTGAGTCATGCAGTCCTGTGGCATTGGCTGGTTGATCATGGTGTCCTTGGGAGTGAAATGGATAAGAAACTTACTAAGTTTTCACCTGATTTGATAAGAAGCAAAAACATTCTAGGTCAAGTGAATCAATGTCTAACCTGAATAATAAAAACAAAGAATCACAGCCCCACAACCAATTTGATACCTTGATCCAGTTTACAGACCCAGTATCACTACAGTATAGGGGAGGCCAGGTTTCTTGAGGAAGAACCCTGGCACACTGCTAAAAGTCTATACTATCAATATGTTCTTCCACTCTTCTCCAAAAGTACCTATAGCTTTTTATTAGGGTAACTCTGCATTGGGGAAAAGAAAAGAATCAGATCTTTCAGGAATTTTGAGGCACTGGCTCTGAACTGACATGAATTCCAGAAGACCCAAAAGGTCACTATGGTCCACCAGTCAGAGTAGGGGCTTACAGGTCAAGTGCTTTCATGGAGTTTTAGCTTAGGTCTGTCTCACAATGGGCCCAGTGGATCTGAAACAATCCTGTAGTTATTTCCCCAGTTCTGAAATGTGTAATTGGAATAGACGAAATAAGCAGCTGGCAGAATCTGTACACTGGTTCCCTGACCTGTGGAGTGAGGGATATTATGATGAGAAACGGCAAGTGGAAGCCACTGAAACTGCCTTTCCCTAGGAAAATTTTAAACCACAGGTAACGCCACATTGCTGGAGAGATTGCAGAGATTAGTGCCACCATAAAAGAACTTGAAAGATGCAGGAATCGTGATTCCCAATATATCCCCATTTAACTCACGTATTTGGCCCGTGCAGGCAGATGAATCTTGGGAGAATGACAAATATGTTTAACCAGGCGGTGATTCCAATTGCAGCTGTTATACCAGATGTGGTTTTATTGCTTGATCAAATAAATACATACCCTGGTACCTGGTATGCAGATATTGATCTGGCAAATGCCTTTTTCTCCATACATGTCAATTAAGGACCACCAGAAGCAGTTTGCCTTTAGCTGGCAAGGCCAGTAATATACCTTCATTGTCCTATCTCAGGGGTATCTCTCCCAGTTTATATCATAATAGCAACTTAATATGTTATTATTATATATTACACAAATATCAACTCTACAGGTTATATCATAATTTAGTTCACAGGGATATTGATGACCTTGCCATTCTTTGGGCCATTACATGCCAGACCTTCCACAAGACATTACACTGGTCAATGACATGCTGATTGGACCTAGTGAGCAAGAACTAGCCACTACTCTGGACTTATTATTAATACATTTGCATGTCAGAGGATGGAAAATAAATCAGATGAAAATTTAGGGATCTTCTACCTCAGTGAAATTTCTAAGGGTCCAGTGGTGTGGGGGCATGATGAGATATCCCTTCTAATGTGAATGATAAGTTGTTACATCTGGCTTCTACAACCAGAAAAGAGGCACAATGCCTACTGAGCATCTTTGAAGTTTAGAGGCAAATGTTCCTCATTTGAGTGAGTTACTTCAGCCTGATATGGTTTGGCTCTGTGTCCTCACCCAAATCTCACCTTGAATTGTAATAATCCCCATGTGTCAAGGGTCGGATCAGGTGGAGATAATTGAATCATGGGGGTGGTTTCCCCCAAGCTGTTCTCATGAGTGAGTTCTCACGAGATATGATGGTTTTATAAGGGGCTTCCCCCTTTGCTCGGCACTCATTCTCTCTCTTGCTGTCCTGTGAAGAGGTGCCTTCTGCCATTATTGTAAGTTTCCTGAGGCCTGTGAGTCAATTTAACCTCTTTCCTTTTAAAATTTCCCAGTCTCAGGCAGTTCTTTATAGCAGCATGAGAATGCACTAATACAAGTCCATTTACCAAGTGACCCAAAAAGATGCTAGCCTTGAGTGGGATTCTGAAGAGAAGAAGGCTCTGCAACAGGTCAAGGCTGCTGTGTGAGTTACTCTGCCACTCAGACCATATGACCTAGAAGATCCAATGGTCCTTGAAGTGTCTGTGGCAGATAGTGATGCTGTTTGGAGCTTTTGCCGGCCCCTATAAGTGGATTTCAGCATAGTTCCTTAGGATTTTGGAACAAAGCCTTTCCATCCTCTGCAGATAACTACTCTCTTTTTGAGAAACAGCTCTTGACCTCCTACTGGACTCTAGGAGAGGCTGAATGCTTAACCATGGATCACCAAGTACCATGCAAACTGAGCTGCCCATCATGAACTGGGTGTTATCTGACCCACCAAGCCATAAAATTGGGTGTGCAATGGCGATACAGGCATTGAGTAAATACAGCTGTTCTAAATGGGAGAAATTGGCCAAAACAAAGGGGCTATATGCCCCATGCAAGTCTGAAACCCAGAAGGGTAGTCAAATCTCAAAGTTCTAATATGATCTCCTTTGACTGCATGTTTCACATCTAGGTCACACTGATGCAAGAGGTGGGTTCCCATGGTCTTGGGAAGCTCTGCTTCTGTGGCTTTGCAGGGTACAGGCTCCCTCTTGGCTGCTTTCATGGGCTGGTGTTGAGTCTCTGTGGCTTTTCCAGGTACATGGTGCAAGCTGTTGGTGGATCTACCATTCTGGGGTCTGGAGGATGGTGGCCCTCTTCTCACAGCTCCCCTAGATGGTGCCCCAGTAGGGACTCTGTGTATGGGCTCCAACCCCACATTTCCCTTCTGCACTGCCCTAGCAGAGGTTCTCCATGAGGGCCCCACCCCTGAAGCAAACTTCTGCCTGGACATCCAGGCATTTCCATACATCCTCTGAAATCTAGGTGGAGGCTCCCAAGCCTCAATTCTTGACTTCTGTGCACCCTCAGGCTCAACAACACATGGAAATTGCCAAGGCTTGGGGCTTGCACCCTCCGAAGCCACGGCCCAAGCTCTATGCTGGCCCCTTTCAGCCACCACTGCAGCAGCTGGTATACACAGGGCACCAAGTCCCTAGGCTGCACACAGCATGGGGCTCCTGGGCCTGGCCTACAAAACCATTTTCTCCTAGGCCTCCGGGCCTGTGATGGGATGGGCTGCCATGAAGACCTCTGATATGCCTTGGAGACATTTTCCCCATTGTCTTGGGGATTAACATTAGGCTCCTTGTTACTTATGCAAATTTCTGCAGCCAGCTTCAAATTCCCCTCAGAAAATGGGTTTTTCTTTTCTATCACATTGTCAGGCTGCAAATTTTCCAAACGTTTATGCTCTGCCTCCCTTATATAACTGAATACCTTTAACCACATCTAAGTCACCTCTTTAATGCTTTGCTACTTAGAAATTTCTTCCGCCAGATACCCTAAATCATGTCTCTCAAGTTCAAAGTTCTACAACTCTCTAGGACAGGGGCAAAATGCTGCCAGTCTCTTTGCTAAAACATAACAAGAGTCACCTTTGCTCCAGTTCCCAACAAGTTCCTCATCTCCATCTGAGACCACCTCAGCCTGGATCATATTGTTTATACCACTATCAGCATTTTTATCAAAGCCATTCAACAAGTCTCTAGGAAGTTCCAAACTTTCCCACATTTTCCTGTCTTCTTCTGAGCCGTCTGAAGTGTTCCAACCTCTGCCTGTTACCCAGTTCCAAAGTTGCTTCCACATTTTTGGGTATCTTTTCAGCAGTGTCCCACTCTACTGGTACCAATCTACTGTATTAGTCAATTTTCACACTGCTAATAAAGACATACCCAAGACTGGGCAATTGACAGAAGAAAGAGGTTTATTGGACTTACAGTTCCACATGGCTGGGGAGGCCTCACAATCCTGGTGGAAGGTGAAAGGCACATCTCACATGGTGACAGAAAAGAGAAGAGAGCTTGTGTAGGAAAACTCCCCTTTTTAAAACCATCAGATCTCGTGAGACTTATTCACTATCATGAAAACAGCATGGGAAAGATCTGCCCCTAGGATTCAGTTACCTCCCACTGGGTCTGTCGCACAACACATGGGAATTTAAGATGCAATTTGGGTGGGGACACAGCCAAACCATATCAGTCAGCCAGCAGCAGAGACCAACAATAAATCTTCAATATGGTACCATTCCTAAGGGGTGATCAGCCAGCTATCTGCTGGCAAGTTGATTACTTTGGACCACTCTCATCATGAAAGGGGCAGAGTTTTGTTCATACTGGAATAGACACTAATTTTGGACACATGTTTTTGCCTTCCCTACATGTGATGCCTCTGCCAATACTACCATCTGTGGAATTACAGAGTGCCTTATCCACAGTTATGGTATTTCACACAGCATTGCTTCCGATTGAGGAACTCACTTCACAGCAAAAACAAATTAAACAAAAAAAATGTGTGGCAATAAACCCATATGCATGGAATTCCCTGATCTTGCCATGTTCCTCACCATTCTGAAGCGGCTGTCTTGTTAGAATGGTATAGTGACCTTTTGAAGACTCAGTTACAGTGCCAGCTAGGTGGCAGTATTTTGCAGGGCCGGGGCAAGTTTTCTAGATGGTTAGGTGTGCTCTGAATCAGTGTGCAATATATGATGTGTTTCTCCTGTAGCCAGGATTCATGAGGCCAGGAATCAATGGGGAAATGGAAGTAGCATAACTCACTATTACCCCTATTGACATATTCACACATTTTTTTTCCTGTTCCCACAACCTTATGCTTTGCTGGCCTAGCAGTCTTAGCTCCAAAGGGAGGAAGGCTTCCACCAAGATATGTAGCAATAATTTCGCTGAACTGTCATCCAGCCACTTTGTACTCCTCATGCCTCTGAATCAGCGGGCAAAGAAGAGAGTTACTGTGTTGACTGTGATGATTGATCCTGACTACCAAGAGGAAATTGGATAACTACTTGTCAATGGAAGTAAGATAGAGCATGTCTGAATACTAGAGATCCCTTAGCATGTCTCTTAGTATTACCATGGCTTGTGACTAAAGTTACCAGAAAATACAACAAGCCAGTCCAAGCAGGATTACTAATGACCTAGACCCCTCAGTAATGAAGGTTTGGATCAGTCCACCAGGTAACACAAACCACCAGCAGCCAAGATGCCTGCTTAAAGTAAAAGGAACACAGGAATGGGTGGGTATAAACACTACCCATTTATAACTTCCAAGAAGGCAGTTATAAATATAAGTTGTAACCACATGACCAGTTACAGAAATGAGAATTGTAATTGTCATGAGTATTTCCTCCTTATTTTGCTATGAATATGTGTGTGGGTATCACAAATTTCTGCAAATATCTTTGTTTTCTTCCCTCTTTATCCTTTTATCATATAATACAGGATGTACTGACTTTATATCATAGTACTGAAATGTTGTTAACTTTACATCATGGAACTTAAGTTATGGAATATCAAGAAGAAGGGTAAACATCATTCAAAGACTTTACTCCCTCAACTGGGGAAGGAGTTGATGTATTTTTAGTTGCATGTGGGATAGTTGTATCAAGTTAGGCAGAATTATAGCCATGTTATTTTATATTTATTGGAAGGTTAAATTTGAGTTAAGGAGTTGTATATGGGTGCCAAGTTGACATGGAGTGAGTTTGTAATGGTCAATTTTATGTATCAACTTGACTGGGCCATGGGGAACTCAGGTATTTGGTCAAGCATTATTCTGAGTGTTTCTTTGAGGCTGTTTTTGGACAGGATTAAATTTAGATCAGCAGGCTGAGTAAAGCAGATTGCCCTCTCTAATTAGGGTGGGCCCCATCCAATCAGTTTGAATGCCTAAATAGAACAAAAAGACTGACCCTTCCCTAGGTAAGAGAAAATTCTTGGCTTACTGATTTTGACTGGGACACTGGTTTTTTCCCCCCTGCCTTTGGTCTTGAACTGAAACGTTAGCTGTTCCTGGATCTCTAGCCTGCCAGAATTTTGATGGGAACTATATCATTGGCTCTTGTGGTTCTCAGGCCTTTGGAGCCAGATTGGAACTAAACCATCATCATGTGAATCAATTCCTTATTATAAGACTTTCTCTTTCTTTTATTATATACATACCAAGTATGTATAATATAGTATATTGCTGAGACCAGCTTGGTTGGGGAGACCCTAACCCAGTGGTGCTAGAGGAATTAAAGACACACACACAGAAAGATAGAGGTGTGAAGTGGGAAATCAGGGGTCTCGCAGCCTTCAGAGCTGAGAGCCCTGAACAGAGATTTACCCACATGTTTATTAACAGCAAACCAGTCATTAGCATTGTTTCTATAGATATTAAATTAACTAAAAGTATCTCTTATGGGAAATGAAGGGATGGGTTGAATTAAAGGAATAGGTTGGGCTAGTTAACTGCAGCAAGAGCATGTCCTTAAGGCACAGATCTCTCATGCTATTGTTTGTGACTTAAGAATGCCTTTAAGCGGTTTTCCACCCTGGGCAGGCCAGGTGTTCCTTGCCCTCATTCCTGTAAACCTACAACCTTCCAGCATGGGCATTAGGTCCATTATGAACTTACTACAGTGCTGCAGAGATTTTGTTTATGGCCAGTTTTGGGGCCAGTTTATGGCCAGATTTTGGGGAGCCTGCTCCCAACATGTCCCCCTTCTCTGATTTGCAAATCAATAAACACAAAGGCAGCTTTGTCACGGTGAGCTACTTCTCACAGGAGTCAGGATCCACATCTGCAGACTATACAAAGACACACAACACAGATTAAAAGCACAACCATCATTGAAATCACAGAGCTTCCAAGTGTTTTTATCCACTTTCAGCTCCTTTAAGCACTCCAGTTCCTGGCATTAAGGTCAGATTTGCATGGGATGCTTTAAATATTTGTTCTTTCAGTTTTCAATCCTTATGTTAAGCTCCTAGAGCAGGCCATATCATTTGAGGTTGAAGTGCCACTATACCGCCATGGTTCCAGATAATAGGAACTCTTGCCGTACTTCTTATTGTATCTACCATCTGGCCATTTTGTTCAGACCAGCTGAACATAGTGTGGCCATGGCATGCAGACTGAGAGGTGCAATTCAAGCTAAACATCCCCTTAGGGGACCAATTAATAATGTTTCCATAGGAATCGTTGTGCAGAACCTCTGCCTGTTCTGCGATGCAATCTTCCTAAAAAAGTACATTTATTTTTTCCAACTGGGTCCAATCCTGTTTACAAATAGGTTTTTGAGGGTGGTATGCCTCAATTATAGGAGCAGATTTATTGTAGTAAATGCTGAGATCAGAAAGCATGTGTAACTGTGTCATAAAGTGATTGCATCCAGGCATTATTGCCAGCCAAGATTGATAAATATACCCAGTAAGTATAATTGTTCTCTGTGTCAGCCCTTATTGAAGGAATACTCACAGCAGTGGTGATAACTGCTATCATAGCTACCATTAAATTATTCATTGTGACTGGTTGTCCCGCTTTCCTCAGGTTTTCTTCCGCCATCTAAGACAGCTTCTTGATCTGTCCCCAGGTGGGTGGCTGTGTTCTATGGGTGTTGCTCATGACAGTTGGGGTCCTCCTCAGTGTCAGTCTCAACATGGCTGCAACTGGGGGGTCCTCGGGATCCTCCCAGAGTCTCTTCCTTGGCATCTGGCTCATGTTAAGGGTTCAGGTGTCTTGATGGTATCCAAATCGGCTGTTGATTCGGTCCTGGAGAAACACAAGCATAACCTCTACCCCAGGTTATTATTTTACCTATTTCCCAACTTGTTGTTATCAGATCTCTCCACCAAATCAGTTGTTCTGCTTCTGTCTTTGCAACTGGTTTCTGTAGATGCTGTTCAACTGCTGATAATATCTGACCTTTGGGCAGGCTCAAAAAATTTAAAGTTAATAGTGCTAGATTCAGTTGTATGTGTGAGGTTCCATATTCTCTGTCTCCCCCTTTCTGCCTTTGCAACTGCTGTTTTAGGGAGAGATTCATTCTTTCCACTATGGCTTGTCCTTGAGAATTGTATGGGATACCAGTAATGTGTTTAATATTCCATGTAGAGATAAATGTAGCTAGAGCTTGGCTAGTATAGCCTAGGGCATTATCTGTTTTACTAGAAGCTGGAATGCCCATCACCGCAAAACACTGCAAAAGATGACATTTAACACAGGCAGAAGACTCTCCTGATTGGCATGTAGCCCAGACAAAGTGGGAAAAGGTGTCCACACGTACATGTACATAAGCTAGTTTCCCAAATGAGGGAACATGTGTGACATCCATTTGCCAAAGAGAGTTAGGTTCCAATCCTCAAGGATTAACTCCTCCTGTAAAAGATGAGGAATGTACCAATTTGGCAAGTTAGATATCGCTGGATAATAGCTTTAGCTTCTTTCCAGTTAATGTTGTATCTGTGTTTGAGACCAGAGGCATTAACATGGGTTAAATTGTGAAAATGTCTAGCATTAGATATTGCATTAGCAACTAGGTGATCAGCCATTTGATTCCCTTTAGTCGAAGGTCCTGGAAGAGGTGTATGAGCCCTAATGTGAGTGATGTAAAAATGATGCATTCTACTCCTAACTGCTGTTTGTAATTGGGTAAATAAAGTCATCAGTTGTTCATCTGTATGAAATCATAACTGAGCATTTTCAATTAACTGTGTGGAAAGAAACACATATGAAGAATCAGAATTCACATTAATAGGCATATCAAAAGCAGTCAATACCTCAATTACAGCTACAAGTTCCGCTTTTTGAGCTGAAGTATAGGGCGTCTGGAAAACTTTACTTTTCGAGCCAGAATAAGAAGCTTTACCGTTACTAGACCCATCTATAAAAACATTCTCAGCACCTTCAATTGGTTTGAATTCAGTTATTTTGGGGAGAATCCAATTAGTTAATTTCAAAAACTGAAACAGCTTCGTTTTAGGAAAATGATTATCGAGAATACCCACAAAGTCAGCTAAATGGGTTTGCCAAGTAAGACTATTTATAAAAGCTTGCTGTATTTGTGCCTTCATGAGAGGGACAATAATTTTTCCAGGATCATATCCATGTAATTTAGCAATCCGAGTTCTCCCAATTCCTATCATAGTAGCAATTTGATCTAAATAAGGAGTTAGAGTCCACAAATTAGTGTGTGGAAGAAAAAGCCACTCTACTAAGTCCTGTTCTTGGACAATAACACCAGTAGGTGAATGCTGAGATGAAAAAATTAGCAAATCTAGAGTCTTCTCTGGATCTATTCTATTTATTTGAGCTTTATGGACTTGCTTTTCAATTAGTTGTAACTCTGCCTCAGCCTCATTTGTTAATTGCCGAGGGCTAGTAAGACTAGGATTTCCTCTAAGGATAGAAAACAGATTACTCATGGCATAGGTAGGAATGTCTAGAGCAGGTCATATCCAATTAATGTACCCTAGTAACTTCTGAAAGTCATTTAACGTTTTTGGTTGATCCTTACGTATGGTTACTTTCTGTGGCACAATGGTAGTGTCATTTACTAAGACTACTACTCCCAAGTAGGAGTAAGGAGTAATAGTCTGAGTTTTGTCAGAAGCTATAATTAAATCAGCATGATAAATCGAATTTTGCAAGTGATCATAACACTGGAGTAATATTTCTCAAGTGGGGGCAGCACAAAGTATATCATCCATATAGTGAATATGTAACACTGTGAAAATTTTTTACGAGTAGGTTCAATTGCTTGCCCCACATACATCTGGCAAATTGTGGGACTGTTTAACATGCCCTATGGCAACACTTCCCAATGATAACGCTTAGCAGGCTGCAGGTTGTTTACTGCAGGAATTGTAAATGCAAACCATTCACAGTCTTGCTCAGCTAAAGGGATAGTAAAGAAACAGTCTTTAAAATCTACGACTATTAAAGGCCAATTTTTTGGAATTATAGCAGGAGAAGGCAATCCTGGCTGTAATGCTCCCATAGGTTGTATAACTGAATTGATGGCTCTTAAGTCAGTTAACATTCTCCATTTACCTGATTTTTTCTTAATTATGAAAACTGGAGAATTCCAAGGAGAAAATTTTGGAGCTATGTGCCCATTTTCTAATTGTTCAGTAACTAATTTCTCTAAAGCCTCCAGTTTCTCTTTACTTAACGGACATTGTTCCATCCAAATTGGCTTATCTGTTAACCATTTTAAAGGCATAGGTTCTGGAGGCTTAACAATGGCCACCATCAAAAATTGTTTCCTAATCTTTGGCGGGAACTTTGTCTTTCCACTTGAAGCGGTTTTTTCAAACCTTGCAAATTTTTTTCTAGTCCCATACCAGGGACGTACCCTATTTCATGCATCATATGTTGACTTTGAGGGTTATACAATTGTTCTGGAATTAGAACTTGTGCTCCCCATTGTTGTAATAAATCTCTTCCCCATAAATTTATAGGTACAGAAATTATAATTGGTTGAATAGTCCCAGGTTGTCCATTGAGCCCTTCACAATGCAAAATATAACTACTTTGATACACTTCAGGGGCTTTACCAGCTCCAACTATGTTAAATTGAGTGGGTTGAACTGGCCACATGGATGGCATGTGCTGTAGGGAAATGATTGAAATGTCCACTCCTGTATCTATCAAACCTATAAATTTCTTTCCTTGAATAGTTATTTCACAGGTAGGACGTTTATCAGTAATTTGATTTACCCAATAAGCTGCTTTGCCTTGTTTATTTGTGCTTCCAAATCCTCCTGTTGGTTTAATTTCACTTTTTCCCATTCCTACTTACGGCACAATCAGGAGCTGTGCTATGCACTCTCTTGGCTCTGCTTTCCAGGGAACAGAAGTAGATAGAACAATTTGAATTTCCCCATTGTAATCTGAATCAATGACTCCTGTATGTATTTGTACACCTTTTAAACTTAAACTAGACCTTCCTAAAAGTAATCCTATTGTCCCTGCTGGCAAGGGTCCACAGACTCCTGTTGGGACCTTTTGCGTGGTTCCCCAGGCAGAAGGCTTACAGCTTTTGTGCAGCATAAATCTACTGCGGCACCACCGGCTGTGGTGGGGGACAGACATTGTACGGGGGTGAGGGAATGGCCTGAGCTGGAAATGCCGCAGTTTAGAACAGGGCCCAGGATGGGCCCCTCATGGCATTTCCTGAAATTGGGTTCCCTTCTTTATCAAACTTAGAGTGACACTGATTAGCCCAATGTTTTCCTTTTTTACATTTTGGACATCTTTCAGGATCAGCAGTTTTCTTTTTTCCCCCATCTGGCGGCCTGACTGGCTGATTTTTTTCTACATTCTTTTTTAGTGTGACCCTGCTTCCCACAGTTAAAACAAGCTCCAGGAAATGGAGTATTTCCTTTGTCCACTCTCAGTCCTGCCATTGCCTGTGCTAGCAGAGTAGCTTTATGCAGATTACCTCCGATACCATCATAGGCCTTGATATAATCAAGTAAATGTGCTTTCCCTCTGATAGGTCACAGAGCAGCCTGGCAATCGGGATTAGCATTGTCAAAAGCTAATAACTGCAACACTATATCCTGAGCAGCTGAATCTGCAATCATCTTTTTAAGAGACTCCCATAACTGAGCTACTAAATCAATGTATGGTTCTCTTGGTCCCTGTTTTATAGCACTAAAGGAAGGGTATTGTTTCCCACTTGAAGTGATTTTTTTCCCAAGCTCTAATGCACACTCCTCTAAGCTATTCTATGGCATCATCCTGCATGACCAGTTGTGCATCTAAACCAGCCCAGCTGCCAACCCCCAAAAGTTGGTCTGCAGTTATATTAATTTGAGTTTGGGCCTGGGTATTGGGAGCAGCCTGAATGGAAGCTTCATCTGCCCACCAGGTTTTAAATTGTAAGAACTAAGCAGGAGTTAGACAAGCTCGAGTAAGAGTGTCCCAGTCAGTAGGAACCATCCTACTGGAAACAGCAAAATTCTTTAACAGTCCCATTATAAAAGGAGAACCTGGTCCATACTGATTTATAGCTTGTTGAAATTCTTTGAGGAATTTAAAAGGAAAAGGATCAAATGTAGCTATAATATTTCCCTGTTGATCTGGGGGATGTATTCTAACAGGGAACTGCCAAGCCTCTAAATCACCCTCTTGTCTAGCTTGCTGAATTCCTGCCTGAATAGAACTAAGAGTGGTCATTCGAGGTGCTGCTTGAACAGTCACTGGGGCAACTACTTTTCTCCCAGTGTCCTCTGGTAAAGAAAAATCTGGAGGGTCTTTTTCTTCAAAATAATAAGAAGGGGGTGTAGAAGGGTTGGGATGAACCTCTCCTTCCTTTGCTGCTTTAGCTTTAGCTGGTAAATAAACATGCTTTGTAACCTCTTCTGTTACTTCGTTATATTCTCGTTCCTCCTCATTATCAGTGTGAAAAAGTTCCAAGGTGAAATGAACCAGACCCCACACCTGTCCCATTGTTATCCTGATGCTTCTGAGCTCCTCTTCTTACTCACCATGGGGATTGCTTTAAGAGTACTTGGGTGTCCTCCAGTTAGTTTTTTGTTCCAGCCATCACTCTGGTGACCCTTCGACCTGGATTTGAGCCCCCATGATGGATGCCACTTGCCAAGACCAGCTCGGCTGGGGAGACCCTAACCCAGCAGCGCAAGAGGAATTAAATACACACACACAGAAATATAGAGGTGTGAAGGGGGAAATCAGGGGTCTCACAGTCTTCAGAGCAGAGAGCCCTGAACAGAGATTTACCCACGTATTTATTAACAGCAAACCAGTCATTAGCATTGTTTCTATAAACATTAAATTAACTAAAAGTATCCCTTTTGGGAAATGAAGGGATGGGCTGAATTAAAGGAATAGGTTGGGCTAGTTAACTGCAGCAGGAGCATGTCCTTAAGGCACAGATCATTTATGCTATTGTTTGTGGTTTAAGAATGCCTTTAAGTGGTTTTCTGCCCTGGGCAGGCCAGGTGTTCCTTGCCCTCATTCCCATAAACCTACAACCTTCCAGCATGGGCATTAGGGCCATTATGAACATGTTACAGTGCTGCAGAGATTTTGTTTATGGCCAGTTTCGGGGCCAGTTTATGGCCAGATTTTGGGGGGCCTGCTCCCAACAGTATATTTTATGCATATGAACTCCATTAGTCTGGTTCTCTGAAAAACCCTGACTAATACAATGTGTTTTACAGATGTATGTTTAAAATAATGATGATAATGATAAGATTAGAAGAATAATAAGTAATATTAATTGAGCACTTATGTGTTAGGGACACTGTAAGTGGTTTATAAAGATTAATACAACAATCTTATGAGGAAACTGAGGCATAGAGATGTTAAGTGACTCGCTCAAGGTTTTATATCTGAAAAAAGGCAGAGCCAGGATTTGAACCCAGGCATTTTGACTTTAGAGTTCTTGGCCTCCAGAAACCTATAATCTCATTCATTTTTCTACATGCTTCATTACTAAACATAACCTCTCTCTCCCCCAACACCCCCCACCTTATATAAATCCATGAAATAGCATGTCCTTAGGATTTATATAGCCATATTAATTTGGAATTTCATTATTGTCAATAAGACCAGTCTGTAAATGCTTTCTGGCCTGGACTTTCACTAACTCTGCTCCCTCCTTTCTTGAACCAATTAGGGCACCAACCCAGAGACTTGTAAATCATATTTTATCTGCATCAACTTTGCTTTTTTCTCTCTTACCTTGTTTAAGCTGTGTCTCTCCCCATTATGCATCAGTGGCTTTAGGCTAACCTTCATGGGAATGTATTCAGAACATAAAACATCCAGCAGACCTCCTTGTCAGCAAGGGCTTGTCCAAATGCATGCAGGGGCTTCCCCACCACTAGACACCCTGTCCTCACAACACCCATTCAGCTGTTGGCTAACTATGCCTTACAGACTCTGTTCTTGACCCATTCCCAGATGCTTCTGACCAGTCCTTTTCATTTTATTTGTATATTTGTATAATGCAGTGAAGCATATCCTTGCTGGGACTGCAGAGCAAATTGGTGGCATGCCTTCTGAGGTTCCAAGGTTGTCATGGGCATGATAGCAATACCCTACTCTAACTAAAAGTCAGTTCTAAACTCCTCAGGGAGCTCCTGAGGGTGCATGTTCTTCATTCTTTTGGATACTCAGCAGACAACTAGCATGTCCTGAGGTGCCCTAATAACAAAAGCTCATTCCCTCCACATACCAGGGGGAGAAGATGACTAGGTTGGCTTTATTTCCTTAGTGACCTGCTGAAATCTCTCTCCGATTGAAAGCCATCTTTTTCATAACACTGAAAAGATGTAACATTATCTTAATCATTCCCAAATGAATCCTGAAAAATATTTGGAAACATTACACTTAAACAAAATCATTTCAGCATTACTAGAAAGTTTCAGCCATTTGCTATAAACTTGTACTTTCAAGTGGCCACCATGTGGTCTGTTTTTTGAACATCCAGTTCTTTCTTTTTTATAGAATTTACACCCCTGACACTTGTTTTAAGACCTAAGAAAACCTTTAGTACTTAGCAGAAGTAGAACCTGACATGGTCATAAAGAAGATATATTTGATTTTACTCCTTGAAGCCATTAAAAAAAAAAAAGACACAGAATACTGTCTGTAAGAAAACTAAAATGGCAGCTGCAGCTTCTTCTCAGAAGTCTCTGGGAGGAGTCATCTAAGGTCACTCATTCTCCTGGGTTCCAGGAAAGTCATTTACTCTCCTCCCAACCCCCCATCTAAAGCATAGATTATTGGCAAGACAGAGATCCAACTCTCAATAGAGCCTGTCTTGATTGAGGAAGTTAACACTTGAGAAAAGTATTCTGTCTTCTTAACAGGGCTCTTGAAGGATCCTTGCCAAACAGAACCCCTA
Source organism: Homo sapiens (assembly GCF_000001405.40). Taxonomy (NCBI): domain Eukaryota; kingdom Metazoa; phylum Chordata; class Mammalia; order Primates; family Hominidae; genus Homo; species Homo sapiens. Next base: position 102,669,953 of record NC_000012.12, read on the forward strand.
AAGATAGAAAAAAATAAAAAGAAAAAGTCATTTTTCTAGGACTTAGGAATTAGTCACCAACTTGCATTAGCAAGAGGAGCTGTAAAGAATTCCATCAAATAATGCGGTTTGAAAGGCCTAATTTAAATGAAAATAACTAATTTCAAAATAAGAATCAAGGCAGAAGTTGAGGAGAAGATTCAGGTGCCAGGGAGAGATGGAAATTTACATTGGCGGAATTCATAGTTCACTCTTGGGCAGAGGAACTACCACATTGGAGTCTAGTGCCTGTGAGTTAATAAACAAATACTGCTAAGAGGGCTGACACTCTTTGGAGAACATAAGGACAGCCTCTTAGTTCCAATCTATTTAGGTGAAGTAGTTTAGTATTACATTGAGGGAAGGCATTGAGGTATCATTAGCAGAATCCTCCTTCCAGTATGGTTTTTAGCTTCTTTGGGTTTTGAGAAGAGTTTAGGCAAAAAAGAAGGGATAGGAAATCAATACTGAATAATACACATATCTTTACTTCACACAACCTCTGCTGTGGCTTGATTTTTTGGTACCTAGCAGAATGACTTGCACAAAAGAAATGCTCAATACCTCTTCAATGTTAAAGGAATTAACTAGTTAATTAAAATAATTAATTAATTTTGTGTTTATATAGGCCCACGCATTGACCAAAGGTGTTTCAGTGCAATTTTATTCCTTCCAGAGGAGTTAAAAATGAGGAAATATAAGAGAAAGAGTGAGCTAATTTGAACTGGTGATATCTAGCATTTTATAAACACTGTCTTTCTTTACAGATAGTGAATTTAGCAGTCCAAAGAAGAAAACAGCTGCTTACCATGAAATGAAACAAAGGCAATTAAGACTATAATGGGGTGTTAACATTGAAGTTATAAGCAGGCTCCAAAATACAATTGATGAAAAATTCAAAAAAGGAGTCCCTGATTGCCAGTTGCATATTTATAAAGGAAATGAGCCTGAGGAACTGCTTGATAAATGTTTGACCCCCTCAGGCAGGTAAGACCATAAAAAGGGAGAGGTGCGAGGTGATTTTCTATTTCTTCACTTCTTGTGTAGTGAGAGGAGATTTTGAGGAAGCCACTATGTGGTTGGGTACAGGGTCTGACCGCTGTCTGGGGAATCTACAAAAAAAGAGGAGGGCTGCCCAATGTTTTGGTGCTGTTATCAGAAGAAAATTTCTCTACTGGGGTTGGACTGTGTTCCCAAGGCATGTTGGAGCAAGGAATACAAAATGACTTCCTAAGGACCATACATGTGCTACCAGGAGACAGAGTCAGAGATGGATCATTTTTGATTTTGGGAGTGCAAAGGGATCCCAGCAGCAAGAATCTGTAGGTGAACACCTTGGATAAGGGAGGAATCAAGAGCAACCATTAAAGAGAAATGTATCCACATCTGCCTGAATCAAGGGACCTGAAGTTGGGAGGGACTCCGTGCAGAACCGTCAGACACTCCCATCAAAACACCACTGAGGAGATATAATGGGCCAGGTCCAGAGAACAGGCAAGCTCTGAGATTCCATTAAGACCTTCCTTTACTATTCCCTTCTAACCTTGGAGAGGTCAGAAACTTTTGGCTACCTAGGGAGGGAGTAGAGAAGAGAAGCATAAGGTAGAAAATATATAGCAGAAATCAACAAAGATTCCCCTTTTCCTCTGCAGTTCTGCAACCTGAAATATACTCAAACTAAGGAGAAAAGAAGAATTAACTCTAAGTCATCTTGGGATTTTTAAATGATATCTTGGATTGACATTAAACTTTCTGAACTGAGACTATTTGCAACTTAAAGTAATTGTACAACTGTCCACTACCTAAGCATGTGTGGAAAGGTCATGGGGCATGCCCACAGGCATATCTTGGTTTCTGGGGAAACTAAGAAAAAAATAAAAATTGTGATTATAGAAAAAAATCACAACAAATTACAGATTTTAAAAAGCTGATAAAGACCATAAATATCACAAAATAAAAATTTTAATTGGCTGCACATTGATATAGCTTTTCTCCTTTTTTCTTTCTTTCTTTCTTTTTTTTTTTTTTTAGACACAGGGTCTTGCTCTATGGCTAGTTACATGATCCTAGCCTATTGCAGCTTTGACCTCTCAGGCCCAAATGATCCTTCCACCTCAGCCTCCCTATTATAATTTTTCTAACTACATTTTTGATAACATATTCCTTGATTACTTCTTCATATGACTGTAAGCACCTGAGGGTTTCACCTTGCCTGCTGCCTAGACAGAGCCCATTCATCAAGACAAGGGAATTGCAAGAGAAAGAGTAATTCATGCAGATCTGGCTGTGTGGGAGACTGGAATTTTATTATTACTCAAATCAGTCTCCTCAACCATTGGAGAGCAGAGTTTTTAAGGATAACTTGGGGGTAGGGGGAAGCCAGTGAGCCAGGAGTGCTGATTGGTCAGGGGTGAAATCATAGGGAGTTGAAGTTATCTTCTTGTGCTGAGTCAGTTCCTGGGGAGGGGGCCACAAGATCAGATGAGTCAGTTTATTAATCTGGGTGGTGCCAGCTGCTCCATCACATGCAGAGTCTGCAAAGTATCTCAAGCACTGATCTTAGGAGCAGTTTAGGGAGGGTCAGAATCTTGCAGCCTCCAGCTGCATGACTCCTAAACCATTATTTCTAATCTTGTCATTAATGTTAGTCCTAAAAAGGCAATCTAGTCCCCAGGCAAGAAGGAGGTCTGCTTTGAGAAAGGGCTGTTACCATCTTTGTTTAAACTATAAACTATAAAACTAAGTTTCTCCAAAAGTTAGTTCAGCCTATGCCCAGGAATGAACAAAGACAGGTTGGTGGTTAGAAGCAAAATGGAGTCAGTTAAGTTAGATCTCTTTCAATGTATCAGTCATACTTTTGCAAAGGTGGTTTCATGACCGTGGTTTAATAATATCATCTTCTGTAAAGAGAATAGAAGAAATATTGTCTTTTAGTTGCTCAAACTTTTTAAAATAGTGTCAGTATAGGTTTACACCCTATAAACATGGGTATAATGATAAATTTTATTTCATTTTTTATCCTATTAAAGACAGAAAAATAATAAATGCACCTGGCATTCACAATTATATAGACTGCATTTTCAAGTTTGTTGTACATAGGCATCTATGAGAACTGTATCCTCTGCTTTCACAGTCTTATGTGTATGATTATCAGAAAAGTTTCAACAGACTAGTTCTAGTTCTACACAGTTCAAACCTGGCTTTTCTTCTACTACTCATATGCTTATGGAGCCAGGCACCATTGGATATGCTTATAGCTAGATATGGCCTCTGGTTTGTCATGACATCAGTGAGCTGGCCAGATAAGCAATAGGAGCAAAATTTAGATACACTCCTGTTTTCATGGAGCTTCCAGCCTGCTAGAGAGAAACAGGTGATAATCAATTAAACACCCCAAAAACATGTGAGATAAGTGTTTGGGAAGAAAACCATTGCTGTTTAAGAGCACATAAGTTAGGAGCCTCACTAATAAATATTTTATAATGGGTAATGGAGTAAGTATGAAACAGAGGCCCAGGTAATGTGACTTTGAGTCAGAGGAAACCTGTCTAACACCATCTTAAAGCCCTCAATTGAATAACAGAGCCATTTCCTCATTCCTGAATCTTATTTCCCACTGTGTACTTTGTACTTAGTTTTGGGCTTTCTGCTTAGTCCTTGTTCTCAGGTTCTTTTCACGACTACTGTGACCTACTCTTTATTGTTTTCCTGGAGTATGTTGGGAAACTTTCAGAGAAAGAGTTCAGTAATCCTTGAGTCTCAAGAGACTTTATTGAACTCAAGCTTCCTCTTAGTATCTTAGAGCCTATTATACATAGGTTGGGCTTCTTTACAAATTGAACAATCTTTCACAACCACCTTCTGATTTTACACCCTATCCCATCAGCATAACAATTCTCTCCTCATGGTATACAGTGAGGGAGATCATTATTGTTGTAAGACCAACAGGTTTATATGCCCATTGTGTAGTCACAGACCCATTACACTGAGGCAGCAGAATTTGCAGCAGAGAAAGAGTTTGATTGCAGGGTACTGAGTAACGAGATTCTCAAATCCATCTCCCCAAGGACTTCTGTGCTGGGGTTAATAAAGGGATCATGGAGAGCAAGGGGCTAGAGAGTTGGGGTGATTGATTGGTAGGGGTAAGAGGAATAAAATCATCAGGATATGGAAACTGCATTCTTCAGTGAGTCAGTTTCTTGTGGGGTCCTTCAGACCACCTGGTGTCAGTGAGGTTCTTCAGACCAACTGAGCTGGTAGTTTCATTGGTATGCAGGACCTGAAGGAATATCTCAAAGGGAAAACTTAACCTATCACACTGTTTTGTTATCCATGAGGAGTTAAGGGGGACTATTAATATAATTTTGAAATGTGATATAATTCCAGGACAATAGACACCAAACAACTATGAGGAAGCAGGTTAGAGAGTGAGCTGACTTAACTGTAAATGCCAGATATGCTGCAAGCTTGGTGTATTTTTATTTCTCCCTCTCCCTTCTTCCGTGATTAATTTTATAAGGTTTGTAGAGGCAGTTTCGTTATCACCATTATCAGGACAGACAGAATAAATGAACCTACATGTAAAGTTTGCTTTACATTTTGGGTTGTTTTTCTAGAGAATATATCTTCCTGTTGGTATGCTAGCTATTCTACAGGTCCAGATGAGCAATATTTGAAAGCCTACTTCTATGTATGTGGCAGATCAATGATTCCTAATGATCTTGAGGTGCTTGTTTAACATGCAGATTCGAAGCTCCACTCTGAAGCTACTTCTCAAAGGATCTAGAGAATGGGACTTGGGAATCTGAATTTTTATTTGGCCACTGAGGTGAATGTTTAAGAATGACTCTCCTGAAGATAGTGAATAGGTGCGCTTTCCAGAGTCTATCATCAGGTGATAAGTTGGATACTCAGACTGTATAACACCAATATAACAAATATAGAGAAAGGGAAAAATCTCATCTCCGTAAATAATTACTGGAGGAAACTAGAAAATATGCTAACTTAAAAGAGCAACAGTATAAATAAAAATGACACAAGTGCAAGATAATTCTTTATAGCACTGTTGAACTAGCAAAAGATTGACAACAACACAATTATTCATAGGTGGGGTACTGATTAAGTAAACTACAGCACATTCACATACAAAAACTATCCAGCTGTATAAAGGAATGAGAAAACCATATATTGCAAAGGTATGTTGTTAAGCAAAAAGTTATGAGCAATATATAGTGTAAAAAAGGAGGAAAGTAAAATATATGTTCATGATTAGCTGTGTTTATTCCCATGAGGAAGTGCTGAAGAGATACAGAAGAAACCAACAAAAGTCGTGTGGCATTTTATTTTGAGAACCTCCAGCTAAATTAGGATTTTCATTTCATTTTCCTAGCAGAAAATGAAGGAGAGTTGGACATAGGTGTGTATAGTGTGCCTCTCACAGTAAACTTGTGGCATCCCTGGAAGATGTCTAGTTGCTCAACCTGTGACTAGGGGATCCCTCACATGAGAAATTTGTTTATGCAGGTAGATGCCCTTGAGGCTCTTGTCTAACCCATCTCCAGTTTTCACCTGCCTGACTACTGCTTTGCCACTGGGAGCAGAAACTTGTGTTCTCCCTATCACCTCTGGGGAAAATTTGGCCTGGGGTAGTTCCTGGTTCTTCAGATGGAAGGCAAAAATTTAATATACCACCGCCATAGGAAATGGGAAAAAAGTTGCGGGCAAGGAGGGCACAATGAGTTGGGTGGTCAGTCCTCTGTCCCCAGGTCACGTGAAACAGGAATGAAGAATCAGACAGAGAAAGAGAGCATGACAACTAGCAGTATATATATAAGGGAATAGGGCATGAGTCACTTTAAGTTTGTGGGCAAATGCCTGAATGATTTGTTTAAAGGAAACAGCAGGAAAAGTGGGGAGCCCAGTGATGTGGTTTGGCTCTGTGTCCCCATCCAAATATCATGTCAAATTGTAATCCCCATGTGTCGGGGGCAGGCCTTGTGGGAGGTGATTGGATCATGGGGACAGATTTCCCCCTTGCTGTTCTCGTGATAGTGAGTGAGTTATGAGTTCTGATGGTTTAAAACTGTACGGCACTTCCTTCTTCTCTCTCTGTCTCTCTTGCTCTGCCATGGTAAAGACAGGCTTGCTTCCCCCTCTGTCATGATTATAAGTTTCCTGAGGCCTCCCAGCCATGCTCACTCTATGGCCTAGAGAACTTGAGTCAATTAAACCTATATTCTTCATAAATACCCAATCTCAGGTAGTTCTTTATAGCAGTGTGAGAAGGGACTAATACACCTAGTCTACTTGGTGAAGAAGATACCTCTAAGTTCCTATCTCTGGTCACTGGCTTGGCTAGTTGGGTGTGGTAAGCTAATGCCTAGGCAGTAATCTATACTGTGTCATTCCTGTTACATATTTTTTGCAATAATAGCCTTATAGGTTCACACCTCTTTTTATCTACTCTCTTTGGGTAATACTGTGCCACACTGTCTCTGAGATTGGCCGTGGGATTTGCTTTGGCCAATGTGATGCAAGCAGAATTTGGGAATTGCCTTCTCTTATTGTTCTTGGAACCCTCTGCCTGCCATCTGAAGATGCCCAGACTGGCCTGGTGGATAATGAGAGACACAAGAACCAGCTGCCTACCCACTTCTTACCTCCTGTAACCTATCTAGCAGTCTATTAACTGCAGAGTGATATGTAATAAGGGATTTACCATAAGACTTAGACCTTGCACAGTTGAAAGTTATTGACCAGAAACCACAATGGAGATCTGGGGAAAGCTGTTGATTTTGCATCTGATACTATTTCTGAAGTCACTGAAGCAAGACAGGTAGTCAAAAAGAAAACCTGGGCACAAAACAAGAGAGAATGAGGACACACTGGAACCCATGTCTGTCTTCTATTGCATCTAACTCCTTTGCTATGGAGCTGCACATGTGCCTGGCCCAGGATTTAGGGAAGCTAGAGGAGGAGATTCATGGGAGCTGGAGGAATTGTGTGTCTTGCTGCTGTCCCATGCCAAAGGGTAAGCTAGCAGATCAATGGCATGCGTGAGTTGCAACAGTGCTTGGGCCCTGCACCAACATTGCAAGTATAAAGACTGCTGCTTTACTTCTACCTTCCAGGTATCATGCAAATAGCTTGTGTTGTCTGCCCTAATCCAGAATTACACAGGGAAGGGAATTCTAGGAAATACACTTGAATTTAAGCTAAGTCAATGCAGTATAACCACCATGTCAATTTAACACATTCAGCCTCCAGCCAAATGGCCAACTGACCCCAGACACATGAGCCTACTCAGCAGTTTGGCCAGCAGCACCCAGACCAGAACTGTTCAGCTTACCATAGGATCACAAGCTAAATAAACAGTTGTTTTAAGCCACTACATTTGTTGCACATCCAAAACTGATACAGGTAATTATCTAAAAATGGTGAGCTAGATGGGTAGCAGAGCAGACGGGGACAGAAGTAGCAGTTAGACTTCTTATTCAATGAGGCTTATTCAATGAGGCTTATTCAATGAGGCTTGTGTCATACACCTTATTCAATGAGGCTTGTGTCATTTTATTTTTTGAATTGTGTAAATGTATTACTTCTTAATAAAGGATAAAATTAATTTAAAAACATGTGGAGAGACTGTAGTATGCTATTGAACAGTTTGTTAGCCATTGCAAAAGGCACTAACTAAAAGTGAGAAGTGTAATTCAGAAGAAGAGAAGACGAGGTATGTGCAAGTCAATTGAGTCTCCATGGGATATGGAACAATCATCCGCCCAATTCATCTGACCAGCGTCTACCTGGGCATCAACCTGTCTTCCTCTCTTGCCTTCATCTCTTAACTCCAATCCATCAACGAAGCCTTGGATTCCATATCTGAGGTATCTCTTAAATATGCCATCTTTTTGTTTCCATTGCTATTTCCGTGGTCCAGGTACCAACATCTCCTGCCAAGACCGTTCCAATAGCATCCTAACTCATATCTCTATGACCATATTGCTTGCCTCCAGTTCATTCTTGTACTTAAAAAATGTGTTTCTTAAAATATTAAGTAGATCATGTCATCCCTTGCCCCCATCTTCTGCATGAAGCCTTCCACAAATGTCTTTCCATTATGTTTTTAATTTATGTAAACTTTTTTCCGATTTATAATATTCTGCAAGACCATACTACTATCAACTTCTCTGATCTCTAGTGTCATTCTCCCAGACCCACCCCACTAGACCCCAACTACAATGGACGTCTTTCAGTTCTTTAAACACTTAACTTCATGTCTTTGCCCTTTGCACTTGATGTTCATTGATATCACCTGGATATGCATCCCCACCTAAGTATGTTGAATTGAAATCCCCAATGTCGGAATTGGGGTTTGTTGGGAGGTAATTGAATCATCGGGGTGGATGTCTCATGAATGCTTTAGATCATCCCCTTGGTGTTCTTTTTGTAATAGTGAAGATGCTGAAACCATGCCTCCTACAAAGCCTACAGAGCTGTGAGTCAATTAAACCTCCTTTTTGACAAAATAAAAATACCCACTTTCAGGTATTTCTTTATAGCAATGCAAGAATGGCCTAATACATTCATTATGTCTGTTCTTTATTTATCTCCCTAATAGAATATAAGCTCTATGAAGGCAGGAATCCTGTCTACTTTGTTAATCATTATATCCCCTAGTTGCAGCATGGGGGTTTGCACAATGGGCCCTAAAAAAATATTTGGCAGATGAATGAATGAATGAAGCAAGATGGATTATATCAATCCAATTCCATTGGAATATTTTCATTTTTAAACATTCTCTGTTTCTTCTTCCTGGAACTATCTTCACTTATATTTGTTTATCTGGCTCTAGCCCTCTCTTTATTCAGGTCGTTGCAGCAATGTCTCTTTCTCAGAAAGGCCTACCCTGACCCCTATCTCACGTAGTCTGCACTTGATCCTTTCTAATTTCTTATCGGTCACCCTCTGCAAATATATTATTTATGTGTTTATAGGACGGCAGGAATTGTGTTTTTCTTATTAGAATCCGCATTTTCAGTTAAGAACAGTACTTAACACATAGGAAATGTTTGATGATAAAAGGGAGGATATTTAATGAATGAATGAAGAAAGGAAGGAATAAAACTATGGATGGTGATCTTACCTTGTTCTTTGTAGCCTCCCTCTAAGGACTGGAAATACTGACCTTTAATTCCAGCCTAGTCCCCAGAACCCAGCTACCATTAGCAGGGCTTGCCATTGCTGAGCATGTTGAAGTAGACTGAATTCTCCACCTCTGTGCTGCATTCACCTCCTGGAATTTACCTTCCCTTGTTCTAATTGCTACCAATTTGCCTGAACCATGACAAGATTGCTTTATCCCCTTGGATGTCATCATACTTGGCTTGCCAAACTGCATCTTCTCTCTTGCTCTGTGTCCCACCATTGCACTTCTCTTGGAAAGTTTGGAGCCTGTCCCTGTTTCCTCCCCCAGCTGCCTCAATTTGATATATGTAACTGTCCACACATCCCCAAGTCCTGAGACGTGACTGAGGGAACAGAAAAATCAAGTCCACAAAAAGTTAAAAAACAAAACAAAACAAAAAACCTCAGTGTGATGGTTAATTTTGTGTATTAACTTGATTGGGCTGTGGGATGCCCAGATATCTTGTTGAACATTATTTCTGCATATGATGTGAGAGTGTTTGCAAAAGAGATTAGCATTCGGATTGGTAGACTGAGTAAAGTAGATGGCTCTCCTCAATGTGGGTGGGCATCATTCAGTTCACAGCTGCAGAGAATCACATAATTTGAATACACCACAATGCATTCAACCATTCCTCTACTGGTGGCCATATACATAGCTTTTAGTTTACATTGTTTGCAGTAAGCATCCTGTGCAGTCCTGGAAGACTTTCACTATGATTCCATTTATGTGAAAAGAAAAAAAAAGTCTGAATATTTTCCAAGGTATGGGCATATATGTAATTACATAAATGCATAGGAACAATCTGTTAATAGTAGTTACTTCTGAGGATCAAGGTAGTATTCAAAGTGACTTTTTGCTTCTCTATAATATTTTAGTTTCATAATAAGGAAAACACAAGCTACATTACTTGTGGGATTAAAGATGATTAAAAACATTAATAGAACAAACATTGGCTTAAAAAAATGTTAACCTCCTTTTCCCAAAGTACCTTTTTGGGGAGAGAGTGGAAAGTGATAATGTGATTGAACTTTGTCTATTCCCGTCTCTAGGGTAAAGTTGTGGAATGTTGCAAAAGGCAAACTTCCAGATTGCCCTGGGAGGAGGCCATCTGGGTAGCCCACCACCCAATTTATTAGCATGGTAAATCATCTTTCTTTCGTGTATTTTAAGGACTTTTGACTTTCACTTTCAACTTTGTCTTTTGCGTAAAGGGACTAGAATCTAATAAATGGAAACCTGTCTCAGCATTTTATTACAGAAGATTCCTGGAACATAGCTGCATCTCTGCAAAAGTTACCTAGGACTTCCCAGAAAAGCCCAGGCCCAGAATCTGCAATTGCATCATGGTGCAGTGTTTGGACACCACAGCTGTTAGTGGGCTGTCACAGGGCTATGTCATTGGATGTCTGAGCCACTGAAGTACATTAGAAAGGTGTGATAACAATGAAACAAGACACCTCTTGCATTTATATTGGGCTTTTCTTTTGCAAATGTTTCCTAGTACTTCACACATATTTAAAAGATAACAATATGATAATTTTGGGGCAGGTGTCACTATCCCTGTTTTACTGAGAGACTGCTCCAGCCATGCTGACATTTCAGTTTCTTAGTCAAGCACACAGGACCTTTACACTTGCTGCTCCACTGCCTGGGAATGCTTTTTATCCAGACTTCCTTGGAGGATTCTTCTGTCATTTAGTTCACAGCTCCGAGGTTAACTCCTTAAAGCAACCTTCTCTGACCACCCTAGCACTCCTCCAGTTACTTTCTATTACATCCTCATGTCTTATATTCTGTAAAGAACATACCACTATCTATAACTCTGCGGTTGACTTCTTTACTTTATGTATGTCTGTATTCCTCCAGTCAAACATAAAAGGGCATAGCACTTTGTCATGGTCACTGCTAAATGCACAGAACAGTTCCTGCTATCCTGTAGGCACTCAAGAATAGCTTTGAATACATCAATAAATTGTTTCCCAGTGATTGGTCTAGAACAGTTGGTTCTCGGTCCTGATAGGCACATTAGAATTACCTAGAGGGCTTTTAAAAAATACAGTAGCCAGGACCACCCTCCAGCAGTGCCCATTTACTGGGGCTGCAGCGGAGCCCAGCACTTTGTAGTTTTAAAAGCTACTTAGATGATTCTAATATATGCCCAAGTCTGGGGAGCCTGGGCCAGATAATCTTTTCAGTTCTTTGTGATCCTGTTGCATTTCCCCAGGAGAGAGATTATGGTGATAGGGACTGCAGTGGTCACAGGGAAGGTTGTTAGATGGGGTTGCACTTGGACTAGGATACAGTACACCTGAGGCCAGACGGATGGAGACATGCCTGAGATCATTTGCTTTGTCAGCAGAACAGAGACCACAACCCACAGGTTCTGATTATAAAGAAGGGCTCTCCCTGAAACATGATGTCACCCTCTTCTTAGATACCCATTTACTCCATGGTATTCTGAGACCCTACAGAAGTCAGTGCACAGATATTGACTACCTCTTCTCTGAGCTTAGAATTGCATTTAAGTGGCAGATCGGCTGAAAGGAAGAAACTTCCGGATATGAGCCTCCTGTTATTATTGTTTTCATCCTCCTGTTTTTCCTTCTGCTTCAATTCTCTTACTCTCTGCATTTCTCTCTCTCTCTGTAATCTTACCACTTTCTAGTCCCCCTAGAACTTTCTAGAATGCTTCCTCAAATATTTGAAAGTCCCCCTTTTTCCTTCCATCCTTCCCTCTCATTCTTTTTCTCCTTCCTTTCTCCCTTCCTTCCTTCCCTCCCTCCCTCCCTTCATTCTTTCTTTCTCTTTCTTTCTTTCTCTTTCTTTCTCTCTTTCCTTTCTCTTTCTCTCTTTCCTTTCTCTCTTCCTCTCTCCCTCCTTCTTTCTCTCTCCCTCTCCCTCCTTCCTTCCTTTCTTTCTCTTTCTTTCTTCCTTCTTTTCTCTCTTTCTTTCTTTCAAAACATGGAGAGTTCTCTGTATTGCACTGTGTGCAATCTATAGATAAGAAAAAGCTCTGCATCCAAATACTTCATCACATCCTCATGCAAGGAGGCCACACAAATTACACTTCACTGTAAATCCCAGATGAACTTCTCATCTTCTCAGACTAGAGAAATGGGGAGAGAATTGGGGTGCGGTCACTTGACCCTTCTCTAGCCTGTGGGAGTTGCAAAGTTCCTGGGAAACAATAGACCATCAAGGAATTTGGAGAATATGGGTCACATGAATTTTTGAATTTTGTCAGTCTCTAAACAAAACCCCCTCTTCTGTCAATTAGACAAGTGACTTATGAGGAGTGAAGTTTGCACATGGTTTGGACACACCATGCCCTGGGGATGAAAAGAGAAGGAAATGTGATTTTATTTGGAAGACGTTTTAGACTGTTGGCTGTCTAGTACTGAGAATAAAATCTGGGTGCCCAAGGGATAGAGCAGAAGTGGGGCTGGTGCAGAGTAGAAAGATGGATTGAACAAGATGCAGGGGCTGGCCCTGAGTGAAGCACAGCATTGCTTGCAGCTGTGGAATGGTTTAGGGGTCCCATTTCCCTAGATTCCTATAAGATCTCCTTTCCTTCTGATACAGTGGTGAGGAGACACAGGGCATGTCATGTTCAGCCCTCTTGGCACTAGTGGGAACTTGTGCTTGGTGTCTGTGTACATAGATGTGAAATTCACCAGACCTGACATTCTGCTGGGTTGTTCAGGGGGAAAGGCCAGGTGGGACATGGCATGGTCATTATGTGACCACATAGCACACACTGTTCTTCTCTGATTCAGCACTTCACATTCTCCAGTGGAAAATTAGCAAGAAATACTCATTTGTGTCAGTCTTTCCTCATGATTTAAATGTTGTAAGCTTTAACCAGGACACCTGTGTTTGTTAGGCAATCATAGAGAAGGCTTTTGAGAGGTTTACAAAAGGCTAGGCAGTGCAAGGGATGAGTAATGAAATGGAGGTTCCCCTTGGGGTAGAAGAGAGTGTGTGGGAAGATGTAGTTGGGAGGGGTAGAAAAGAAGGGAGTGATGTGAAAAACTAGCTTCTCTATTCATCCATTCAACACTTTTATAGCTATTTATTGAGCTCCATTGTGTACAAGGTACTTTAATAAGCGTAGAAGGTATATCAGGTTGAATCTGAGAGTCCTTGACTTTCCTATCTTTGTTCACCATATTCTTATTTATTGCCTGTGGAGACTTTCCTGACTCCTAGGCAGACATGTTGCTCTTTCTCTATGCTTTATCTCTTGCTTCTCTGTGCTTTTGCGCGTACTTCTCCTGTGGCAGTTATCACACTTATTATAGTCTAATTTTCTGTGCATATATCTGCCTATTTTATAAGGCTCTGAGCCGTGCAGGCAGGAGTCATGTCATAGTCATCTCTGACTCCCATGCACACGGAAGGTGCTTAGTAAAGGTTTTTAAAACAAATTTGACAATGAACATTTAATTTGGAAAGGTAGATTGCTCTTCACATATTTATAAATATGATGATGGTGATGATGACGATGATGTGGATGATTTAATTTCCCAATCTGTTCTAGGAACCGAGGAGGCAGGTTTGAATGTAATATGGTAAGACCCATGGATTTTTAATTTCATTCTTCAAACAATTAATAATATGAGAACAATCCCACGGAAGATCAGTGGGTGCACCAAAATTAGTGGTCATTATTTAGATAGGGTTGATACAGTTGTTATTGTTGTTTCAAATCAAATCAGTGTGGTCCCTCACTAACTCATCTGTTCCATCTCTTATTGTCCCCAAACCATGCCCTCAACATGTCACATCCAGGAAGTACTCAACAGTAGTAACAATGATTATAATAATAATTAATATTTATTGAGTCTTTCCTTTTGTTAAGGTCTATTCTGAGTGCTTTTCATGTTTCATTTTATTTCTTCCTCATGCAATCCCATGAGGTTATCAGTACTATTATTTTAGTTCTGAAATAAAGAATGGAGATGTAAAGAGTTTAATTAACTTGCTTAAGGTCACACAAGCTTATAGGCAGGATAGAAGCAGAATTCCTGCCTAGGGAATCTACCTTCAGGGGCTGTAATTTTTGTTTTTTATTTTTTTGAGACAGAGTCTCACTCTGTAACCCAGGTTGGAGTGCAGTGGCTCTATCTTCGCTCACTGCAACCTCCACCTCCTGGGTTCAAGCAATTCTCCTGCCTCAGCCTCCTGAGTAGCTGGGATTACAGCTGTGTGCCACCACACCCAGCTAATTTTTGTATTTTTAGTAGATGGGGTTTCACCGTATTGGCCACGCTCGTCTTGATCTCCTGACCTAGTGATCCGCCTGCCTCGGCCTCCCAAAGTGCTGGGATTACAGGCATGAGCCACTGCGCCCGGTCCAGGGACTGTATTCTTAACTTCTGTGCTATATTGTATCCTCTCTTTGACTATTGGCCCTATAGGAGATTTATGCACGTGGAGGGATAAACAAGTTTCACCCTTTGTGTTGAGGATCTTTTGCTTGAAGGAGACATTCCTTGCACTGAGTTTCCCTCATTTACTCTTCAGGACTGGGCATCATCCTCTTTGAGAAGTTGTCCCTAATCTTTTCCAGAAGAAGCCAGATATTGCTTTCTGTAATTCTATAAAACCTTTTGTTCTCCTTTTTCATGTGACCTCAACTGTAATCATCCAGTTTCTTGTCTGCTGCTCCCATGAGTCTGAGTTCCTTAAGATCAGAAACTTTTCCACTCATAGTGCCTAGCACCCAGTGCTGAATAAATAGTTTGTTTAATTAGTTAATTTTTGGGGATGTGTAATTTACTTCCCATTTTTCAAGAGCCTGATGGAAAGAATGTTTATTCACTTATTACATCTAGTCATTTATTCATTCTTTCAATAGATACTTATTAAGAGAGGACCTGTTTATGTTAAGCATTCTTCTGTGGACTGGGAATACCAAGGTGAAAAAAAATATACACGGTTCTTGTTCATAAGAGGCTTACAGTCTACTACTGGGGGGTCTAGATACATTAACCAGAATTGTCAAAAATTTGAGAAAATTATACAGAGTGTTATGGGAAAATGTAAAGCTAAACAGAAGGGTCCCTGGGCCTCAGAGAAAGCCCCCAATCCTACCAAGTTCATATGAACTCAGGGTATAGTTTAGAGAGTCAAAGGATGACACATTTGACATCCTTTGACTCTCTAGGATATGATCAAATGTGTCATCGTTGGACTCTCTAGGATATGCGCAAATGTGTCATCCTTTGACTTTCTAATATATGACCAAAAGTGTCATCATTTGACTCTCTAGGATATGACCAAATGTGTCATCCTTTGACTCTCCAGGATATACCTCAAGTCAATAGCCACTTCTTATTGCAGGCCAATTAAATGCAGATTTGGACAAGTCTGGAAAAGTCAATACATTATTCTTACAAGAAGTCTTAGAATGATTGAGTTAAAGAGACCTCAATAATCATTGAATCCAAACTTCACATACAGTGGAAGGGCTCACAATAAACTTCTGGGTAAACTGATTGTTCATGGAGAATATGAATCCATGCCACTTTATAAGGATTTACTCAATGTCTCAACACTATTCCTAGGAACAAGTGGAGACCAGTGTCTTCCCAGAAACTTTATGAGGCATTTAGAGACATATCTTGGTGGCCTCAGGTACTTTCACACAGAATCCAGAACAAATCATCCCAAACCATGTCTGAGTTTTCTCAGGGATTTATTCCAAATTCATCTTGGTGCTACCCTCTGGTGGGTAAAATCAGACAGCAGAGTTTGAACTTCTAATCCTGAAGAACTTTCTGATGGAGTGATTTTTTGTTTTATTTAGAGGAGGGATCATAAGATATTATTAAAACAACTTGAACATCTGTTTTGGGAATAAAGTCATTTAATTGTGCGACTGCCAAGCCACAGAGCCAAGCTCACCAAGAAAGCCTTCTTTCCTCCCAACCTTACGTAAAGCCTAATACCCAACTATAACAGTATGAACCCTCCAACATAAATGAAGACTAAAAGGGAGGAGAATGGGGTCTTTACGTCAATGAAAATTCACCTGGTGGTTGGAAAGTCAGAACCCGTTTTCTCAAGCTACTTACCCCCTATTCAAACTCTCAGTGAATACTATAAAGAAGCAGTATCAAAAAGAGGTATTCATTGAATCCCAGGAAAATTCCTCCTCCTACCACCACTGCCCTTTCCCCTATGAAGTTGAAGGTCTGAGGTCAGTCTTAGAGGAAATAAGAATCAGGTTTGGCAAGGACCCTTAAAGGACAAATGGAATGAGGTTATTCTAACTATGTGAGTCCAGTACTAGTGGAGCCTTGTCCTGCTGTTGGCCAAATGCTCAAGATACGGTCCTTAAGCTATTTAGACTCATTCATTTATTCAAAAAATATTGAGCACCTATCAGCTAATAGGCTCTGTGTCAGGCACAGGGCTCTATGACGGGATGGCACTTATATTTTAGGCAGCTAAAATACACTAAACAGATACATACAACTATTGCTAGGGCGAAAGAACTATGAAAGAAACACACAAAACTCTGGGAATTTCTTCCTATCACATCTATGGCAGACCTGTTAGTCAACCATTACACCCTTTCCCACATTCCTCTCAGCGAAAACCAATTGGCAAAAAGTTGAAGTCTACCTGCTATCACCAAACCTGGGTTTTCAGATAAGGACACTGACACTCCTAAACAGGACATATCTATGTCATACCTGCTTAGTCACCATATCAGAGTTGGAAAACAGCTTAGAGATCTGCTTTGCTGAAGCCCCTTGTTTCGCAGTGACCCACAATGGGGAAGTAACCTGCCCCAATATCTCAGGATGTCACCAGAGGCAAAGGCCTGGTTAGAACTCATGTCTCATAACTTTAATTCTAGGACCTTTGCCTGTTATCTTCAGTGGAGACTAACATTTTTGTCTTATCCTACCCAATCATCTCCATCCACTTACTGTGCTTTCATAACTTGAAGAACCTTGTGAGGGAGGAAAGTTTACAAAGGTCAGGAGTTAAGTAGTTTTTGTAGTTGGCAAGATGTATCAATGAGTGGTAGATTATGAATGCTTAAACAGGAAAAGCATATCAGAGCCTGGCAACTGAACAGAGATTAGGATCTTTCTTTCTTAATTGTCAGAATTTCAGAATGTGGAAAAATCATCCTCCTGTTGAGTCTTCAAGTCATCTTTTCAGGGGTAGGGATTTTGGAAAATATAGAAGGGGCAAGAGGGGAGGGAGACAGAGAGGCAGGAATTGGATTTTTAAAATATATTTGTGATCTGTTCTTGCACTGACTACCTACCTAATGCAAATGCTGAGAATGGTCCAGTATGTGCCAAACTGATGATGCTGTTTTTTTGCATCTCATAGCAGTTTGCCAGAGGAAGTCAACTATAAACAGGTTTTTAGGCTGGCAATCCAAGACTCCTTACAGGATTGACTCAGCAGTTATTTTGTCCAAGGTACATAGAACAGATTTACTAAGTCTGGGTCATTCTGATAAATTCTTGAAAACAGGGACCTAGACAGCAAGGGGAGAACATCAAAGATCTCCTGGGGCCGTAACCATAGTTGGCAACTGGCCTGTGTCCTCACTTCACTCCAGTCCTGGGGCCTACAGCAAAAGGAAACTCACAAGGCAGAAGTCCTCCTTTGCCCTCCTTAAGCCATCTGCTTTGATATGGCTCCCCTGAAGAATCAGAGCTTCTAGATTTCAAAAAATCTCACCAGATCATCTATTCCAGCCCTTACTTCATGGAGGTAAATTAAAATTGTCATTAACAGAACCATAGTACAGGCTTTCATGTGGAAAGAAGAAGGGTTAGAGCACTGAGTGAGCAGAGGGGTCCACCAAAGACCTCTGGGAACAGAAAGTAAGTGATTCCCTGGCTTAGATAGGAAAAAAACAGGACATAAGAAAATAGTAGTACTCAAACTTTGGCATGCACCAGAATCACCGACAGGGCTTTTAAAACACAAATCCCTGGACCTCACCCCCAGAACCTCTAATTCTTGTGGGTCTGGGACACTGGAACTCGCATTTCTTTATTTATTTATTTTTTTTTTTTGAGATGGAGTCTCACTCTGTCACCCAGGCTGGAGTGCAGTAGCACTATCTCAGTTCACTGCAACCTCTGCCTCCGGGGTTCAAGCAATTCTCCTGCCTCAGCCTCCTGAGTAGCTGGGATTACAGGTGTGCACCACCACACCTGGCTAATTTTTGTATTTTTAGTAGAGGTGAGGTTTCACCATGTTAGTCAGGCCGGTCTTGAACTCTTGACCTCGTGATCTGCCTGCCTCGGCCTCCCAAAGTGTTGGGATTACAGGCGTGAGCCACTGCGCCCAGCCTAGAATTTGCATTTCTAACAAGTTCCCAGGTGATGCCAATGCTTCTGGTACAGAAACCACACTTTGAAAACTTCTGTATTAGATAAAAAGAGAACAAAGAGGAAGGCAACTGTATGAAGCCACTCAATTCCCTTATCCTCTAAAGGCTTCATGGAGGGAGTTGATGAGTAGATATTTTCCCTAGTTAGGTAGATGGATGCAGTCTTTTCTTTCCATTAAGTGTCATATTTGAACTTAGTGAGGGTGCTGTGCAAGGGAGGGCTATGCCAGCTGGCATAGTTCACAAAACATAATTTCCTGTGGAAATTCAGTAAAAAATCACAAAGAGGTGAAGTCAGATGCTACCCAAGGGTCACAAGGTTGAGCCCTGGAGGGAGTGAGGGACTGGCTTGGGTCTGGTGACTTGCGGTGGGGTTGGGGTGGTAAACGGGAGACAGAAGAAGATCCAGTTCTCCTGTTTGCCATTGCTCATCACTAAGTATATTACAGGCTGTAAATTACAAGTAACCTCATTTTTCCAATTATATTAACTTTTATTCATATTTAGGGGATACTGCAATGTGGGAGAAAGGGCCCTGGACAGGGAGCTGGCAAGTCGCAATCCTGGCTCCACCCCAGTTAGTATTGTGATAATTAGTGTTCCTCTCTGCATCCGAGCTTCTTTATTAGTAAACTGAAATAAAAATGTTTCTAAACACTCCTTGAGGGTCCAATGAGATAAAGTATAAAGGCACTTTGCAGAAATATAAGGTACTATAGAAGTGGAAGAAATACCTTTTTACTCACTCACTCATTCACTCACTCACTCATTCATTTGACAAAATTGTATTAGGAATCAATCATGTGCTGTACTCTGACAACATCATGAGGAACAAAAGAAACAAGGTTCTTGCCTCATTAGGGGGAAAAGAGGAAATAATAGGCTTTCTTCTCAATCTTCTCCCCTAACCTTGCTACTACGGAGAATACTTTTAGTGGGACCACAGCAGAGAGTTAACAGACACACCTTTAGAGTTTTCCTGGGAGAGGGTCTTCAGGTGCCCTTGCATGCCCTCTCCAGACTACTACATATTCTCATCTCTAAGCAGAAAGAGACAGATGAGGGAGAAGAGGTACTGAGCCAGTGAGGTGGGGAGTGTGGAAAAGGCCTCACAGTAGAGTCACTGGGTCCCAATCCTAGCACTCAATGGGTGGCTTTGGATGAGTTATTTAACACCTCCATGGCCCAATTTTTATCTATTATATGGACATAAGTCATGGCTAAGATTCAGCAGTACTGGTTGGTGAAACATTGAAATACTTCTGTCCCAGCTGGTAAAAGTTACTGCCACTCAAGTATCTCCTATTCCTGCTACTCTGGGCACTCATGCCCTACCCTGTCCTGGGAACTTTCCACAGTCCAGCAAATAAGAAGTAATGCCCGTCACAGTGGGTGAATCCACTCTGCTTCAGTAAAACTTCTGTAGTTTCTGGGTGGCTGATGACCGTGTCGAATGTGTTGTTAAATATTTTGACTATCACTTGTCTATACAACTTTTTTGAGGATCTCATTACAATCTCAATAAGCAAATGTCTTTTTGTGTGCTCAATACAGTCTTGTTTCCTCCTCCAGGCAAAAATGGACTGTTTGGTGTTGGAGGCTGAGCAGAGGTGGGCAAAAAGGAACAGAAGGAGAGTAACTGGTGAAGAAGGAGCAAAGAGTGAGGCACAGTAAGTTGGTCGTGGCGAGGGGGCGGGGGGCGGGGGTGGGGGGTGCGGGCAGATTCTCTCTGGACCTGGGATGCGCTTAGCAAGTCCCTTCTTGGAGTCCAGAGAGAAAGTAAGAGCTCAGGGCATGTCAAAGGGCTTGCAGTTCTTTGAATGGAACACAAAGTGTTATTGTTACATAGTAACAGCTCTTGCTCACATCGACAATTTATTCCATTCTAATTCTAATCTCTTCTTCACAGGGGAGACAAAAGTCTGCACATTTCTCCCTTGCACAGCCCTGCAACTTGCTACTGGGAGAATGGTTTCCTTGTTTCCCTGAGACTCACATTTGCACTTTCTTGGCAAACCTGCTGAGAGGTATCAGAGTCACTGGACACACCCCAGAACATTGATATGTTTGGAATTTAATCAGAAGCCCCACAAAAATGGGACTATTTACCTTACTCCTGGAAACACCCATTTGAAAAATATTTAAAAGCTATCAAAATACAAATTATTAGGACTCTGCCCTTCACAACGAGCTTTTTAGGATTTATGTATTTTGATATGTGCCTCATTCTTCCCAAGAAACGAGGTCAGGCATTTCCCTGATTCTGACATTTTAGTGCAGTGACTAGTAAAAAGATGGATAGGGTCCAACCCTGTTTTTCCATACTTCTTTACCTTGTTCTTTGGTGTCTGTTTTCTTGCAGGAGGGGCCTGGAAAAGCCTCTCCCAGCAATCTCAGGTGGCATGGTCTTACTGCCTGGAATTGCCAACCTTGGAGTTCCAACTCTGCATCTTTGAAGTCTGGCTGGGAGTAGTCACCAATCTGAAAGTCAAGGCCCACAGGATCCTGAGAGTCCAGGAGTCCAGAAAGAGACAGACAGGCAGATAGATAGAGAGAGAGAGAGAGAGAGAGAGAGAGAGAGAGAGAGAGAGAGAGAGACAGACAGGCAGACACACACACACACACACACACACACACACACACACACACACACACACACACAGAATCAACTATGCTGCTGCTTACCAGCCTTTTACTTCCTTACTTGTTACTCTTATTGTGTCCTCTGACACCAGCCTAGGGGTTGTTTTAAAGCTTCTCCATGATTCTCAAATCTTCAGACTCACCCTCCCCACCTAGTTCTCTAAAATGCCACCAGCTCCCCCTCTGCATTGGAAACATCCATCTTCCCTGCTCACTATTCCCCTCCGTCTCAAAATGTTCCTTTGTTCTTCACTCACTTCCTTTCCTTTGGCATCTGGGGAAGGTTTGTTCTCCTTTTCAAATTGAAGGCCCTGACCTGGGCTCATGATCAAATATCACTCAGTGATCTCCTCTTGAGTAATTTCAGTCTCACCCTTTCTGTAAGAAGGACCCTCAGTCTTTCCCACACAATGCCCTCTCAATGTGCACCCTACCTTTCTTTTCCTTCCTTTTAGAATTGTTAAATTAGCAGCCTGCACTGACTAGCTCCTCTTTCTCACCTCATCTCTTTCCAATCTGCAGATTGCAATTCTGATTGGGATCTTACTTCTGGTCAAATTGCAATATTGAAACATAATTGGTGGTGTAATGATTTTACCATTGATGACTCTCAAACCATCCAAGTCAGTTTTTTCTTTCTTTCTCAGTCTTATTCTCACCCTTCCCTCACTACAGGGCATAGGACACTGCTGACATCCCCTTGCTTCTTGAAATGAATGCTTTCTGCTACACTACAGTAGTAGTTCTCTTTCAACCAGGGATAGTTTTTCTCAAGTTTCCTAAATGATGCCTCCTTGGCATTCCTGAGATTCTTCTCCTCTCCTCCCTTTTTTGCCTTTACTCCACTCTCCCCTCCCCTTGTCTCATGCACTGCCATGGTTTTGGTGACTACCCCTTACCTCTACAGAAATGACTCCCAAATCCTTGCCTCCAGAGGTCTCTTGCCTCCTGGATCATAGTCCCTCAATTCTACCTGCTGGATTTTTCCTTTGGTATACTGCTGGCATCTTAACCCAGAGTGTTCAATACCCAAATCATTCCCCTCTTCTTGAAACAGACTCAGCCTTTTCAGCCTCTTTACTTTTGTAAATGGTATAAACGTTACCTGAGTCAGGCAAACTAAAAATATTTGCTTCTGCATTGCATCACTCTATTTATTTAACTCACTTTTTCTGTTTGGTTGTTTTCTGCACTGGCTCTTGGCTCTACTCCCTGCTTTCCACTGCAGTTGCTCTCACCTGAATGCATAGTTTATCTTTCTGCTTGGATGCTTGCACTAGCCTGTTTGGTGACTGTTTCCTTGATTTTGTTTTCTCCTTTTCCAATTATCTAACACACTCAGACAAACTGATCTTCTTTGAAAAATTTTTTCTGAGACAGAGTCTCGCTCTGTCACCCAGGCTGGAGTGCAGTGGCGCAATCTTGGCTCACTGCAACTTCTGCCAGGTTCAAGCAATTCTCCTGCCTCAGCCTCCCAATTAGCTGGGATTACAGGCACCCGCCACCATGCCCGGCTAATTTTTTATATTTTTAGTAAAGATGGGGCTTCATTATGTTGGCCAGGCTGGTCTCGAACTCCTGACCTCAAATGATCCACCCACTTCAGCAAATTGATCTTCTTAAAGCCTGATGAGTCTTTGCTGGTCTCACCTCTCTGCTAAATTAAGCTAACCTTTAAAATGGCATTTAAGGTCTTAAAGATCTTTCAAGGCTCAATTCTCAGGACTTCCCTAAAATTAATCTATTTTCTAATCAAATGTGATGGCTCAAAATTTCCCAGTAATTTCCAATTTCTGCCCCTTTGTTTATATTCTTTCCTTTACCTAGCTCCCCCAAGAGCACTTTTGCTCAAATGCAGTGGAATCAATTCCTTCTCTGAAACCCTATAAAACTTAGTTTGTGCCTGCTTTTTTACCCTGATCATTGTCTGCTTAATATTGCATATTTTGGTAGCCTAATTATCCTACTTCTATCTCTTCCAGTTTATAAAATATTTGAAGGGAAAGAGTGTACTGTAGGCTTTCTTAGAATCTTGCATGGCATCCGAGGCAGTATCTTTTGCATTGTAGGCTCCAATATATATTTGTTGAATGCTAAATAAACTAATCATATTTTTAGAAACTTTATATTCAGTTTCTTGTTTTGGAAAATATTTAAATTTTTAATTTTATTTATTTTTTATTTTAATTAATGACTGGAAAATACTAGTAACTATTCACCTCACATAAACATTCTCAAAACAAACTCATTTCTCCCAAAGATGACTACATTCATCAACATTTAGAGATAATTCTTCAGAAGCAAGATGGTGGACTGGAGGGCTCCACTAATTGTCCCTCCAACAAGGACACCAATTTAAGAACTATCTATACACACACAAAAGCACCTTCATAAGCTCCAATAATCATGTGAGCACTCACAGTACCTGGTTTTAACTTTGTATCACTGAAAGAGGCACAGAAGAGGCAGGAGAAACAGTCCTGAATCACCAATGCCACCCCTCCTTAAACCACTTGCAGTGGTGGCATGGTGTGAAGCATTTCTATGCTCTGGGGAAAGGAAGAGTGGAGTAATTATGAGACATTGACTCAGTGCTGCCTTGTTCAAGTAGAAGGTAAAAAACAGGCCAAACTCACATGACACCCAGCCATGGAGGGGGCATTTAAACCAGCCCAAGACTGAGAGTAATTGCCAATCCCAGCATGGGAACATAAGTTCCCATAAGCCTTGCCACTGTGGGCTAAAGTGCTCTGGGGCCTCAAATAAATTTCAAAGGCAGCCTGGGCCACAAGAACTGCAACTGCTAGGTGAGTCCTAATGCTGAAATGGGCCCAGAGCCAGCGCGCTGTGGGGGGAATTAGACCTACTGAGACATCAGTTGGGGTGGTTAAGGAAGTGCTGGCATCACTCCTCCCCTAACCACAGGCTTCACAGATCGCAGCTCCAAAAGAGACCCCTTCATTCTGCTTGAGGAGAGAACAGGGAAGAGTGAGGAGGACTTTGTCTTACATCTTGGATACCAGCTCAACCACAGCAGGATAGGGAACCCATTAGAGGTGTGAGGCCCTAGCTCATGGATGACATTTCTAGACACACCATGGGCTAAAAGGGAACCTGTTGCCCTGAAAAGAAGAACCCAGTCCTGGCAGTCCTGCTAACTTGAAAAGCCATTGGACCTTAAATAACCAGCATCCATAACCGGGTAAACAATCCAAAACACTGTGGGCCTTGGTGATACGCTGAGACTTGCTGGCTTCAGGTGAGACTCAGCACATTCTCAGCTGTGGTGGCTGTGGGGCAAGGATCTTTCTGCTTGAGAAAAGTGGAGAGAAATGTACAGGTGACTTTGTCTTGCACCTTAGGTACCAGCTCTGGCCACAGTGGGGTGGAGCACCAAGTGGGCTTTTGGGGTCCCCAATCCCAGCATTTGGCTCTTGGATGGTATTTCTGAACCTGCTTTGGGCCAGAGGGGAGCTCACTGCCCTGAAGGGTGAGTCCCAGACCAGGCAGCATTCAACATAAACTGACTGAAGAGCCCTTGGGCCTTAAGGGTACATTGGTGGCAGTCTGGCAGTACTCACTGTGGGCTTGTGGTGGCAGTGGCCACGGGGGAGGCTTCTCTGCCTTTGGAAAGTGTAGGGGAGAGTGGGAAGGACTGCATCTTGTGGTTTGAGTGTCAGCTCAGCTGCAGTACAATAGAACACCAGGTAGACTTCTAAGGTTTTTGACCGTAGTCCCTTGCTTCTGGACAGCACCTCTGGACCTGTCTGGAGACTGGGAAGCTTGCCACCCTGAAGGGAAGGACACAGGCATGGCTGGCTTTGCCATCTACTGATTTTGGAGCCCCAGGGCCTTGAGAAAACATGGACGGTAGCCAGGGAGTGGTTATAGAAAACCTTGGGTGATATTCAGTGCTGTGCTGGCTTTAGATCTGACTCAGCACAATCCTAGTGCTGGTGGCCAAAGGAGTGCTTGTGTCACTCCACCCCCAGCTCTAGGTGGCTCAGAACAGAGAGACTTTGGGAGAATGTAAAGCAAGAGAACAAGATTCTCTGTCTGGTAATCCAGAGAATTCTGGATCATGTTCAAGACTCTATGAGTCTACAGGAACCAGAGCATTGCTAGCTTGGGGTGCCTAAAGTAGATACAGCTTAGATCACAACAACTAAGTTTTTTTTTTTTTTTTTTGAGTATCTGGAAAGCCTTCCCAGGAAGGATGAATACAAACAAGCCCAAACTGCAAAGACTACAATAAATACCTAACTCTTCAATGCCAAGACTCATACGCTCATCTACAATGTCAAGGCTGCCCAAGAAAACATGACTTTAAGAAAGTAACTAAATAAGGCACCAAGGATCAATTCTGGAGAAACAGAAGTAGGTGACCTTTCAGACAGAGAACTCAAAATAGCTGTTTTGAGGAAACTCAAAGAAATTGAAGATAACAGAGAAGGAATTCTGAATCCTATCAGATAAATTTAACAAATAGATTAAAATAATTTAAAAGAATCAAGCAGAAATTCTGGAGCTGAAAAATGCAATTGACAAACTGAAGAATGCATCAGAGTCTGTTGATAGCAGAAGAAATAATTAGTAAGCTTGAAGACAGGCTTTTGAAACTACACAGACGAGACAAAAGAAAAAAGAAAAAACCAATGAAACATGTCTGTAGGATCTAGAAAATAGTCTCAAATGGCAAATCTAAGGTAATTGACCTTAAAGAGGAGGTAGAGAAAGAGATAGGGATAAAAAATTTATTCAAATAGATAATAATAGAGAACTTTCCAAACCTAAAGATATCGATATGCAAGTACAAGAAGGTTATAGAACACTAAGCGGATTTAACCCAAAGAAGACTACCTAAAGGCATTTCATAATCAAACTCCCAAAGGTCAAGAATAAAGAAAAGATCCTAAAAGCAGCAAGAGAAAATAAACCAAACACATACAATGGAGCTCTAATATGTCTGGCAGCAAATTTTTCAGTGGAAACCTTACAGGCCAGGAGAGAGTGGGATGACATATTTAAAGTGCTGAAGGAAAAAAAAACTTTTATCCTAGAATAGTATAGTCAGCAGAAATAGCCTTCAAACATGAAGAAGAATTAAGATCTTTCCAGACCAACAAAAGCTGAGGGATTACATTAACACCAGACCTGTCCTGTAAGAAATGCTAAGGGAGTACTTTAATCAGAAAGAAAAGAATGTTAATGAGTAAGAAGAAATCATCCAAAGGTACAAAATTCACTCTTAGTAGTAGATACACAGAAAACACAGAACATTATCATACTGTACTGTTATATGTAAACTACTCTTATCTTAAGGAAAAAGACTAAATGATGAACCAATCAAAAATAATAGCTACAACAACTTTTCAAGACATAGGCAGTACAATAAGATATGAATAGAAACAACACAAAGTTAAAAAGTGATAGGAAGTTAAGGCAGAGTGTTTATTCATTTTCTTTTTGCTTGCTTGTTTGTTTATGTAAACAGTGCTAAGTTGTTATTGGCTGAAAATAATAGATTATAAGATAGTATTTGCAAGCCTCATAGTAACCTCAATCCAAAAACATATGACAGGTACACAAAAAATAAAAAGCAAGAAACTAAAACATATTATCAGAGAAAGTCATCTTCAGTAAAAGGAAGACAGGAAGGAAAGAAAGAAGAGAAGACCAGAAAACAAATAACAAGATGCCAGGAGTAAGACCTTATTTATAATAATAACATTGAATGTAAATGGACTAAGCTTTCCAATCAAAAGACATAGACTGGCTGAATAGGTAAAAACAAGCAAACAAACAAACAACTACAAAAAAAGAAACAAAAAAAAAAACAACAAAAAACAGGCTGGGCATGGTGTCTTACACCTGTATTCCCAGCACTTTGGGAGGTGGAGATGGGCAGATCACGAGGTCAGGAGATCGAGACCATCCTGGCCAACATGGTGAAACCCCGTCTCTACTAAAAGTACAAAAATTAGCTGGGTGTGGTGGCGCATGCCTGTAATACCAGCTACTTGGGAGGCTGAGGCATGAGATCCCTTGAACCTGGGAGGCAGAGGTTGCAGTTAGCCAAGATCACGCCACTGCACTCCAGCCTGGTGACAGAGCAAGACTCCGTCTCAAAAAAAAAAAAAAAAAAAAAAAAAATCAATACTCAGTAATCTTTTGCCTACCGGAAATATACTTCATCTATAAAGACACACATAGACTGAAAGTAAAGGGGTAGAAAAAGATATTCCATGCCAAAGGAAACCAAAAAAGAGAAGGAATAGCTATACTTATATCAGACAGAATAGATTTCAAGACAACAACTGAGGTAACAGGAAACTATGTGGTGATAAAGGGGTCAATTCAGCAAAAGGATATAACAATTTTAAATGTATATACACCCAACACTGGAGCATCCAGATATATAAAGCAAATATTATTAGAGAGAGACAGACCCCAATACAATAATAGCTGGAGACTTTAACACCCTACTTTTAGTATTGGATAGATTTTCCAGACAGAAAATCAACAAAGAAATATCAGACTTAATCTGTGCCATAGACCAAATGAATCTAATAGATATTTACAGAACATTTCATCCAATGGCTGCAGAATATATATTCTTTTCCTAACACTTAAATCATTCTCAAGGATAGCCCACATGTTGAGTCACAAAACAATTCTTAAATTATTCAAAAAATTAAAATAATATCAAGCATTTCTCTGATGACAATGAAACAAAACCAGAAATTAATAACGAGAAGAATTTTGGAAACGATACAAATACAAGCATAAACTATATGCTCCTGAATGACCAGTGGGTCAATGAAGAAATTAAAAAAGAAATTGAAAAATTCCTTGAAACAAATAATCAAAACACAACATACAAAAACCTATGGGAGACAGCAAAAGCAGTACTAAGAGGGAAGTTTAGAGCTATAAGTGCCTACATGAAAAAAGAAGAAAAACTTCAAATAATAATAAAAAAAAACTAACAATTCATCTTAAGGAACTAGAAAAGGAAGAGTAAACCAAACCTAATCTTGTGTTGTTTAGAATAAAACAAATAGTAAAGATCATAGCAGAAACAAATAAAATTGAAATGGAAACAACACAGAAGATCAATGAAACAAAAAGTTGTGTTTTTGAAAGGTTAAACAAAATTGACAAACCTTTAGCCAGACTAATTAAGAAAAAAAGAGAGAACATCCAGATAAATAAATTCAGAGATGAAAGAGGAGACATTACAATGAATACTGCAGAAACTCAAAGGATCATCAGTAGCAATGAGCAACTATGTGCCAACAAATTGGAAAATCTGGAAGAAATGGACAGATTCCTAGACACATATAACCTACCAACATTGAACCATGAAGAAATAAAAAAACCTGAACAGACCAATAACAAGTAATGAGACCTAAGCCATAATGAAAAGTCTCCCATAAAGAAAAGCCCAGGACCCAAGGCCTTCACTGCTGAATTCTACCAAACATTTAAAGAAGAACTAATACCAATCCTACTCAAACTATTCCAAAAAATAGAGAAGGAGGGAATACTTCCAAACTCATTCTGTGAGGCCAGTATTACCCTGATGCCAAAACCAGACAAAGACACATCGAAAAAAAGAAACCTGCAGGCCAGTATCTATGATGAATATTGATACAAAAATCCTCAACAAAATACCAGCAAACTAATTCAACAATACATTAAAAAGATCATTCATTATGACCAAGTGGGATTTATCCCTGGGATGCAAGGATGGTTCCACATATGCAAATCAATCAGTGTGATACATCTTACCAATAGAATGAAGGACAAAAACCATATGATCATTTCAATTGATGCTGAAAAAGCATTTGATACAATTAACCTCCCTTCATGATAAAAACCCTCAAAAAAATTAGGTATAGAAGGAATATACTTCAACATAATAAAAGGCATATATGATACACCCACAGCTAGTATCATACTGAGTGGGGAAAACCTGAAAGGCTTTCCTGTAAGATCTGGAACACAACAAGAATGCCCAGTTTCACCACTGTTATTCAACACAGTACTGGAAGTCCTAGCTGGAACAATCAGACGAGAAATAAATAAAGGGCATCCAAATTAGAAAAGAAGAACTCAATTTATCTTTGTTTGCAGATGATATTATGTTATATTTGGAGAAATGTGGGGACTACAAAAAACTATTAGAACTGATAAACAAATTTAGTAAAGTTGCAGGATACAAAATCAACATACAAAAATTAGTAGCATTTCTATATGTCAACAGTGAACAATCTTGGAAAAGAAATTTTAAAAGTATCCCATTAACATTAGGCACAGATAAAATTAAATACCTAGGAATCAACTTAACCAAAGTGAAAAGATCTCTATAATGAAAACTATAAAATACTGATGAAAGAAATTGAAGAGGAAACCCCAAAATGGAAAAATACTCCATGTTCATGGATTGGAAGAATGATTATTGTGAAGATGTTCATACTACCCAAACCAATTAATTCCTATCAAAATACCAATGACATTCTTTATAGAAATAGAAAAAAAAATCCTAAAATTTATATGGAACCAAAAAAGACTCAGAACAGCCTAAGCTATCCTAAGCAAAAAGAACAAAACTGGAGGAATTACATTACCTGACTTCAAATTATCTTCCAGAGTTATAGTAACAAAAATAGTATGGTACTGACATAAAAACAGACACAGAGACCAATGAAACAGAATAGAGAAACAAAGCCACACACCTACTGAACTCATTTCAACAAAGGTGCAAAGAACATACACTGGGGAAAAGACAGGCTCTTCAAGAAATGGTGCTGAGAAAACTGGATATCCATATGCAGAAGAATGAAACTAGACCCCTAGCCCTCACCATGTACAAAAATTAAATCAGGATGGATTAAAGATTTAAATCTATGACCTCAAACTATGAAACTACTAAAGGAAAACATTGAAGAAACTCTCTAGGGCACTGGCCTGAGCAAAAATTTATTGAGTAATGCCCTACAAGCACAGGCAACCAAAGCAAAAATGGACAAATGGAATCACACCAAGTTAAACTGCTTCTGCACAGCAAAGGAAACAGTCAATAAAGTGAAGAGACAACCAAAAGAATGGGAGAAAACATTTGCAAACTCTACATCTGACAAGGGATTAATAACCAGAATATATAAGGAACTCAATTTATAGGAAAAAAGTCTAATAATCTGATAAAAAATGGGCAAAGTATTTGAATAGATATTTCTCAAAAGAAGACATACAAATAGCAAACAGGCATATAAAAAGGTGTTCAATATCATTGATTATCAGAGAAATGCTCATCAAAACTACAATGAGATATCATCTCTTCCCAGTTAAAATGGCTTGAATCCAAAAGACAGGCAATAACAAATTCTAGTAAGAATGTGGAGAAAAGGAATCCTCATACACTGTTGGTGGGAATGTAAATTGGTAGAATCACTATGGAGAACAGTTTGGAGGTCCCTCAAAAAACTAAAAATACCATATGTACAAGCAATCCCACTGCTGGGTGTATACCTCAAAGAAAGGAAATTAGTATGTAAAACAGATATTTGCACTCCTGTGTTTGTTGCAACATTGTTCACAATAGCCAAGATTTGGAAGCAACCTACGTGTCCATCAACAGATGAATGGATAAAGAAATGTGATACTTACATACTATTCAGCCATAAAAAGAATGAGATCCTGTCATTTGCAACAACATGGATGGAACTGGAGGCTATTCTGTTAAGTGAAATAAGCCAAGCACAGAAAGACAAACGTCAGAAGTTCTCACTCATTTGTGGAACCTAAAAATCAAAACAACTGAACTAACAGAGTTAGAGAGTAGAAGGAAGGTTACCAAGTCCTGGGAAGGGAAGTGGGTTGTTAAGGGGGTGGTGGGAATGGTTAATGGGTCCAAAATATAGATTGAATAAGATCTAGCATTTGATAGCACAACAGGGTGACTATAGTCAATAATAATTTAATTGTACATTCAAAAATAACCAAAGGAGTATAATTGAATTTTTTTGTAACACAAAGGATAAATGCTTGCAGTGATAGATACCCCATTTTCCATGATGTAATTATTATGTGTTGCACACTTGTATCAAAACATCTCATGTACCCTATAAATATATACACCTATTATGTACCCATAAAAATTAAAAAAACATTTTGAGAGTGATTATGCCTTTTTATTGAAATAATTAAGTGAAAATAGGAAACAAAGATCTGAATGTCATCTACACAGAAGCTCCTGGGACAAGATATTATGAAATTTGTACTCCTTCTAAAACAAAAAAACAAACAAATAAGCAAAACCCAAAATGGTCAACGCTTTGTAATAGTGAGACATTTGAGACACTAAGCACAAAGTCTCCTATACTCTTTCTAAACACCCAACCCTCTTTGCCTACATTGCACCCATGAGAGGATTTGGGGAAGGACAAATAGCAGAAGGTGCTATAATTGGCTATAGAACTTTAAGAGGGGCCTCTTCTAGACCTTCACAAGTTTTTTCATTACCCTACACATCCAGAAGAAAAGCTTTTTTTTTTTTTTTTAAACTCAGCCAGCTACTTGAATGTTGGATCTTCAAATTAAATAAAAATATATATTTAAAAACACCCTCAATAACTAACAAAAAAAATCACTTGGTTATTTGATACATGGACCATGTCTCAATAACTTGTTTATTTCTCCCACAGGATTAAATCTGAGTACATAGTGAATGACCAATCAATCCTCATAGTTTGATTATAGATTATTGACTTACATTTACGAGATGCTTTCTGGAAACTCTCCTATCCCTCAACTCAGAAGTCTGACAACGTGTGTAGAGAAAACCTGTGTCTAGAGCATGCATTGGCTCAGAGCAAAACACACCCAATATTGTCAAACAATTGGTTGTTGACAAAAATTCAACCTTTATTTAATAGGGAAAATGTGTTTGGCAGGTAGAACCCAAGTCCTCGAAGGCTTTTTTTTTATGGTGTATATGTGTTTTATTTGTTTTTATTGCCACATGTATTAAACAGTCATCCTATCTCACCTTGGGTGATTGGAGCCCTCTTCAGTAGGTAGATTCCTCCAGCCATCTTGGACCATTTCTGTGACACAGACAATGTTTTCTTCTTCCCAAACTTTATTTTGAAGTAAGTTCAAGGAAATTCAAAACAGCAAGGTTGAGTGGAAAAAATAAGTCTTTTGTTCAGCATGTACAGTTTGAATTCTGTCAGGAGATATTGTACTTTCCTTTTATTACACTTTATTTTGGAGGTTTTTTTTTTGTTTTTTTTTTTTTTTTTAAGAGTCAGAGGAACCCTAAGTCAGGAGGCTGTCCATAGCTGAGTCTCATGGACAAATGGTCAGCTCAAACACATAACAAAGGGTCTGTTGTGATGTTGCCAATTCTATTTCATGAAATCTTTTTTTGGTATAAACTGGAGAAAGCACTTTGTTCAGTTAAAGATTTTTTTTCTTCCCTACCAGTTGTCCTTGCCAAGGTCAATGTTTCTATTATGTGGGGGGAAGCATACCCGCCCCCTGGTGGCTGATTTACACATAGACCTTTTTCTTTACCAAGACCCGTGGATCTCAGTAGCTAAAATGTCCTAGTGTGGTGTACATTCATTTAACAAATATTTATTGAGCTCCTGTTTTGTGCCAGGCAATGTACTAAGTGATTCGAGTTGGGAAACCCAAGGTCTTCCTCTGGGTCTTTTATATGGCAACCAACCATTCAACCTGTTCACAAGGCGGCCACCTCACCTCCGGTGCTTCATTTTCTCAACAATGAGCTATATTATATCTGCACTACTTATCCCAAAGCATAGTATCAAAGATCCAAAATGATAAAATAACAGCAAGTGTGATCGTATGTTGTAAATTAGATGAGGTCACTCCAGTGCTTAAAATAATTTAATGTCTTCCCATTGCCCTTAAAATAAAATCCAACCTCTTTTTATGGACTCAAAGACCCAGCACAATCTATCCACTGCCTCCTTGTCAACCTCATGCCACACCATTCTCCCCCTGGAGAATCTCACCCCTTAATACAGGTCAACTGTCATTTTCTTGAAAGTGCAATTTCCCCCTTAAGGCCCGTATATGTACTTTCTCCTCCCCTTTATAAGCGTCTTCCTACTCTTCACCTACCTAACTCTTATTTATCTTCTTTCTGAATGAAGGCCACCTTCTCAGGAATTTCTTTGCTAAGTACTAGTTCTAAAAATAGTTCACTTTATTATATTATTTCATAGAATCTTATTTTCCTTCATAGGTCTTATCCTGTATAGCAAGTATGTATTTATTTAAATTGCTATTTTTGACCATCTTCTCCACCGAAGTGAAAGTTCCATGAGGACATGTACCATAACTGTATAATTCACTACAGTCTATCTTGCACCTGTAAATAGCATCAATTGGACTTTGGGGAATGAATGAATAAATGACACCTGTGGAATGTTATAGAAATGTGAATTTATTATATATAAATAAGATAATATGAAATATAGAAAAAGTAGGAAAAGCAATTCAAGAAAGAGAATATTGGTGCATTTAATAAGTATTTTGAAATATGAACTTTTAAAGTTTAATTACTCAGTTATATAATCTATATGTTATGACTGCTTAATTAAATAGAATTTAGAATGTTATAACCTAAGCTAAGTTTGCAGGTGACAAAACTGGTGTCCAAAGACATGAAGTGAGACATATAAGGTTATACAGAAGCAGAAACAAGACTAGAATATATGTCTGTGATTCCTGACCTGGAGTTCTTTTGACTACATTGTGTTTATTCTTGTACAACATTATTGTTATGAAACTTCATTTCTTAAGGCTTTATAGACTTATTAAACTTTTGTATTCTATTAAGGTTAGACTAGAGCATCTATAAACAAATTGCTTAATAATTATTGAGCATCTTCCGTCCTGATGTCCTGGAACTAAAATATATATATATATATCTTAGCTCAACTGCCTTCTCCCTTCTCCTGCTTCTCCTTCTCCTTCTCTTCTCCTTCCCTTCTCCTTCCCTTCTCCTTTCCTTCTCCTTTCCTTCTCCTTTCTTCCTTCCTTCCTTCCTTCCTTCCTTCCTTCCTTCCTTCCTTCCTTCCTTCCTTCTTTCCTTCCTTCCTTCCTTCCTTCCTCCCTTCCCTCCCTACCTGTTCCCTTCTATTTTACTATTTCCTTACTGGGAGCATTTTGTCATCCTTTGTGCTTAAAGGGTACTTTCTATCTGGAAACTCATTTCCTCCATTCTGGGAAAGTTTCTTGAATTATTTCTTTTATAATTTTCCCTCCATTTCCTATTTTTATTTTTCTGTACTTCTGCTTTTCCTTCATTTCTGCTCCAATAACTGTAATTAACAATAGCCTTTTGATGATATTTGAGTATTTCTTTTTATAACAAACTGTTCTTATTTCAAAGCCACAGTATCCTGTCTTAAGTTTTTGAGGAAACGAATGGTACTATTTTTGAAATTATTTTTTCTTTGCATTTTTTTCATCTTTCTGTTTCTTTTCCCCCATTAGTATGTTTAAATTACTGTCTTTCTTGTTGAGGTTTTCCTGAAATGTCTGGTGATTCTTGGATGTCCATTCTTATTTGAGAGGACAGAGTTGCCAGACAAGATAGGGAACAGTCATTTGAATCTGAATTTCAGATAAACAATGAATACATTTTTAATATGTCCCAAAGACCGCATTTTTATTTGCTAAATCTGGCAACCCCAAGAGAGGGGCAAGAAGCAGCTGAAGAAACGTCTGTGTGCATGGATAGGACTTGTTGACTACTGGGTGTTACTAAGATGATCTGGCTGGGCTGTTTCACTAGAGGATCCCTGACCATTAGCATCTTTAGGTTTTCACTGAGCACTTAGAGCAGAATCATTCAGTCTTTAGGCTGTCAGTTTTCTGGGAGCCAAAGTAGACCAGGAGGTTGGGATTCTCACCATTCAGAATGTACCCCTTTAGTAATTCTCCTTGTTTTCCGTGGGGGTGCTCCTGCCCTGAGTAGTGCCTGCCATCCCTTGTCTAGATCTTTCTGAAACATGTTCTCCAGAGAGTAAGTCTTCAGTCTCCTGCCAGGAGGGTGAAGAAACTGCTTCTCAAACAATTAACAAATTCTGTATCTGCCTCACCTGCATCCCCACTTTCATATGTACTTCTTGCTTCCAATTTCTGAGCCTTTCCAGGGTTTTGCAATGCAAAGCAGGTTGCTTCTGGGTTTCACCCACTGTCAACTTAAATTTCAGCCTTCATGGTTCGGCTAAGCCAGTTACCCCTCTACCATCTGCTTTCCATCTTCCAAAATGTTGTTGTTGTTGTTTTCCTCCTAATTCTTTTTGTCTTTATGAGTGAATGTCTTTAAAATCAGTCCCTTTACTGTCTTTTTAGTGAGCTTGGGGGATGGAATGTAATGTATAGCATATGTTAAATCTGCCATCTTCAACTAGAAGCACAGCCATGAATTTTCAAAGTGACTACAGAAGAGCCATTTAATTCCTCTTTTCTCAATTTTCTTTTGTAAAATGAGATGGCTAAGGGAGATGGGCTTCGATAAACCCCACTCAAAAATTTTATGATTGTATAATCTCCTGCACTATTAACAGACCATCCGGTAACAACATTCTAAACCTTCCAAACAAATTACGTTTTTAGTCTTTTAAGGAAGAGACAAAGCCGTGGTCTACATTTTCATCAATATTAAGGACCTTCAGCAAGGACTTCTCTGAAGCTTGTTTTCTCTCCAAATGGGGAACTAATATGAACTTCCATTAATATAAACTTCCATCATAAGCCTGCTGTGATTAGCAGATGAGTTAACCCATGGGAAAGTACTTCACATATGGACATTTGCTATGCAAGTATTAATTGATGTAGTTGTTCTTTGGAGTATGCATCTTCTCAGCACAATAATTCTTGGTCTTTTTAAAGTCTTCTGACTGGGGAATCATAGCATTTACCTTAAATCATCTAGACTTACTTATTTATTTATTTTTTCTTTGAGACGGAGTCTCTCTCTGTCACTCAGGCTGGAGTGCAGTGGCGCGATCTCGGCTCACTGCAAGCTCCGCCTCCCGGGTTCACACCATTCTCCTGCCTCAGCCTCCCCAGTAGCTGGGACTACAGGCGCCTGCCACCACGCCTGGCTAATTTTTTGTATTTTTAGTAGAGACGGGGTTTCACCGTGTTAGCCAGGATGGTCTCGATCTCCTGACCTCGTGATCCGCCTGCCTCAGCCTCCCAAAGTGCTGGGATTACAGGCGTGAGCCACTGCGCCCAGCCAATCACCTAGACTTATTATAATTAGAGTTACTAGTCCCTTCAGGTTACCAGTGAATTTTTTTCTATAAAGCACCGAGGCTTCAAAGACATTAGCAATACTAGTAAAGGAATTACTCTTAATTGAAAAACACTAATGTATCAGATAATCTGCTAAATTCTTTATATACATTTCCTCTAATCTTTACAAACATCCTCCTAGGTAAGTCATATTTAACCCATTTTACAGATAAGGATATTGAGGCTCATAGAAGTTAAGTGATTTCGTCAAGTTCACTCACTCAGTAAATAGTAGAGTTGGGATTCAAACCAGGTCTTTCTGGCACCAAAACCCATGTATACTTTTTGCTTTTATGCCATAATGCTTTCTTAACTCTTTAGAAAACACTAATATCACTTAAAACATTGAAGGCAGAATGAGCTTGGTGTGATTAGCAATCCTTTGTTTCCTTTCCAGTATTCAATTCTGACATTCCCAAAAGAGATTCTGAGTTCTGTAAGCGTCTGTTGGTCACACTCTATCAAGCCCCCTTCTTTGCTCCTGCTGTTTTTCTTCTTTAAATACCATTTCTCCCTTTCTCTGTCCAGTGACTGTCTACCCATCCTGTGGGGCTCCATCAGGGTACAATTTCTTTTTTGTTTGTAAGACAGGGTCTTGCTCTGTTGTCCAGGCTAGAGTACAATGGCATGATTATGGTTTACTGCAGTCTCTACTTCTTGGGCTCTAGCAATCCTCCTACCTCAGTCTCCCTAGTAGCTGGTACTACAGGCATGCACCACCATGCACAGCTAACTTTTTTGTTTTTTTGTAGAAATGAAGTCTCACCATGTTGCCCAAGCTGGTCTCAAACTCTTGGCCTCCAGAAATCCTCCAACTTCAGCCTCCCAAGGTGCTGGGATTACAGGTAATAGCCACTGTGCCCAGTTAAGGTGCAACTTCTTTATGGAGCTTTTCTTTACTTCTCCAAGCAAAATTAGTTGCTCCCTTCTCTATGTTCTCTGTACATTTTAGTTTGTACCATATAAAATTGCCTCTATGTAACCATTTTTGACCTACAAATCTGGCAATTTTATATCATTTAGCCAAATATCTCCTTATCCCATTGTATTACATTTTGGGTTGGCATGTGTCTATCCTCTCTCCATTCCACCCCCCAGAATGTAAGTTCCATGACAGTTAACAGTAAGAGCTGACTTTCTGTGTGCTTCCTAGGAGGCCAGGACTGTTCTACACACTTGAAGTAAATTAACTCTTTTAATTCTTAGAGCAATGGTGTAATGATGATACTTTTCTATGCATAGTACCACTAGATAAGTGAGGAAGCTGAGGCACACAGAAGCTGTATTTGTCAAGGTTCTCCAGAAGGACAGAACTAGTCAGATATATGTCTATATTAAAGGGAGTTTATTAGGGAGAATTGGCTCACACAGTCAAAGGTGAAGTTCCACACAATAGCCACCTGCAAGCTGAGGAAGAAAGAAGCCAGTAGTGGCTCAGTTTGAGTTCAAAAGCCTCAAAAGCAGGAAAGCCTACAGTGCAACCTTCAGTCTGTGGCAAGGCCTGAGAGCCCCAGCAAACCACTGGTGTAAGTAGTCCAAGGGTCCAAAGGCCAAAAAACCTGGAGTCTGATGTCCAAGAGCAAGAGGAACAGATGGAAGCATCCAGCACAGGAGAAAGATGAAAGCCAGAAGACCCAGCAAGACAGCTTATCCCACCTCCTTCCACCTGCTTTATTCTAGCCACGCTGGCAGCTGATTGGGTGGTGCCCACTCACATTGAGGGTGGGTCCAGTCCACTGACTCACATGTCAATCTCCTCTGGCAACATTCTCACAGACGCACCCAGAAACAACACCTTACCGGCTATCTAGACATCCTGCAATCCAATCAAGCTGACACCCAGTATTAATCATCACAGAATCTAAGTAACTTGCCCAGCCTCACAAAACTTGACAGAGCTTGGATTTGAGCCTAGGTTATCTGTCTTTAAGGTCCAGAGACTTAACCATTTCTCTAAAATCCTTCTATTACTATTCTGTCTGGTTGTGTTTTGTTCACCACTGTATTCCCAGGGCTAGCACAAGGCTAGGGACCTACTAGGTGCTTAGTAAAGAGGTGAATTAAATGATTTTGTACCAGTCACATTTACTGAGCACCTACTCTGTGCTCCCAGATGTTGTGGTGGTAGGCACCAAGAAAAATAAGGCCCAGTCCCCACCTTTATGGAGATGGTGGCCAAGCAGGGGCCCCTGGAAACAGTGTAGCATTTACATTGAGGAGGCTGAACGTCAGAGGTGAGGAGAACTATGGATGGCCTGTTGTGTACCTGGAGGTAGAACAGGTGATGGAGAAGTCCTGAGAAAGAGAAGGGTAGAATTATCCATGTGAAGGAGGGTCCAGGTTCAATGCAGATGTGTTCTAGACAGATGGAGCAGCTTATGCAAAGGCCCTGAGTTGGGGCAGGGTAGGGGGAGAATGGCAAAGCAGGGGTGGGAGTTCAGAGAATGTAGAACTGGGGCCGCTGGGCCCTAGGGCCTAGATTACAACTTCAGCTGTATCATTTATCTCCTTAGTGACTTTGGGTAGATTTCTTACCTCCTTATGCCTCAGTTTCCTCTTCTGTAAAATGGATATAATAACAGTACCTGTCTGGTGAGATTCAAAGGAAGCATTGCCTTACTTATACTCAAAGTATACAGAATAGTGTCTGGTTCATAGAAAATGCTCTAACATAATTCTTAAGGAATTAAATTTCCTGAGTGTGTAGAAGTTCATGAAAGAAAATATTTGCTTCAGGAGAGTTAGAAATTTGCGATTAGGGCTTCTGTATTAGTCCGTTCTTGCACTGCTATAAAGAAATACCTGGGACTGGGTAATTTATAAGAAAAGAGGTTTAATTGGCTCACAGTTCTGCAGGCTGTACAGGAAACATAGTGGCTTCTCTTTCTCGGGAGGCCTCAGGAAGCTTACAATCATGGCGGAAGGCAAAGGGGAGCAAGGCATCTCACATGTCAGGAGCAGGAGCAAAAGAGAGGGAGCGGGGTGGTGCTGCACACTTTTCAACAACCAGATCTTATGAAAACTCACTCATTGTCACATGGACAGTACCAAGAAGATGCTGCTAAACTATTTATGAAAAATCTGCCCCCATGATCTAATCACCTCCCACCAGCCCCCACCTCCAACATTAGGGATTGCAATTTGGTGGGGACAAAGATCCAAACCATATCAGCTTCAAACTGCGTTCTCATAATTATAAAGTAATTGGAATAATAGCCACCATGTATTGTGTGCTTAATAGGTATTCCATGGCATGCTAACCTCAAAACAACCTTGGGAAGAAGGTACTACTGTCTCCATTTTATACATGAGTATGTGAGGCACAGGGAGGTTAAATCATAGTCTCACAATTAGCAAATACATAGAAGACAGGTTTTAATTCAGACATTGGCCTTCTGAGTCCTTGTGCTGAGCTACTTTGCCACAATGATTTTCTGGTTTGCAATTTTAAAATGAGAGTCAAGTTGGATGCAGTGGCTCATGCCTGTAATCCCCAGTGGTTTGGGAGGCCAATGCGGGAGGATTACCTTGAGGCCAGGAGTTTGAAACCAGCCTGAGCAACAGCAAGATCCTGCCTTACAAAAAATTTTAAAAATTAGCTGGGTGTGTTGATGGTCACTGCCATGGTGATGATTACTCGGGCCCAGGAGTTCAAGGCTGCAATGAGCTATATAGTGCCACTGCACTCCAGCCTGGGAAACAGAGCAAGACCCTGTCTCTAAAATAAATAAATATATAAATAAACAAACAAACAAAATCAGAGTGAGATGGTAGGGCCCTAAATCAGTCTTGGTTTAATGGAACTATTTGAAAAGTAACGAACAAAAAAAGTATAAAGGAATGAATAAATGTTCCTATGACATATGCTTGTTGGTTTCCATCACTTTGGGCTTCTTTCAATTGATTGATAATAACTCCATTCCCTTGAGAAAAATCAGTAAGAGTTTACATACAGCTACAGGTCACTCTTTTGGGCCAAATGTTTAAGAAATAATCAGTGGAGTTTTCTTCCTTCTTTGTTTTTCATCTTCTCTTAAAATTTTAAACTAAGCAAAAGATTTCATCTAAGTTTTCAGTCTGATGTCTTCAAAATAAAACATTTTAAGAGGAAAAAACCCGTAAACATGTCACTGGTAGAATTATGCATAATTTTAGAAAGGAAGCAGTAGGGTGCAGTGTTAGAACTAAAGATTTTAGAAGACCAGAATGTTAAGCCTGTATGAGACTTTAAAGATCATCTGGTAATGAAAGAGTTAAGGTAAAGGACCTGCTCTTGAAACTTGTGATCTTGGGTAAGTTATTTAACTTATCTGAACACCAGATTCCTGTCTCTTAAGTGGGGATAATAATAATACTTGCCATGAAGGTTATAACATGAAGAGTAAATGCGTTCATTCATGAAAACCGCTTCCTACGATGCCTGGCAGTCAGTGTGCAAAGTTACTTTCCCAAGGTCATCCATGTAGTTAATGTCAGAAAACAGAATTTTTCACTCCTAATCCTGTTTTCCAGGCAAGTATGTTTTTTTTAACAGCAGATTATTATGAACATTCTCAACATAATTGATACTTGAGTCTCATTGTGTGTGTTTGCTTCTAGTAACTATATCGATTCACGTTTGTTTTCTATTCTTTTTCCCTTCTGATATTATGATATTAATTCTTCATGTAGACAGCCTTTTCATAAATTTCTGAGCAATAATATTAGTCCTAGGTTAAAGCCAGACAGCTGAATTTATGGTATGTATCCCTTAAAAATTATTGTTATCTCAAACAACTTTACAGGAAAAAAAGCATCAATTGATGTTAAACCTCAAATATGCGTTTGTTTTTAGCTGAAAATTCCAAGCAGAATTACCCAAGTATTGAAAATCTTCAGAAAGAGCTGTAAGTTGATGGATATCTCAATTACCCTGATTTGATCTTTACTCATTATATAAATGTATCAAATTATCATGTTTCCCCCCACATATGTATACATATTATGTGTGAATAAAAAAATTAAAAAAGAAAAAAGAAATAGCATTAGTTAGTATTAGACAGTGTCAATAAGGCAAGAAATTTAAAAATGATCTAATTACAAGACTTAACATCTAGAAACCTTTTGTTTTTTGAAATTAAACCAAGATATAAAGACACAGAATCAAGTTATCCAGAATGTGCAGAGTCAGAAATGGAGGACATCTTGTCTCTAGTTCATTTTATATTTTTAGGCAGTGGTTAATCAGTGAAATTTTGTCATGGGTTGGGGAGATCTCACCATTTCTCTTATCATTTTCTTCTAGCCATGCTTCACTCTGGGGTTTAGGGGAGATTCATAGTGGAGGGAATAAGGACTAGGACCTAACTGTATTCTGAGAAAAAGTATGTAATTTGAAGAGGTCATCAGGAAATCATTTCCCAAGCAGGGCACTTGTCTTTGAAATCCTTTCTCACTCCAGATCTAACAAAGCCCTAGTTCATTGTACCTCAAAGGATGATCTTAAGCAGCTGGTTTGGGCTGGCCAGCTTTGATG
This sequence comes from Homo sapiens, assembly GCF_000001405.40. Taxonomy (NCBI): domain Eukaryota; kingdom Metazoa; phylum Chordata; class Mammalia; order Primates; family Hominidae; genus Homo; species Homo sapiens. Next base: position 102,712,043 of record NC_000012.12, read on the forward strand.
GCTGGAGCATTTGAACTGCAGAGGTTGGGGGTGTCGGGGGTAGGGGGTGGTTAAAATGGTTTATTTCCGTTTAATTGTTTGTATTATCTGTCCAGGATTCCTCTTAAGGAAGAATGGGCTTCATCCTGTGGGAAATGAACATCTCTCTGTGAATATTATGGGGGCTTAGACAAAATAAAATCACTTTTAAGAGCCCAATTTGATGTTCTGGTAAATTAGTTCATTTAATCACTTGGTGCTTCTGTGATGGATTTAGTGTGGGCAAGGGGTATCCGCACTTTCACATCCCTGTCCCTTTAAATTCCTACAATCTGGAAGGCCCCTTCACACTTTCAGTTTGCTGAATCCTGCTCTTTCTTCAAAGATTCCCCAATAACCTTCCCAAATCATTTACCTTCAAAATTAAAAGGACAAGATTTTACATTCCTCTGGTGTCCTGGGAGAGGGGCAGAGGAATTAGTATTCTCTGGACTTGGCTTCATCTTGGAGAAGAGAGTTGAAAGTAAATCATGGGATGGAATTTGATAATTTTAGCTTTGTCTTCAAGAAGAAGGATTAATTTTCTTCCCTAATATATTCCTTCTTGTCTGGGCTGAAGCATTGCTGAATTTGATCTCACTAGATTCCTCTATTAGAATATAAGTTCCATGTGGATGAGGATTTGTCTAGTTACAACTATATCCTGAGTGCCTAAGACAGTATCCAGCATATGGTGGGTTCTCATTCATTTAAATAAATAAATGAATGACCCAATGTGTCAGTCAAGGTAACCTGGGTTGTGCTGCAGTAAACACAACCTCTAAATCTGAGTGGTCTATCTCTTATGCACTGAGGTCAGTTGGGAGCTCTCCTCCATACTTCCTCCCATTGGAACCCAGGCCGACAAAGAAGCTGCCATCTTGAATTTTGCTTATCACTGGATAGAGGAAAAGTGAGCTGTAGGTTTTGAACCAGCAATAGAATGTTCTGGCCTGGAAGTCATATGTGATCCTTTAACTTACAATTCACTGGACAGAGCTAGTCACATGTTCCCTGCCAAACCATGTGGAAGTATGTTTGCAATCTGACTACATTCCAAAACTATTAATAGCAATAATGACTACTACATTTAAGGAAGGCTTTAACTTAATTTTTTATGGGAACTTGACCATTATTAGAATTTTGGTGAGGCCATGAGGCAGCTCCATTTCCCAGAATGACTTTTAGAATCATAAGCTAATCACTTTGAATCACGTGTCTTAGTTTTGGGCTGCTATTAACAAATTACAAAATAGACTGGTGGCTTAAACAATAGAAATTTATGTCTCACAGTTCTGGATGCTGGAAAGTTCAAGATTGTGGTGCCAGCATTGGTAGGTTCTGATGAGATTCCTCTTCCTGGTTTGCTGGTGGCTGTCTTCTTGCTCTGTCTTCACATGGCCAGAAAGCAGAGAGAGGAAGCAAGCTGTCTTGTGTCTTTTCTTAGAAGCGCAATAATCACATCGGGAGGGCACCATCCTCATGACCTTCTCCTAAAGACCCTACCTCCTAATACCATTCCACTGGGGGTTAGGGTTTCAACATGAATTTCGGGAGGAACACAAACATGAAGTCCGTAATACCATGCGTTCTTACAAAAGCAGTATCACCCCAAGAGGGTGAAAATTGGTTCTTGGAGGATGAGAAAATTCAGATCTTATGATGGTTTGTGGACCTCCAAAGGGCCACACTACATAAACAGACATATAATATATATGTGGTATTTACATATCATGGTGGGGACAATTAGGAAAAAATGTGCGGAGGTTGCAGTGAGCCAAGATCGCACCACTGCACTCCAGCCTGGGCGACAGAGCGAGATTCCATCTTGGTAAATAAATAAATAAATAAATAAGTCTTTTTAGGGAACAATAATGAAAAAAGAATGAGGAAAACTGCTTTAAACCAATGAGAAGTTAGCTTATATCTAAACTTCTTGTTGCTGGTGGTGTTTGACAGGAGTGGTGACTCCCTGGGGCTTGTGAATTATTTCCGCTGGTGTGAAGAGGTGATGCCTCCACTTCAGGCCACTTTCATGAAGTGATTGCTGCCTTCTCTGCATCTGCTATTCTCTAAAACATCCTGATACCAGCAGGTTGAGGAGGCCTATAAGCAGAATATTACTGATATCACTAGCGGTAATACTTTCAAGGCAAGGAAAAAGTTCTCTCCCACAGCCTACCATTTAGGATAACGAGTCCCAACAGATGGGTTCTATGCTAAATAATGGACTGACTAGTATTTTTGTTCTGATATTTTGATCATTTGAGTTTGGAAATTTCACTCTCAGACTCAGGTTGGCTTATTAAATATTTGTTGACTTCCAGAGAAATCCCTTATTTTTAAGAAAAGATAAAATAAGCAAAAGATCGTTTTCTTATGTTTTTAGTAAACTTGAGTTAGAATTGTTGCTCCCTGTATCTGAATTGCAGATTGAGCACTTATTAACTAAGAGACTTTCTTTGAGTTATTTAATTCCTTTGTGCCTTGGTTTCCTCATACGCTAAACAGGGATAATAATAATTCCTACTTCATAAGGTTGTTGTAAGGATTAAATAAGGTATATAAGCATTTTTAAGCTTTTATAAATTGGCAAATAAGAATTGTAAGTATTCATCGTGAATAACATGATGTCTTGAAATATGTATGGATTGTGGTTTGGCTCAAGTGACCCTAATTAACATACATTTTACCTCACTTTTTGTGGTAAAAACACTTAAAATCTGCCCTCTGAGCAGTTTTCAAAATACAATACATTGTTATGAGCTTTAGTCACCATGTTGTACAGTAAATCTCTTGAACTTATTCCTTCTATATAACTGAAATTTTGCATCCTTTGACCAATATGTCCCCAATGCCCCCACCCCAGTGCCTCTGGTAACAACCATTCTATTCTCTACTTTCCTGAGTTCAACTTTTTTGAATTCTACATTTAAGTGAGATCATGTGGTATTTTTCTTTCTGTGCCTGGTTAACTTCACTTAACATAATGTCCTCCAGGTTCATCCATGTTGTCATAAAAAGATTTACTTCTTTTTTAAGGTTGAATAGAATTCCATTATATATATATACCATATATTTTTAATCCATTCATCCATTGATGAACTCTTAGGTTGATTCTATGTCTTGGCTATTGTGAATAATGCTGCAGTGACCATGGGAATGCTTTTACATACTATTTCATTTCCTTTAGATATATACCCAGAAGTGAAATTGCTGGATCATATAGTAGTTCTATTTTTAATTTTTTGAGAAACCTCCATACTATTATCCATAATGGCTGTACTAATTGACATTTCTACCAAGAGTATCTAAGGGTTCCCTTTTCTCTACATCCTGGTCAACATTTGTTTTCATTTGTCTTTTTTATAGTAGTCATTCTAACAGGTGTGAAACATCTCATTGTGGTTTTAATTTGCAATTAACTGATAATTAGTGAGGTTGAACATTCTTATGTATGCCTGTTTGCCATTTGTACATACTCTTTTGAGAAAGAATGCCCTTTGCTCAATTTTGAATCAGGTTATTTATTTTCTTGCTATTGAATTGTTTGAGTTCCTTATATATTTGGGTTATTAATCCCTTATAGCAGCAGTCCCCATATTTTTGGCCTACTCATTTCGTGGAAGACAGTTTTTCCATGAACTGGGGTACAGGAGCATGGTTTTGGGATGAAACTGTTTTACCTCAGATCATCAGACATTAGATTCTCATAAGGAATGCACAACCTAGATCCCTTGCTTGTGCAGTTCACAATAGGATTTGCACTCTTATGAGAATCTAATGCCACTGCTGATCTGACAGGAGGTAGGGCTCACCCACTGTTCACCTCCTGCTGTGCAGCCTGGTTCCTTACAGGACACAGACCCATACCAGTCTCCAGGGCTTGGGGACCCCTGCCTTATAAGATGTATGACTTGCAAATATTTTATCCCATTCCATAAATTGCCTTTGCATTCTGTTGATTGCTTATTTTAGTATGCAGAAATTTTTAGTTTGATACATTCTTATTAGTCTATTTTTGCTTTTGTTGCCTGTGCTTTTGGGGTTGTATCCAAAAAATCATTGTCCAAACTAATGTCATAAAGCTTTCCCACTATGTTTTCTTCTGGTAGTTTAATAGTTTCTGGTCTATGTTTTAATCTTTAAAACATTTTGGGTTGATTTGTGTATATGATATGAAATAAGGGCCTAATTTTATTCTTCTGTATGTGAATATCCTTTATTCCCAACATTATTTATTGAAGAAGCTGTCTTTTTCCCTTTGTGTTTTCTTGGCACTTTTGTCAAAAACCAATTGACTATAAATGCATGAGTTTATTTCTGGCCTTTATTCTGCTCCATTGGTCCATGTATCTGCTTTTATACCAGTACCATGCTCTTTTGCTTGCTATAGCTTTGTAGTATATTTTGAAGTCAGGTACTGTGATGCCTCCAGCTTTATTCTTGTTTATCAAGGTTGCCGTGTTTATTTGGGATCTTTTGTGGTTCCAGACAAATTTTAGAAATGTTTTTCTATTTCTATGAAAACATCATTGGAATTTTGGTTGCATTGAATGTATTCAACTTTTCACCATTGAATATGATGTTAGCTACAAGTTTGTTGTATTGCCTTTATTGTACTTCTATACCTAATTTGGTAAGAATTTTTATCATGAAAGATGTTGAATTTTGTCAAATGCTTTTCCTGTATCTATTGAGATTATCATATGTTTTTGTCCTTTATTCTATTAATGTGGTGTATATCACATTTATAGGTCTGTGTATGTTGAATCATCCTTGCACCCCTCGGAAAAATTCAACTTGATTATGGTGAATGGTCCTTTTAATATGCTGTGGATTTCAGTTTACTATTATCTATATTCATCAGGGACATAGGCCTGTATTTTTTTTTTTCTTGTAGTGTCCTCATCTGGTTTTAGTATCAGGGTAATGTTGGCCTTGTAAAATGAGGTTGGACATATTCCCTCTTCAAATTTTTGGAAGAATTTTGAGGTGGATTGGTATTCATTCTTCTCTAAAAGTTTTGTGGAATGCAACAGTGAAGCCATCAAGTACTAGGCTTTTCTTTGATGGAAAACTTATTACTGATTCAGTCTTCTTACTCATTATTGATCTGTTCAGATTTTCTTCTATTTCTTCATTATTAATTTTTGGTAGGTTGTGTATATCCAGGAATTTATTCATTTTTCTCTAGGTTATTCAATTTGTCAATGTATAATTATTCATGATAGTCTCATGATCCTTTGCATTTCTGTGATATCCATTGTAATGTCTCCTTTTTGATTTCTGATTTTATTTGAGTTCTCTCATTTTTGTTAATCTAGCTAAAGTTTTACCAATTTTGTTTATCTTTCAGAAAACCAACTCTTAGTCTTGTTGATCTTTTCTATTGCTTTTCTAGTCTCTATTATTTATTTCTACTCTGATCTTATTATTTCCTTCTTTCTACTTACTTTAGGCTTAGTTTGTTCTTCTTTTTCTAGTTTCTTGAGGTATACCATTAGGTTTTTTGGGGGGACTTTCTTTTGTGTTGATGTGGGGATTTATTGCTATAAACTTTGCTCTTAGAACTGCTTATGTTGCATCCCGTAAGTTTTGGTATGTTGTGTTTCCATTTTCATTTGTCTCAGGATATTTTTCAAATTTCCCTTTTAATTTATTCTTCAACTCATGGGTTGTTCAGGAGCATGCTGTTTAATATCCATATATTTGTAGATTTTCTGAAGTTCCTCCTGTTCTTGATTTCTAGTTTCATACCATTATGGTCGTAAAAGGTACTCAATATAATTTCAATCATCTTAAATTTGTTAAGACTTGTTTTGTGGACTAATATATGATCTATCCTGGAGAATGTTTCATGTGCATTTGAGAAGAGTGTGTATTCTGTCTCTGTTAAATGGAATGTCATGTATCTGACTGTAAGGTTTATTTGGTCTGAAATATAGTTCAAGTCCAATATTTCATTATTAATATTTTGTCCGGATGATCTGCCAATTGCTGAAAGTGAGGTATTGAAGTCTTCTACTATTATTGTATTACAATCTGCTCTCCTTTCATGTCTATTAATATTTGCTTTATATGTTTAGGTGCTCCTATGTTGGGTACATATGTATTTACAATTATTATATCCTCTTGATAAATTAGCCCCTTGATATAGTCCAAAACTGATCTCCAATGTTAGCGACGGGGCCCAGTGAGATGTTTGGGACATGGAGGTGGATACCTTATGAATGGTTTGGTGCTGTCCTTGTAGTAATAAGTGAGTTCTTGCTCTATTAGTTCATATAGGAGCTTGTTGTTAAAAAGAGCATGGCACCTCCCCCTTCTCTCTTGCTCCCTCCCTTGCTATGTGACACACTTGCTCCCTTCTGCCTTCTGCCATGATTAAAATTTCTTGAGGCCCTCAACAGAAGCCTTCTTTGCTGGTGCCATGCTTCTTGGGCAGCCTGTAGAGCCAAATAAACCTCTTTTCTTTATAATTTACCCAATCTCAGTTATTCTTTTTTAGCAATGCAAAACAGACTAATACACCCCTTTATCACTATATAATGACCTTCTTTGTTTCTTATTGTAGTTTAAATTTCTCATATAATGATTATTATCTAAGTGTTTTTAATAGTACCTGGAGTATAGTAAGTCCCACACAAATATTAGTTACTGATAGCTATTGTTGCATTATCCATATTTTAATCATTATTCTTCATACATGGTCCTTAGTCTTTTTTCTTGTTATAAAATGAAGGATACAAGATTGTTTTTCTTATGCCATCTTTGGACATTCATCCACCTAGGCTTTGACCATATTAGTATTCATGGCAGACACCGTAGGGTTCCTGGACACATCCTCAGTCACAATTTGCTTTTCCCTGGAAGCTTTCAGAGGTTGGATTAGGAATGCACGTGTGACTCAATAATCTCTAACTCGAAGTTGCTGGATGGGACTTCAGGGAAAATTTTATTCAAAAAACTCGACTCAGAAAGTATGATTCTTTGACACTTAGTTCTTTCTGCCTTTTTCTTCTTACCACCTGGAATGCAAATGGATTGAATTGCTATTGGTGTGACAGCCATCTTGTGACTGTGATGAAACAACAGTGATACCATCACTTTAAATACAATGAAGCAGATGATAGAAAGAGGTTAAATCCCTGGCAGAATTTTTAGACAATCACATCACTCTCGACAAATTTCCTCTTGGCTTTTTGATATGTGAAAGAAGAAAATGTTTATGTATTGAAGCCATAGTTTTCCGTTGCTTTCAGCAGAAAGCATTATTAGTTAATGTACTGTTTTTACCTATATGGAAATGTGTAAAATGTGAATGCTTTAAAAAATAAATGTAAAATGCACACACGCACGCGCGCGCGCGCACACACACACACACACACACACACACACACTACTGGTAAGAGGTATATTTCCAGGACATACTAGGAGTGAAAAAAAAGTTTTTAAGTTTCTTTCTTCCTGAATTATAAACATAAGGGTTATTTCACATGATAATGGGCAAATAACCATTTGTTCTTGAAATATCAAGAAAAGGGCTTCCTGCTTGATCATCTCTGCTTAATTAAAGTTTTTTGGTGAAATTAAGTACTACTTAAACTTCACAGTAATTATATTTTTACATTGTTATTTAAAAGAACAGATGTTCATAGCTAGCATTTATTTACATTTATGTGCTTGACATCATGGTAAACATGCACTCTCTCTCTGTCTATATATATACATGCATACCCTCAGTTAATCGATTAGTCTTATATCAGCCTTAAGAGACAGGTACTGGGTTTTTTTCAGTATATATAAGAATATTCAAGGCTTAAAAAGATAATTTACCTAATGTTAAATGAAGATTATTGATGGAAAACAACAGAAATTAACTTGGCTGATTTAATCAAAAAAAGAAATGTATTTAGAGAATATTACTAATATGCAAAATTGTTGTGGGGGCAGGAGTACCAAGATCATGAGCTATTTAGCCAGAATCAAGGTCCATTAATGACACTAACACCCAGGCCACTGATACCGGATTTAGGACATTTCCACTGGCACCACTGGACTGCAACCATAGGAACTTGATCTTGCTTGACCTATAGTAGATTCTACAGGGTCCCTATTTCTTAGTGTCAGTAGCTCCTAATTTAGAAATTTACCTGGCTTCATTTATTTGGTAGATTCTAGACCTCATGCTTAAAGTTCAGCTGTAAAGGAGGTTGGAGAAATGATATTTGCTTTCCAAAGTGGGAGGTGAGCCATACCTCCTATGAAGACTCATACAAGGAAGGGTATTTTCCAAACATTGGAAGGAATTTCAAATATTAGCCAGCCAAAAAGAACGATTCTGCACAACTAAGTCAAAATTCAAACCCAGATTTCTCTAACAGCAAAATCCAAACTTTCAACCACCATCCTGAAAGGCTCATAATTTGTAGTAAGAAATCCGGCTTCCAAATTTTTAAGACAATAGAGCTCCCAACTGATTCCAGGGGGATAAAAACACTATTATATGTATTTCTAATTCATTCTCCGCCCTCCTTCTCTTTAGAGGTTTTGTCAAGGGTCTGGTGGCATTCCCACTAGGTGGATTGACCAAGAGGTGGCATTATTTTCTTTGACAACTGTGCTGACAGTTTTATAAGTTGAAATAAAAAAGTTCTGTTATCTATTGAGCAGTGTACATTCCTATATGGACAGATGTGATGGTGTGAAGTGAGCTTTGGAATTGGAATGATTACAAAAGGCCCTTTACCTCCCCTTCCTCACCTGACATGTTTCCATTAAAATGGTGCATCTCAGCTGAACTGTTCAGCTGTTCTCTGCCCGTGCTCACTCCGACAGCCCCTCATCCCTTGGGTAGGAGTGGCAAATCAGGATGATGAGAACCTAGGCCATTTCTTCTTACTAATGGGTGTAGTCTCCTCTATTTCTTACTCGCGTTGCCTCTAACCCTTGTTTCCTATCTCCATGTGGAAACACTGACACCTGGGAAATGTCACCATCCTCTTTTAGCTGCTCTCCTCTGGGGTCAGGTAGGAGGTGAGGTGGACTTGTGACTGGCTGGACATGTAAGCTTAGTGGCTAACTGGAGACCCATCCCTTGCTACAGGAGTCTCCAGGTCTGGATCTAGAGAGAGAAGAGTCTCATTTTGTGTTCCTCAATGTAGACAATTTCTACTTTATTGGGTCATGGATAAAGTCAATATTTTGGTTCTCATTTGGCTATTGCGCATGAATTAGTTTTAGGCTCTGAGGAAATTTCAGAGTCAGGACCCTTGGATTCAAATATATCTACTTAATACATTTGGCAAAGCAGTTAACTCTCCTGAGTCTCAGTTTCCTCAGCTATAAAGCAGGAATAGTATCACCTGCTTTGCATATATATAACCACAGTAAGGGCTAAAAGAGATTTCATGTATTAAATGTGTTACATGACCAGGCCTAGGGTAGGTATTCAAACCACATGAGCTATAAAGGAATTTTAGAAATGACAGGGACTATTTACCTTTTAAAAGAATAATAGCTAGTCGAAACTGGTAAAAGAGAAAATCAGTCTAAGTTCTAATATAGTAGCACTTAGAAAAAAATGTTTATTGAATTGCATGTCATTTTCTCCTTTAAAAGTAACTATTATTTATTGAGGACTTACTCTAGACCAAACACTTTACCAATATTATCTCATGTAACCCTCACAAGAAACCTTTGAATTCAGTTCTATTATAAGCAGTCCCATTTTGCGGATGAGAAAACTGAAGCTTAGAGATGTTAAGTAGTGCAGTGGCAGGCCTGGTGGTGGAGGTTGGGCCTGTCTGGATCCAGGATCAGTACTCATAACTACATACTGTCCTGAGGGCACAAAGGAAAATTTGGCTCTTTCCCTCCCATCCCATAATTCACATCCCCAAACGGTGGAATGCGAATGAGGGAAAGTGAACTTTCCCTGTGAGCTGTAGATCAGAATTCAAGCCCAAGTTTGTTAGCTGTAACACCTGCAATCTGAGATTCTAAGCAATATCACCTTTTGTCCTGAGTTCTGTGTAACTTGTCTGCACAGATGGATGTGTTCCAAATTCTGGCACTGAGGTCCATAAGAGAACGGTGAGATGTGGCACTAACTGCTCAGGCCATCTGGATAACCTGTCAGGACTCCTTGGTTTGTTTACTCATCTCAGTTGGCTACATAAGTGGTAAGGAAAGTGGTCAGGGGCCTGGTTTCATTTGGAGAGCTCTGGGCTGTTATCTTGCTAGGTTTTCCCCTTCTTCTGAGTGTGATACCTATTCAGGGACAAAGTTCTGTTGAATAAGCAAGCTGTGTTTGAAGGCAGCCATCCAGGTCCAGAACAGTCCACCTATTCAGAATCTGATCTCTTGACAATGGGGGCTCTCAGGGTTATTGTTATGATAATATGTTCTAACTCTTTCTTCCCAGAGCCAGGTAGGTTCCCATGAAAAGAGTGGAGTTGGCGTTGGATATTGTTTCTAGTAGCAGTTTTCCTGGTATGGGCGACAGGGACTCAGCGGTAAGATCGACTCTTACTAAATGGGTCCTGGCAAGGGCTGAAGGTGGGGAGTGGGTGCAGTGAGGTAAGCACAGGCCTGCTGGGGACCCTGCACAACCATGATGACCACACACAGTGATCCTGGAAGGAAGGATCTACAGGGCTAGGAAGAAACTCTGTCGTGTGTGTGTGTGTGTGTGTGTGTGTGTGTGTGCGTGCGTGCGTGCGTGCGTGATGGAGGAGTCTCATCAGACCTAAAATGGAGCCTAGATCTTAGTTCATGTGATAAAAGAGTTAAGCTCCCTTTAGCCTTGTCTCCCTTTTTTTAGTCCTTAAGTTCTGACTTCAGGCTTTTCAGTGTCTTAAGGTCTGAGTTCATTACGTTGGTAATTGTAATTACCAATGTAATGCCAATATCCTCAATTCACAGTCATTCATTCATTTATTAAAAATGATTGATCAAGTACTTCTCATTTGTTAGGCAGTCTGCTAGGTGTTTCAGGGCAAGACTACCATGCACAACCCACACAACTATCCATGGCTATCCTTCTTTAGAAAACAAAAGATAAAAACATGATGTAGTCTCTGCTGCAACAGACTTAGTGTCCAAGGCCCAGAGAGGAATTGAATGGGCAGGTGGGAGAAGTGAAAGATTCCTTTGAGCTGGAAGGTTGTGACATTTGAATTGCATGTCAGGATGAAGATCGGATCAAGAAACATGGAAATGTGAATAAAGTTGAAAGAGAGAATATTGGGACAAGTTGTAAAGGGGCAGGAAATGCCTGGCCGTGTGTATAGAATGATGAAGAGTATAGTTCGAGGCAAAGGGTGTGTGAAGAAAACTAGTAGGAAAGAAGGTTGGTGACAGGTTGAGACCTTGAATTCCAGGTTAAGGAGTCTGTGTTTGACTGTGAAATCATGTGGATAGGTAATGTGAACAGAGTAGGTTTCAAGTAAATTAATCTGGTTGGAACATCAGTAAGGAAAGAGACTGGGATCAGGGAGACAGGGTAAATATGTGTCATTTAACAGCTCTTTATGCTCTGACTCAAGCTGTCCATTTTGTATATTTTTATATAACACCAGTGCCTCTTAAAGCAAACTGTTCAGAGGTGAACCAGGATGATTATTAGGCAATTATGTATACAAATTAAAACAAGAACATGTTTGTGTGACTTGGCTCAGTCGCCTATGAGTGAATTTACATATAACTGACATTTCATATGTCCCATCTTTTTTTTTTTTAAAAAAGAAAGAATTATATAAGAAATAACATTTCTGTGTTTGAAGAATTCTTAGCAACACTGTTGTAGACAGCTTGATCAGAGATGGTAATGCTCTAGTACTACTCCTTAGCTTTTGTATCCACCTATCTGGGCCAAGTGTGTTATTGGCAGTAGTGGAAGTTCCTTCCAACGTTACTGCCATTTCCTTGCATGTGAAGTAAGCTTCACTAATGGGACATTCCTGGATCTTGTCTCATTTCTTGCCTCTTCTGATGCAAGTAGAGTAAATAATCTAATTGTCGAGTTTGAGAAAAGAAGTGGGTATGCATAGCTCAGCCACTCGCTCTTAGGTATGAGCTGCCTGCAGGAACCATGTGTCCTGCCATGTGTCTCCAAGCCATAAGGTTTTCTAGGGTAAGACTTCACATGTGGAGACCTATAGTACTCATGCTGCTTGTCATAGCATGGGAAAATTGGCCTAATTCTAGGTTTCAGTATTAGGAAGCCTATTTGCTTAGTGTTTCAGGCAAAATTCTCAAATATAACCATAAAGGTGATGTTTTGATTTCTCTTCTGCCTTACTTGGTGGTCTTATTTCTTGATTGGCTCAGAACTTGGGTGGGGGAAGAAGTGTGCTCCTTTTCAGGCCTCTGAAACTTTAGCAACACAGTGTGGCTGGAGGAGGTATTTGTGTTTTCACAGAAAGTAAGATGGTATTCATGTTTTGTACAAAAGGGAATTTGTTTCTGGCTGCAACTCCAAGGAGAAAAGTATTCTGCCAGATAAGGTCTAAAATGCACATTCCAGCCCAATATCCCCATGGAAAATGTCAGTTCCCAGTAGTGAACAGAATTATCAAAGAGAACTCAGATGTAGAGTGTACCTGGGAAGGACAGGGGTGCAGCCTCACACAGCCCCTCTCCTTAACAGAGAAAGCTGCAGGGAGCATTTTCAGAGGAAAGCAACATCTTCTGTAGGAATCAGTTAACAGCAAAAATGGTACTTCAAGCAATTCACAAGCAAAGATTAACTCATCTCAGTAAAGAGCGTTAAGAACTGCGGTAGGCTGAATAATGATCTCCCAATGATGTCCACATCCCAATCCCCAGAACCTGTGAATATGTCACCTTACATAGCAAAGGGACTTTGCAGATATGATTCAGTTAAGAACATTGAGATAATTAAGTTTCCCTGAATTATCCAGGTGGCCCAATGTATCACAAGGGTCCTTACAAGAGGGAGGGAAGAGAGTCAGAAGAATCACTTCTGTGATTCTTCACAGAAGTTGTAATGATGAAAGCAGAGGTCAGGAAGTCAGGAGAGAGATTTGAAGATGTTGTACTCCTGGCTTTGAAGATGGGAGAAAGAGCCACCAGCCAAGGAATGTAGGGGGATCTAGAAGCTGGAAAGGCAAGTAGATTCTGCCTGAGAACCTCCAGAAGGAATCAGCCCTGTTGACACCTTGACTTTAGCCCAGTGACCTGATTTTGGACTTATTACAGGACTGTATGAAAATAAATTTGTTGTGTGTTAAACCACTAAGTTTGTGGCAATTCAGTATAGCATTCAATAGGAAATTATTAAATACTACAAGGACCCTAAAATAAAAATTAAACATTACAGCAAGGATGCCTAGAAGAAGTGGATCCAATTCTGGAAAACTAGCCTCTTTGCTGCATGGCCTAAGACTTCTCACCACCTAATTAATGAGAAATAACTGAACACTAATATGAGAACATTTATAGTGCACATGTTTATATAATTCATTGTATAAGGGTTTGTGTTGCTGATTGTAAGCTTAGACATTCTCAATAAATTCTTTCTTCCAAAATTCCCAGCTAAATAAACATTTAGGTATTGCTTTATGTATTTTTTAAACCTAAGTAGACTTTACTTTTGATTAGAATCAGGGTTCTGGTATTAAGAAGGGGCTATAGGTAAAAATCCCTTCAAGACAGAATTCTGCCTTGAAGGAGCCCATTTATTTCTAGGAGTGGGGTTTGTTACCATATAATAATTGGCTTGGTGAGTTATTCAAATCTCTGTTTAAAAGTTAATTATTAAAATTCTCTGTTTAATGTTCTCTCAGGTTCCCCATTACCCACAAGAGAAAACCCATATTTCTTATGCTAGGACAGTGGTGAAGAAAAATTCCCTTTGTGGGAAGAACTCTGAGCAGCATGTTTGATTGTCTATGATGCTTGAAGTGATAGAAGGCCAGAAGTATGGCTCCTATGTTGATTCATGGGCAGTTGGATGGTCAGGTGCTTAGTGGGAACAGGATTGGAAAATTAGTGGCAAGAAAGTCTACAGAAGAAGTATGTGGGTAGACTATTCAGAATTGGCACCGAAGGTGAAGATATTTGTATTTCATCCAAATGTCCACCACAGGTTATCCCTGTAGAAGAGATGCTTAATAATTAGATGGACAGAATGTTGCACTCTCCTGTAGATGTAATCACTCTTTCCCCAGCCACATCAGTGCTTGTTCATTGGGACCATGAACAAAATGGTCATGGTGGCAGGAATAGGCTAAGAACATGGACGTCCCCTTAATCAAGGCTAACCTAAATAAAACTACTGAGTCGATCTGCCATCAACAGAGACCAACACTGGGTTGTTGATATGGACCATTCACAGGGGAACCAGTGAGCTACTTGATGGCAGATTGATTGCATTTGACTTCTTTCATCATGGAAAGGGCAGAGATTCACATTCACTGGAATATACACATATTCTAGAAATGGATTTGCCTTCTATACATATAATACTTCTCCTAGTGTCATGATCCATGGACGAATGAAATGCCTTATCCATTGTCATGGTATTCTGCACAGCATTGTATCTGATCAAGAATCTCATGCCACAACAACAGATGTACAGCAATGGATGCATGCCCATAAAATCAGCTAGTCTTACTACACACCTCCATTACTTAGAACTAGCTGGCCTAATTGAAAGATGGTGGCTGATGAAGACTTGGTTATGACATCAGTTGGGAGACAATACCCTGCAAGGATGGGATTCTGTTTTACATGATGTAGTATATGCTTCAAATCAGACACCATTATATCTCCCTCATACTCAGCCTACGTGGGCCTGGGAATTATAAAGTAGAAGTGAGAGTGTTTCTGTACTACTTTCCTAAGGCTGCTATAACAACGTACCACAAACTGCATGGCTTAAAACAACAGAAACTTCCTCTGTCACGCTGTTGGAATTCATAAAGTGGAAATCAAGGGCCATATTCCCCCTGGGGGCTTTAGCGGAAAATCATTTGTTTTTGCCTCTTTCAGCTTTCTGATGCCTGTTAGCATTTTTTTCTTTCTTTTCTTTGTCTTTTTTTTTTTTTAATTTTTAGACAGGGTCTGGCTCTGTCCCCACCCTGGAGTGTAGTGGCATGATCTTGGCTCACTGTAATCTCCATGTCCTGGGCTCAAGTGATCCTCTGACCTCAACCTCCTGAGTAGCTGGGACCACAGACATGCACCACCATGCCCTGCTAATTTTTGTATTTTTTGTGCAGACTGAGTTTCGCCATGTTGCCCAGGCTGGTCTCAAACTGCTGAGCTCAGATGATCCACTCGCCTCCGCCTCCCAAAGTGCTGGGATTACAGGTGTGAGCCACCGAACCTGGCTGTTAGTATTTCTTGACTTGTGGATGCATCATTATAATCTCTGCCTCCATATCACATTGCCTTCTCCTCTTCCCTCTCTATCTCCTCTGCATGTCTTTTATAAGGACACTTGTTAGTAAATTTAGGGCTCACTGAGATTTTCTCAAATAAGGTAACACCCACAGGTTCCAGGGATTAGAACAAAGCATATCTTTTTGAAAGCTACCATTCAATTCACTATAGCTACACATTGGAATCATGGGGCAACTTTAAAAAAACAAAAAACAAAAAAACGAGAGAGATTATTTGATTTCACCACAGGCATTTTGACTCAGTGTTTTTAAAGATGAGGTCTAGGACTCTGTATTAATTCCTCAGGTGATTCTTGTTCAGTAGTCTATACACCTGTATTTAAGAACCACATCTATTGCATACACCAACACCAATCCTTGAATTTTACATTGCCAGTATCACCACTTGCTAGCTGCATTACCCTCAATAAATTATTTAACCATTTTGAGCCTCATTTTCATCGTAAATTTGAGATAAAAGAAATACTTTCTTCAGAGGATTTTTGTGAAAATTAAATGCATGCCAAGTACTTAGAACAGTGCCTGGCACATAGTAAGTATACTACTCAGTTAAGTGTTTGCTATAGTGATAATACTTATTATTAACATTGTCATTACTCAGTGATGTAAGAGCTGGTTCCTCTGCCATGTGTTCCATCTCCCTGTATTTGGGGGCCTTGCCCTACCACTTCTCAGTATCAGGAGGTCAGAGCCCTCTCTCAACTCTAGCAGGAATAGTTGCTAGTCACCACAGGGCCAATACTTTCTCCTTACTAACTTTCAATTCCTGTATCTGAGAATTTTGACTATCACGGAATGCCATTTTCAAATTAATTTTTTGTCTACTTTTTTTAGATAAGGTAGTCTGAGTTACTACTCACAGATTCAAAGAAAGATATATATTGTTTGGTTTTGCAGGCTGCCACTAAATACTATGTACCTAACATATAATAAGCACATATTTTTATGATGGCATTATAAGATGTTATCTGGTGACTATAATGAGACTATTAGAAAGTATGGCTATTCAGCAATAACCATTTATTGAGCTGTGTGTGTGTGTGTGTGTGCGCGTGTGTGCGTGTGTGCATGTGCCAGATGTTATGTTAGATCAGAGGTTGACAACTATGACCTGTGGGTCAAATGTGTCCCACGGCCTGCTTTTGAAGATAAAGTATTATTGAAACACAGCCACTTCCATTTGCTTACATATTGGTTGCTTTTACATTATAACCACAGAGTTGAGTAGTTGTAACTGCTCATCTGGATCTTTACAGGAAATGTATGCAGACCCCTTTGCTAGATGCTTAGGCTGCACAGGTGCAAAAAGATCACTGTGCCTGCTCTCAAAGAGTTTACAGACTAGAGTGAGGGACATAAAAGAAAACAAAAACCCAGTATAGTGGAGACATTTTTCAACTAATTGTGTAAACCATGTGGATGAGATTACAAAGCAGGAAATGATTAGTTCTTTCTATGAAAGTGGCTAAAAAGTCCCTGAATAAGAGATAAAATTTGAGTATCTCACTGTCTGAAATTTTGCTCAGTGGACAGAAAAAAGGTATTTCAGATGAGGATTCAGTATGAGCAAAGGAGGCAGGAAAGGAAGCAGAAAGTGTGGGAATCACTCATTAAGTTGCCCATTGTGGTATAGCATCTGTGTGTGGGGACAGAAGGAGTAATTGAGGCTAGTGGTGGGTGGGTCCTAGAATGAAATCAAAACAAAACTCTAATTCTGACACGGGAATCCCCTTTCCATCTTATTGTAGCCTTCATCAGAGCTGCTGCAGCTTGCAGGCTGACTTACTCTTTTACGATGGATACAGTTATCTTTAGCCATGTAAGGATGGGGGAGAATAGTGGGTGTGGAGTCGGTCATTGTGACATTAGCCTCCTAATTTATGTCTGTGCAAAGATGTTTTTGTGGAAACGTTATGTTTTATGATTGGGAAACTATGAAAACTCCTTCCCTGGAATTGCTAACCATTCATAACAGGAACCTTATTTTCCAAAGCACAATGTGAACAACACAAAAAAGAAAATCCAAAGATAAAGAGAAAAATGTCTTGAGGCCCCTTGCATAGTCATAAAAAAAGACAAGTAAATAAATTTTGGATACAAGATGGGAAAGCCAATCATTTTTGTAGAAAGAGATATTCCAAGGAGAGGTTTTTTTTTTTTTCCACTGGGAAAGCTGTGCAAATGATCCCTCACTTTGGACATAAGAAATGCTCTCCTTTTCAGCATCCTTTTCTTCTTGAAATCTGTCTTCTCGATTGCCCCTTCCTTAAATTCTGGACTCAGATTGGGGTTGGATTTGAGCTCCATGATGTTCTGTTTGGAGCAGAAAGGTAAAGTGGGAAGTACCCTGGGAAAAGTTGGGCCAAACTCTACTGGGGCTATAGAAACAAAAGCATAAATACTCCATAATGATTCACAAAGTTTTGGGATACTGTATTTGATCAGTTCTTCATATTATTTATAATTGTTACAAACTGATCTTGAATACAGTATCATTTTATTAATAAAGACTTGGGTCTATGCCACTACCTTGCTTTGCGGCTTTTGACAAGCTCCTTTATCTTTCGGATATCAGTTTCTTTATCTGTAAAATAAGGATGCTAGGAAAAGTGGTTTGGAAAGGTGGAAATGCAATGAATTTGCAGTTAAGAGTGTGTTTCTCAAAACAACTCCAATTCAATTGCTTCTAACTAGCTTCTTATTTACTTCATGATCTTGGACAAATGGCCCCTCTAAACCACAGTCCCTTATTGGGAGAATAATACATCAAAATTTTATGAAGTTACTGAGAAGATTAAATTAAGTAAAGAAGAATTATAGACCAGTCAAGAAAGATTTTATATACCTAGGGTTTGCAAAAGAACAAGAAGACTTAGGGACATTCAGATGATGACTTCTAAAGGTGCTTAATCAATGTCTTTAATATATGCCAAAAACCTTAAACACAGTGATAACTTTGACACAATAATCTCACTCTTGGAATTCTTTCTTGAGGAAATAATATGGTATTTACGACTATTCATGATAGCAAAAATTATAATCTGAATTTTTAAGTAATGATTAAATAAGTTGCCTCTTTGTAGATTATTGAGTTATTAATTATGATTCTACAGCCCCTGGTGGAGTCTCACTCAACTTGCCTTTAAAATAACAATAAGAGCTTATAAAATGTGGTTAAATATCATGCCATTCATATGTGGCATGTTTTTTCAAGGACACAAATATAAACATTTGTCGTCTTGTGCCAGGAGTGGGGCGGATCACAACATTGAACATAACTATTGACACAATTCATTGCCAGAATCTATGATAATTTTCCACACATTTTCTTGTCTATGGAGTTTGAATGAGAAAATCCATCAATGGCCTACCAATGCATCGCCCAAGAAGACTGAACAGTCCTGGACTCCTGGGACAAGGTGGGATAATATTATATTTTTCTCTCATTCTCTGCTGTCTGGCTCAGTCACTGAAAACCTTTACTCATCAGAAAACCAGGTAGTCACGTTTCTACTAGGTAAGAAGCCATAGAAGTTTTCCTTTCCATCCTGTTCCTGATCCGTCTTTTACGATCATTTTGTAGGGTGCTCTGCTTTTTGCTTCCAGACATGATTCTGCAGCCTGCTTCCAGAAAGCAAAGCAGGAGGTTGTTGGGTGGTGGCGATACTGGCGTGAGGGTGAGGTGGTTACCCCTGTGCTTTTGCCCTCTAGAGGTAGAGTTCTCCTGAGCAAAGTACTATAGGGAAGACGTAACAGGTACACAGCCATTCTGATAATAGCACAAGCTGTGCAGCTCAGAGTTGCAGGGAACCACACGATGGAGGTAGGAAAGATTCCATTGTGGGCCAGAGAACCATCCTGAGGAAATGCCTGCTAGGCACAGGCGAGCAGCTGTGCAAATGAACTGCACTTTAGTTATGCTTTAAATTGAAGATGATGGAAATGAAAGGCAGAGAACAGAGGTCAAACTAAAAATAATTAAAACTGTCTTTGCCTAGAAATAGTCTTCCGCACATCATTCCAAAGCCCAATTAAATTCCAAGGAAACAAATAAAAATACATACTCCAAGACTGTGGACAATTTTTAAAAAAATACATGTATGAATAAAAACTTGACAAGGATCATGACAATACAATTAATTACTCAGTGATTAGCTAGGAGATGGTTTGGCTACCTAATACAGGAGGTCCAAATTGATGGCTTAAAGAAGATAAGTTTTGTTTTTCTCACATGCAAAAGAAGTCTGATGATATGGTTTTGTTGTGTCCCCAGCCAAATCTCATTTTGAATTGTAGCTCCCATAATTGCCACGTATTGTGGGAGGGACCCAGTGGGGGATAATTGAATTATGGGGTCAGTTTTCCCCATACTGTTCTCTTGGTAGTGAATATGTCTCATGAGAGCTGATGGTTTTATGAGGGGAAACGCTTTTCACATGGCTCTCCTTTATCTCCTTTGCTGCGATGTAAGATGTTCCTTTTTCCTTCCACCATGATTGGGAGACCTCCCCAGCCACGTGGAACTGTGAGTCCATTAAGCCTCTTTTACTTTATAAATTACCCAGTCTCCAGTATGTCTTTATCAGCAGCGTGAAAACGGACTAATACATCTGGAGAGGCAATTCAGAGCTCCAAAGGCAGCCCTTGTGTCATTCAAGGGAGCAGCTTCCTTCTAGCTTTCCCCTTTGACATTCTGAAGGTGATCCTCTCAAGACGGCTGCCAAGACTCCAGCCACTGTGTCCAGGCAGGAAGACAAGAAGAGGCAAAAGGAACACATGCTCAAACGTGATTCTCTCCCTGTTAAGGGCCTTTCTGAGAAGCCTGCATTTGGTGACTTCCACCTAAAATTAATTCATTGGCCAGGACCATGATACATAGCCATCCTCTCTGCAGGGCAGTTTGGGAAATATGGTTTTGGCAGGGAATATTTATATACCCAACTAAAACAGAGTTAGTAAGAAAGAAGAGAATGAATATTGAGTCAGCAACTGGCAGTATCTGCCACATCTACAAATCTACAGAAGTCAGGCTGACGTTTGGCTTCTACTTTTGGGTGTAAAATAACATCAGTGCATGGGACAATGTCTCTAAATTTTTAAGGGGAAAAACGTAACCGATATTTTTATACATAGTGAAGTCATAATTTATATGCGAAGCTACAAAAGAAAATTTCCAATATACGAGGGTTTAGAAAATATACTATGTGCACTTCTTTTAAAAAATCCCAAATGGGCCAGGTGCTGTGGCTCATGCCTGTAATCCCAGCACTGGGAGGCCGAGGCGGGTGGATCATGAGGTCAGGAGATCGAGACCATCCTGGCTAACACAGTGAAACCCCATGTCTACTAAAAATACAAAAAAAAAAAAAAAAAAACTAGCCAGGCATGGTGGCGGGCGCCTGTAGTCCCAGCTACTTGGGAGGCTGAGGCAGGAGAATAGCGTGAACCCAGGAGGCAGAGTTTGCAGTAAGCCGAGATCGCACCACCACACTCCAGCCTGGGCAACAGAGCGAGACTCCATCTCAAAAATAAATAAATAAATAAATAAATAAATAAATAAATAAATAAATATAAAAATTACTTATGCCAGGTGACTGAGAGATGAGTCAAAAGTAAAAACTTCATCATTAGTTAAATATAATAGAAATCACTGGAGGTAAGAACTGCACTCATTTAAACAGGTAGTTGATTAAGAAATTATTTTAAACAACTCCTCTGAGTACAATTAGAATGAGTGAAATGTCTAAGTAGATACCTCAATGAATTGTGAACAATATTTATGTAAAAGCATCAATTAACAAAGATGATTCAAGAAGACATAGAAAGCATCATGATCTATATCCTAGGGAAAAAGAAAAAATAAGCAAAAATAAATAAAACACACTGAAAAACCAAATGATTTCATTGATGAGTTTCTTACAAACTTTTAAAGAAAATATAATGCTTATGATGCTAATTAAAAGTTTTGTACATACAGGCCGGGCATGGTGGCTCACGCCTGTAATCCCAGCACTTTGGGAGGCCGAGATGGGCAGATCACCTGAGCTCAGGAGTTTGAGACCAACATGGAGAAACCCTGTCTCTACTAAAAATACAAAAGAAGCCAGGCATGGCAGTGCATGTCTGTAATCCCAGCTACTAGGGAGGCTGAGGCAGGAGAATCACTTGAACCTGGGAGGCAGAGGTTGCGGTGAGCTGAGATCACACCATTGCACTCCATCTTGGGCAACAAGAGCAAAACTCCGTCTCAAAAAAAAAAGTTTTGTACATACAAAAAGTACAAAATTTTGCAGTTGATCCATAAAGTGTCATAAACCTGATGCCCAAAATTGATAAAAAAAATACTGAGGTAAAAGAAAACTCTAAACCATCTTCTCATAAATATGGAAGGAAATGTATATATGAAGTATTAGCCAATTTAATTCTTTAATACAATTCCACCTGGACCAAGGAATATCTAAGTAAAAAATGCAAATAGTTTTATAATTATGAATCCAATAATATATGAGATAAAAAAGGAAATCTTTTGATCATTAAATGAGTGCCCAAAATCTATTTAATAAATCATAATGTGCATTTCTGTGAAAATCTAAAACACTAATAACAGAAGACTTTTCTTAACATGGTAAAAATAACTATCATAAACCAAAGATAACACTTAAATATCAGAATATTTGACAAAAACTAAGATCAAAAGAAATATGTTGCTATCACCACTATTATTATTCATTGGGAGTTCTAATCCCAATGGAACAGGAGTAAAAGACATGGAACAGGTATAAAAGGCAGATGCATTAAAAAGGAAGATAGAGGCCGGGCATGGTGGCTCACGCCTGTAATTCCAGCACTTTGGGAGGCCAAGGCAGGTGTATCACATGGTCAAGAGATCGAGACCATCCTGGCCAACGTGGTGAAGTCCCGTCTCTATTAAAAATACAAAAGTTAGCTGGCGTGTTGATGCGCGCCTATAGTCCCAGCTACTTGGGAAGCTGAGGCAGGAGAATCGCTTGAACCCGGGAGGTGGAGGCAGTGAGCCAAGATCATGCTGCTGCACTCCAGCCTGGGCGACAGAGCGAGAATCCGTCTCAAAAAAAAAAAAAAAAAAAGATAGAATATTATTTTTATTTATAGATGATTTGATACTTTAAAAAGAATCAATTGAAAAACAATTAGTGGTTTAAAAATTTGAGACAATATAAATAATCAAAATTCCTTTATAGATATCTAATAACCTGAAGACATGAAAAATATATCAACTGTAATATATATAAAATATATAAATATATAAGTATGTATAATGGATACATAATAATGTATCAGATATAATATCCATATATCCATATAACTATATGTACTATCCCAATATTTTATATATATTATAAAGTACTAGTCATAAAATACTAGTCATGAACTAAGAGAGGCATAAAAGATTTTAATAAACTGAGAGCTTCTTCTGGAGAGGGTGGGGCCTAGAATAAATTTTTTGAAAAAGTGTTTCTTTACAAATCAACACATAGAGTGAATATAAATAAGCTTAAAATTCAAATGAACAGGCTGTGTGTGGTGGTTCATGCCTGTGGTCACAGCATTTTGGGAGGCTAAGGCAGGAGGATCACTTGAGGCCAAGAGTTTGAGACCAGCCTGGGCAATATGGTAAAACCCCATCTCTACTAAAAAAATACAAAAATCAGCCAGACGTGGTGGTGCATACCTGTAATCCCAGCAACCCAAGAGGCTGAGGCATGAGAATCACTTGTACCCAGGAGGTAGACGCTGCAGTGAGCCAAGATCATGCCACTACCCTCCAGCCTGGGGGACAGAGCAAAACTGTTTCAAAACAAAACCAAAACCGAATATAGGAGTGGAATTGAAATGTGCTTCCTCTTTTATCTTGCTTTTTCTCACCTAACACCTCCCTCTCTAGCCTTGAGTTTATAAAATTCACAGTTGTCACAAGTGTTTCCCTTTGCTGGGCCACCAACCTGGTTTGTCTGGGTTGTGAGGGGCAGAGTGGATGCTGTAAAGAATGTCTCCTCTCCTTGTAGGTGAGAGAAGAGAAGATGTTCCCTCACGTAGTTAATTCTGTGTGTCAGCTGATTACAATGCCAGACAATAGATGCCTTCCAATACAGGGGTGATAAATGTAGGCTAAATGGGAAGTGGAGTCATATTTTCTTGTTCATCTCTGATTCCCCAGCACATAGAAGAGTGATTGGCACATAATAAGCATTCAATAGATATGTGTTTAATAAAGGTTTTCACTGACTTGTGATATCTTTAATATTTTCTCACAGATTATTTGCCTGATATGTAATGATGGTTAATCCACAAATTAGTTAATCCATTGCAGATAACTGAGAGTTGATTATGCATGCAAAACAAAACCACTAAGAAAACAAAATAAAGATTATGCAGAGGGAAAAAAATCAAAGCAAAGGAAGTAATATATCAAAGTGATAACCATGGCTGAGTTTAAATGATGGGGCACTTCTGCATTTTCTAAAATATTTAACAAATATACACTAATTTTATAATAAAAAACAGCTTTTATTTTAAGTATTTTGAGATGTGTTTGCACTTTTGGGTGGATTTCAGATTTTGCTTACATGATGTCATAAAGCTCAATTGATATGGTGGTTTCTTAGACAACCAACAGATCTAATAACAAAGCATAAAACAAAGCAAAACAAAACAAAACAAAAAAACAAAAAAAAATCCCTAGATATCCAGATTTGGAATTTATCCCTAAATGACTGAAATTTTTACTTTATTATTGATTTATTCTCACATTGAAATAGTGCAGAGACCATCTCTGCATGACATTGTCTTCTAATACTATAGATAATAGGGGTAAGAGGTGTACTTAAAAGATGAACAGGAAATAATGATGGCCAATCATCAATTGCTACCCCTCTTCATACTTCTTCTGAACCTAATTTATGTTGCTAGTAGATAATTTATCATCACTGTTTTATGTTGATTCCCCCTCCCCATTGGTGAGGCTGTAAATTACCTGAGAGCAGAAACCATGCCTTGCTCATACACCCCACTCCTGGAATAAGTTAGGCCCCTGTGTCATGCTCTCTCACAATCCCCTGGGCTGCTCTTTCTGGAGCACTCTTCATAATTGTAAGGAGTGTGTTTAGCCTGCGCTCTTTTGACTTTCTCTGGAGGGGTCTCTACTAGAGTAAAAATTCTGGTCTCTTATCCCATCTCAGCTTTTTCTTCTCTTAACCAACAGAGCTTAGCCAGAGGTGTGGCCCAGCTGATTGGCAAGGGCCATCCTGAGTTGGCTGCTGGTCAGATAGGAGAAGGTGAAAGTGGGCACAGATTGCTTGGCAATGGGTGCTATTGGCAGAGAACCTTAATGATGTTTGGCTCTGTCTTTCTGCAGGGACTATAAGTCGGATGATTAAATTAGTTCCCTGTGAAGGAGGCCTATAGTTTTGTGGAAAAAATTCAGTTCAGGGGCACATTATAAAGCCCTCTTGGCTAAGTAAGCCACATGCTCCAAACAGTTTTATCAGTCATAAAGCTGGTGTGCTTATTTCTTCCTTTTCTTTTTCTTCACTTTTCTCTTCTCTTCTCTTCTCTTCTCTTCTCTTCTCTTTTCTTTTCTTTTCTTTCTTTTCTTTTTGAGACAGGGTCTCACTTTGTCATCCAGGGTGGAGTGCAGTAGTGCAAACACGGTTGACTGCAGCCTTGACCTCTCAGGCCCAAGTGATCCTCCCACCTCAGCCCGACAAGTAGCTGGGACTACAAGCAAGCACCACCATGCCTAGCTAATTTTTGTATGATTGTAGAGATGGAGTTTCGCCATGTTACCCAGGCTGGTCTTGAACTCCTGAGCTCAACCGATCCGCCCACCTCTGCCTCCCAAAGTGCTGGGATTAGAGGTGTGAGCCACCATGCCGGGCCTGGTGTTTTGATTTCTACCATTCTGACTCCCGTGTCTCTCTCAGGTGATCCAGAACTTGGGTGGGGAAGAGAATGGTATAATGACATGATTTTTTAAAATGCTAAATTGTTTTGAATTGAATATCTGTATTGCCTGCTAGACTGGAAGGTCAATGAAAGCAGAGATCTTCTATCTGTTTCATCATTGCTTCCCCAGGGCCTATCATTGTGCCTGGCATATTATAGGCCATCAATAAATATTTGTAGTATGAACAAATAAATTTATCTTTTGATTATCATTTTTTAGTATAGTCCCTGACATAGAAGTAGGGCTTAGTAAATATTGATTTGAATTGGAGCTGAGGTTTCAGATGGGGGTGGCATCAGGAGTCACATTCTGGTTCATTCTTCTTGGTTCTTTGACCCAGTCCTCCCTATTCCTGGGTGAGTGCTAATAGCCCCTAAGCCAACTGTACTTGTTCATGTTGCTTCTCTTTCCCACCTCAGCACAGCGCATAAGGGGAGAGGGGAGTATAGTCAATGGGAACCTATCAGTTTCCTACTTGCATGCCTCATCTCCAGCCCCGTGGCAGAACATTTATTTTTTATTGAAAAAGACAAAAGCTGGGATAAAAGAGGAAATGAGGGCATTTAATCATAATAGTAATAGGACTTAGAGTGTGTTCCACCTTCCCAGTAGCAGAAAGAACCTGTACGTAGGCTCTCCAGTCACCCTGTCCAGGCACTGGTCCACCTCCTAGATCCCGGGGCTCACTTTGGGCTGTGCCTTCTCCTGAACTCCATCTAGATTCTTAATTAAGAACAGAACATTTTCTTCATTTCCACTACACAGAGGAATGACATTATATGCAGAACATCTGTAAATCTTAAGTGTGGGCCTCAGGCAGCACCACTTTCCCACACATAAATCTTTGTGTGAGCTTAGGTCAATCGATACTTGCCTTCATAGGTGACTCTGGGGTCAAGCACATGTCCTTTAGACTATAAGGTCAGGACCCTCTTTCCAATGGGAAAGAGGCCACAATTGCAGAGAGCTGAACAATGGCCCCAGGTCGTGGCACTTGTCTGTGTTTTTCCTCCTGCAGTGCTCTGGCCTGGATGACTGGAAGCCCATTCAGTCAGCTGGAGTCTCAGACTTTCAGTCTGAAGGTGTGGCACAATCACCTATTCAGGGCTAATGTTCCTCCTCAACATGTGCAGTCCAGCCTACGATTTCCCTCTTCCATGGGCAAGGAGATAACAATGTCTTGGAGATCAGTCACTCCATCTTCACACAGCTTCTGTCAAATGATGCCCAACCATGTGCGGATGGCCAAAGCACACCTGGTGCTTCCATATGATAGAATGTAATGCAGCTGTTGAAGATCGTATCTTTTAAAAATTATTTAACCATCTGGGAAAAGGTTGATGATGGATTATTAAGTGAAAAAAATTATTACACTGTAATATAGATAGATGATAGGTAGATAGATGATAAATGGATCAAGCATGAAAGATGATGAGTGCCTCAAAACACTGAAGAGCTCTTCGAGACACTCAATCTCAAACCGAGGAACCATGTTTCTATAACTCTCTGTTTTGCCTTATGTTATCTAGAAAGACAAGCAGACAGAGTATATGTCTAGGAGGAAACAATCATAACCATTATTTAAATGCAGAAATGTAGAGAATCCAGAGCATGGTGCAACACCAGAGTTCCCATTCAGTCTATTCGCTGAGTCACCAGTGGTCACCGGGGGTCCTTCTTCTGCTGCTCTCTTTCCATCTTTGCTTCCTTTCTATCTCTATGGTTTTCCCACCCCTTTACACATTTCTGCAGCATCTTAACATCACTCTGGCCTTAACAGAGCCTTGCAATCCTCCACAGAAGCAGGCTTAAGGCCTCTGGGGGTTACAGAGTGAGGCATTTTTTGAGGTGAACTCCTCTTGCTAATATTTAGCTCATCACATATAATTTATGGGGTTATTTATAGTAAAGAACACCCTATCAGGGGTAAGAGGGACAGAAAACCCCATCAGGTTTCATTGGATTTGCCATATAGTTAGGCAGACATATCATGAAATGTGTTGACCTAGAAGAGAAGATACCCAGTTTTTAATGGAAAGCAGAAGGGTTACCCAGTCATAATCATGGCTAGACTTAAAAGCTGCCTATTTCTATGTTTTAAAGTATACTTTTCTCTTATTTTCATAATCATCACTCTATACTCCTTAAAAAAAAGGTGACTACATCCGCCGTTTGCATTGCTTCTTGAGAAAGTTTGAGAAATAAATTCTCATAAGTAAGCTGGAGCCATGGAATTTCTGATTGAGGTTGGAGTTACTGGAACCAAAAACCAATGTGAAAGGCAAAGCCTAACAATAAAGGCAGTGAGAACCAAATAGATAGCAGCAAAGTGACCTCTCTAAGGTTAGATCAGAGGATGCATGTTGCAGAACAAGGGGAATAAAATAGATAGCTGTGATAGGGCTGGACTCTGGAGGTCTGAGGAAGCTTGATTTGATGCTGAAGCCCATTGGAAGGGCAAACCCTAGAGTTGAGGCTGCAGGGCCTCCCCTCCTGCCCTCAGCTCTTATTCTACCCCACCTTCTGCTCGTGGCTCATCTGTCTCTCTCCTTCCCAGGTGGGGAGCTCAGCTGTTCTGAAAAACAAAATAGGAAGTCACTTATATGCCCTGGAGCCCTGCTTTTGTAATTCTGATACAGGGCATTAGACCTAATTTAATTTGAAAATAATATAGTAAGATGAAAGGAAATCCCACTTGAGCTTCTCATTTTAAAAAGAGTTCAAAAAAAGATAAAGTAAGCCTGAGAACCTCAAAGAAGGCCCTCTGGTCAATAGAGGCAGACAGGCCAGATGTTTTTGCCATCTGTGTCTTGTCCCCTCTGACATGGGGCTAGCTGAGGGAGAGAGGCACACAACAGAAGAGCAGGCTAGCTTGCTAATACTGCCCTCTTATTTAGCTCATGGAAATGTCATAACATCTAAGGTCTTACTTTCCCTCTGGATTTGAGGGGAAAACATCTATAGTCCTCTTGAACTCATTTCATGGAAGGAACTTTGTTACAGTGCAAAATTTCACCAAAGATTAATTGAACTTGACATCCTGAATGTCTTTTGCACAATGTACTAAAGTGGATTTTTTTTTTAAAAATGTCAGTATCTGATCCTTGGTGTGTGGTTTTTAGATGTCCAAAGTATTCCCACTTCTCAAATTCCCTTTAAGAAGCTGGAATGCAATGCATTTCTGAGTGTTCTTTATTTCAGTTGAATCCCCACCTTGCTATAGCAGTACTAAATATACTTAAAATCAACAATTCATCACAATAAAAAAAAAATACTGAGTGATATCCAGAGTGGCTGGCCTTCGTTCAACACCAACCATTCTCTAGTTTACGGGAAATTAGGATCACAGGCCAGCTTTACATTAACTGGAAAGTGTACGCTACCATCTTGTGGACAAAATATCAATAACACTGAAATATACTCAAGACAACTTACCATCTCTTTTGTATTACAGTGAACATTTATTTTGTCCTGGGTTCCCACATGCACTCATGGTGACCATTCCATGCAATTTAGAACTTTGGCACTGAATTATCTTTGTTAATAAATTGGGTACAGTTCAACATGAAGAAAAGCGAGCTTACCAAGAAAATTTTGGAACCCAAATACCAGAGACCTGGATCCTCATGTAACCTTCGCCTTTGATTCTTGCCTCTTCAGTTTTCACTTTTCTAAATGCAAAATGCAAGTGTTGATTCTGGTCATCTTATACTGAACACATAGGTTTTTGGTTGGTGTTGACAGGGTTAGATTTTTATAATATCCCGAGGAGTTGAACGTTATGATCCCAAGAGAAATTAATTTATTAACCAGTTGTTCTTTAACTGATACAAAAATTAGTTACTCTTCTCCTGGATGGTTTGCACATGAACATACAGGTGCATATCTCACTTGCTATGGTACCAAACAATGACATCATAGGATGCAGAAGGAGATGGTGTCATCACAGCTGTATGACATGAAAGTTATAGGATCACAGCATCTTAGGGTAGGCAAGGACCATCAAGTTCATTAAATTCAATTACATTTCTAATGCGTGAATCACTTGTATAATATCCAATTGCTTGTTGAATCTCTTCTTCTAGAATATAAGAAAGTACTTGAAAAGGGGACCACGTAAAAGACAGGAAAACAGGAGATTTCTATTCCAAATTTCTAAGGATGCTTTTTTTTATTGCTGTTGTTTGCTAATAGATATTATGACAGTTGGTAACTAGAGAATCTCTAAGGAAGAATCTGTAACTATCAGTCTCCTACCCTTGATGTTGTGGTTCTAGTCTATTTACAGTATGCCAAATAGCTTCTTGCCCACTGGAGCTCAGAAGACCTTCTAAAGTTAGAACTTTCCAGTGTTAAAAGTTTCTACTACAAGCTAAGGGTCTGTTGTATTCCCTCAATTCTTCCTTTAAGCCGTCATATCTAAGTTAGAAACATGTGCAAGTATGTGTGTTTGTGTGTTTGTGTGTTTTTCTGTGTGTGTCCATATACTTGTGTGTGTGTGTGTGTTCTCGGTGTTTTTCTTACTTGTAGGAAAATGATGACTCTCTCCCACCCCCAATTTGGTACTAGTGGCAAAGCATCATTTAAGAGGGCCACACACTGGTCATTTTTGTTATGAGCAAAAAATATAACTGGTCTTACACAGTTTTCCTTCCTGTTAAAAAAAGGAGTAATCTGTATCTTCTCTACCTCCCATAGATATATTTTGACAATTACGATACCACCATCTTTCATTAGCTCATTAATCTAAATATATATGTTTCTATTACAACATTGCTTACATAACAGAGAGCCAATTTCAAAAGAAGTATGTTCACCCCATTTAACTATTCATGCTGAAGCACTGAGTTTTGCAAATAGAAAAGCCCTAAAGCTACAACAAGATGATGACAATGATGACAGCAACAGTAACAGAGACAATACAACACTTAGACAGGCATTTGTTCCCAGTACTGGGTCTGAGGAGGACAGGTGAGAAATAGAAATGTAACTGACTACAAGTGAGTGACTGGACCAGGGATTCCAGAGCAATTCCGCTTGCCTTTGTATTTCAAGGTTCTTGACCCTCCTCTTCAGGAGTATATTATGGGTTATTATTTTTTTTTTTTTCATTTTATCTTGTGGCAAAAGTATAAATGTGGTCTCTGAAGAGAGGTCATTATTTTAAAAGGTCTGAGAAGCTTTAAAAAAGCTGTGATCCCACCCAAATCTCAACTTGAATTGTATCTCCCAGAATTCCCACGTGTTGTGGGAGGGACCCAGGGAAATGTAATTGAATCATGAGGGCCGGTCTTTCCCGTGCTATTCTCGTGATAGTGAATAAGTCTCATGAGATCTAATGGGTTTATCAGGGGTTCCTGCTTTTGCTTCTTCCTCATTTTCTCTTGCTGCTGCCATGTAAGAAGTGCCTTTTTCCTCCTGCCATGATTCTGAGGCATCCCCAGCCATGTGGAACTGTAAGTTCAAGTAAACCTCTTGTTTTCCCTAGTGTCAGGTATGTCTTTATCAACAGTGTGAAAATGGACTAATACAAGCTGGATAGAAACTCTGCCTTGATTAGCTATGAAACCAATATTGCCAAAGCACCTTTTTTTTTTTTTTTTTTTGGATGTTCAGATAGTTCTTTTTTTTTTTTAATACTTTAAGTTCTAGGGTACATGTGCACAATGTGCAGGTTTGTTACATATGTATACATGTGCCATGTTGGTGTGCTGCTCCCATTAACTCATCATTTACATTAGGTATATCTCTTAATGCTATCCCTCCCCCTTCCCCCCACCCTACCACAGGCCCTGGTGTGTGATGTTCCCCTTCCTGTGTCCAAGTGTTCTCATTGTTCACTTCCCACCCATGAGTGAGAACATGTGGTGTTTGGTTTTTTGTCCTTGCGATGGTTTGCTGAGAATGATGGTTTCCAGCTTCATCCATGTCCCTACAAAGGACATGAACTCATCCTTTTTTATGGCTGCATAGTATTCCATGGTGTATATGTGCCACATTTTCTTAATCCAGTCTATCATTGATGGACATTTGGGTTGATTCCAAGTCTTTACTATTGTGAATAGTGCCTCAGTAAACATACGTGTGCATGTGTCTTTATAGCAGCATGATTTATAATCCTTTGGGTATATACCCGGTAATGGGATGCCTGGGTCAAATGGTATTTCTAGTTCTAGATGCTTGAGGAATCGCCACACTGACTTCCACAGTGGTTGAACTAGTTTACGGTCCCACCAACAGTGTAAAAGTGTTCCTATTTCTCCACATCCTCTCCAGCACCTGTTGTTTCCTGACTTTTTAATGATCACCATTCTAACTGGTATGAGATGGTATATCATTGTGGTTTTGATTTGCATTTCTCTGATGGCCAGTGATGATGAGCATTTTTTCATGTGTCTGTTGGCTGCATAAATGTCTTCTTTTGAGAAGTGTCTGTTCATATCCTTTGCCCACTTTGTGATGGGGTTGTTTGTTTTTTTCTTGTAAATTTGTTTTGAGTTTTTGTAGATTCTGGATATTAGCCCTTTGTCAGATGAGTAGATTGCAAAAATTTTCTCCCATTCTGTAGGTTGCCTGTTCACTCTGATGGTAGTTTCTTTTGCTGTGCAGAAGCTCTTTAGTTTAATTATATCCCATTTGTCAATTTTGTCTTTTGTTGCCATTGCTTTTGGCGTTTTAGACATGAAGCCCTTGCCCATGCCTATGTCCTGAATGGTGTTGCCTAGGTTTTCTTCTAGGGTTTTTATGGTTTTAGGTCTAACATTTAAGTCTTTAATCCATCTTGAATTAATTTTTGTATAAGGTGTAAGGAAGGGATCTAGTTTTCTACAAACTTTTCAGAAAGCTGAAAGTTTCAGCTTTCTACATATGGCTAGCCAGTTTCACAGCACCATTTATTAAATAAGGAATCCTTCCCCATTTCTTATCTAAATCTAATGAGGGGAAGGAACCTTTCATATCCCACTGTTTCCCACAATTTGGACATAGTATTTTCAGTTTACATACATTTTTATGTGAGTGATGGATTGTTGAATGCTAATACTAGAATTTTATCATAACATTATCAATGTTCTGTTTTGAAGAAGACTTTGCTGCATTCTTAGAGTTTTAGGGTAATTTAAAATTATTATTGTCTCCAGATGAACTTATCTCCAAATGAATAGTGGAACTCAATGAGAAAATAAGGCTCAGTGTCTAGAACATCTCTACACAGTCAACCTTTTAAATACTTATTTGTTCTGTATTTGAGAAATATGGGTAATAGACATAAAAGGTAATCTGAGAGTAAAGGCATTATATAAATTCCAAGAAGAGCTTAATAGTAAGAAGAATGATATGATTTATTGAATTTCTATGACATACCAGGTAGTCTGCCAATACTTTTCTCTATCCTGTCTCCAGTCTTTACCGTAGCCTGACCATCACCACTTCAAGCTTGGTATGCTTAAGTGGCTCACCCAAGTCACACAGTTAGAAGTACTAGATTTGGAACTCAGAGTTTATACCCTGCTTATGCCATACTGTGGTCTTTATTTAAAGATTGTGGTGTGTCCTGGGTGAGTTTTGATAGGAGGACAGTAAATTTTATAAAGCAAAATACCCACCTACAAGGTATCCAAATTAGTATTGTGGCTATTTAAGACTGTAACTTGGGAGAGAAGTTGAAGCTGGTGATACAAATTTTGTGGTCACCTGCATAGATGCCAAAGCTAAAGATTAGAACTGAGATCACTGCAGGAAGACATAGGAAGAATGGAACACAAACCAATATTCTAAAGAATGCTAACAGGTAAGTGGGTGGGATAAAAGAATGAGCCTCTGATCCACAAGAAAGCCAAGAAACAAGATATGGGTAGTATCCTTATCCACTACTTACAGATCAGGAACCTGCAATACAAAGAGAGAAGTGACTTGTTCAAGGTCACACATCAAATCAGCATCCAACCTGGGACCATAAACCATGGTCCATGTCCACCAACCCATTGCTTTTTGCCCCACAACTTTAAAATACAGCCCTTTTGTCTTCCTCAGCCCATTATTTGCTCCCCAGCGGGTGAGAATAGATAAATTCTGAAGATAGCACTCCAAACCAGCCTGGGCTTCCAACTCTGTTGATCTGACAGCTTCCTGGTTCCCTTCTGAAATGAGCCCAAGTTAAGTATTGGTGTACATGGAGGGCAGGAAGGCAGATAGTAGGGGGAAGCGGGAGTAAGCATTAATTTTCTCATTTAATTAACTGCATTCAACAGAACTAATGCCATAAGCAACTTACTAAAGGCCAGTAATACATCCCTAAGGAAATACTTGGGGCCCAATTTTTTGGCCCATTAGTGACCACAAGAATAGCTTCATACATCCAGGTCTGTCAAAGCCAGAAGAAAAATGTGTATAATTGGAAAAAGTTTGAAAACAATCCTGGATAATAAATCACACTTACTCAGCTCTTTTGTCCTTCCAACTCTATAGCTAGCATCACATTTCATAAGGGAGACATGGAGAAGAGGCAAACACTGAAAGGGAACCTTTACTTATTAGACACCAGAGGGAAGCCTCCGTGATCAGTGGAATCAGCTGTTTACATAGATTCCACTAACTTGAAGGGTGTGTCATGCTGAGAGGAGGCTATGGCTGCCTGCTTCCGTCATGGTCCAGAACAGGGCCCCACAGTTTGACCCTTATCTACAGGAAAGTTGGCAGGAGGAGCTTAACAAAATCTCTTCTAATTAGGTGTTCTGATAATCTTCTAAATTCCCTCATGCAAAAGCCAGCTACCTACCTCATTTCCTTGGACAGCCTGGAGTTATAATCTTCTCGACATTTATTGGATCTTCCTCCCTGGGAGATAGCTGCTCAGTAAAAGGAAGATGAAGTGGGGCTCCGCTGCTTACCAAGTGCATTTAACACACATTAGCGTCTTGCGTGGATGGAAACCAGCTGGAATAATTTTGTCAGGGAGTGCCAAGCTTTAGTCTGTTGTAGATCTTGAAGTGGATTCTCCCTGCTTGCTGGGATGAGGTCTTCGGATGTTAGTTTATGCCACTGCCAGTGATGCATGAATTCGGTCACTCAGTCTTCATCCACAAAGACATTGTGAGCCTCATACTTTTAAGCCCAAGACTCCTAGGGGAGGGAGAGGCACCGATGCAGCTTGACATCCCTGTGAAGAGGTTCTCATCATAGTCCTCCACCTGTAGCTCAATTTGTCTACTCATCTACCACGTACAGTGGTTTTTCCTGCCATTTCTCATGTGGACACATGTCCAACATGAGCTAGCAAGTCCATATACGTGTGTGGTACAGTGCAGGACAGGAAAGACTTTGCTCCCAAGAAGCACATTCTCTAGAAGTGGCCTCTTCTCAATATTGTTGAAATCGTCTCTTCACCTCACATTTTTTTGACCTATTAGGAAAGTAAAGGTCAGTGTGTTGATTACTCCATTGGAACATTCAGCAGCCAGACCAAGAAGCAGTCCGTGGGCAATGGCTTCATGCAAGGGCACCCCCAATGTTAGAACCGGGAGTCATTTCTGGATGCCAGGAAACCCTTGGAATGTGATTCGAGGGTCCTTTTCATCTTTCTGAGTCCCTCGCTCTGCATTTTTTAAAGCCTTGCTGAGAAGGCAAGCTCTGGGGAAGCAGGAGCCTGGCCTGTTCTGTTCATTCCTGTGTGTGCACATCACATACATGCCTGAGTAAATATTGTTGAATAAAGGGATGAAGGAAACCAGAAATGCTGCTATTTGCAGATGAATTTCTGTGGGTCATCAGAGCTTTAAGGCAAATATCTCTGAGAAATAGGTCACAGTTTCCACTTTCTCAACTCATGATGCTGCGGATTTTCAAAATTTGTTTCATCTTTTTGAACAAGGGAAACTTTAAAAAAAATTCTTTATTTTAGGTTCAGGAATACATGTGCAGGTTTGTTAAATGGATAAATTGCGTGTCACAGGGGTTTGGTGTACAGATTATTTCATCACCCAGGAAATGAGCATATGTATTAGTCTGTTCTCACACTGCTATGAGGAAATACCCGAGACTGGGTAATTTATAAGAAAAGTGGTTTAATAGGCTCACAGTTCTGCATGGCTGGGTAGGACTCAGGAAACTTACAATCATGGTGGAAGGCACCTCTTCACAGGGCAGCAGGAGAGAGAATGAGTGCTGAGTGAAGGGGGAATCTACTTATAAAACCATCAGATCTCCTGAGAACTCACTCACTATCACAAGAATAGAATGGGGGAAACTGCCCCTATGATCTCCCACTGGGTCCCTCCCATGACATGGGGGAATTATGGAAACTACAATTCAAGATGAGATTTGGGTGGGGACACAGCCAAACCATATCAGCATAGTACCTAATAGGTAGTTTTTTGATCCTCTCCCTCATCCATCCTCAAGTAGGCCCCAGTGTTGGTTGTTCCCTTCTTTGTGTCCATGTGTTCTCATTGTTTAGCTCTCACTTATAAGTGAGAACACGGACTATTTGGTTTTTGGTTCCTGTGTTAGTTTGCTTAGCATAATGACATCCAGCTCTATCCATGTTGCTGTGAAGGACTGTGATCTTCTTCTTCTTCTTCTTCTTCTTCTTCTTCTTCTTCTTCTTCTTCTTCTTCTTATTATTATTATTATTATTATTATTATTTTGAGACAGAGTCTAACCCTGTCGCCCAGACTGGAGTGCAATGGTGTGATCTCGGCTCACTGCAACCTCTGCCTCCTGGGTTCAAACAATTCTCCTGCCTCAGCCTCCCAAGTAACTGTGATTACAGGCGCCCACCACCACACTCAGCTAATTTTTGTATTTTTAGTAGAGATGGGGTTTTCACCATGTTGGCCAGGCTTGTCTCGAACTCCTGACCTCATGATCTACCTGCCTTGGCCTCCCAAAGTGCTGGGATTACAGGCGTGAGCCACTGCGCTAGGCCAATCTTATTATTTTTCATGGCCGCGGAGTATTCCACAGTGTGTATATACTACATTTTCTTTATCCAGTCTACTGTTGATGGGCATTTAGGTTGATTACATGTCTTTACTATACTGAATAGTGCTGCAATGTACATACATATGCATGTGTTTTTATGTTAGAATGATTTGTATTCCTTTGGGTATCCACCCAATAATGGGATTTCTGGTTAGAATGGTAATTCTGTTTTAAGTTCTTCAAGTAATCACTACACTGCTTTCCACATTGACTGACCTAATTTACTTTCCCACCAGCAGTGTATAAGCATTCCAGCAAGGGAAACTTTTAACAGTAACATGAATGTGTTAGTCTGTTCTCACACTGTTAATAAAGACACACCTGAGACTGGGTAATTTACAACGGAAAGATGTTTAATTGACTCATGGTTCCACATGGCTGGGAGGCCTCACAATCATGGTGGAAGGTGAATGAGTAGCAAAGTCATGCCTTACATGGCAGCAGGCAGGAGGACTTGTGTAGGGGAACTCCCATTTGTAAAAGCATCAGGTCTCATGAGACTTTTTCACTACCACAAGAAAAGTATGAGGGAAACTGTCCCCATGATTCGATTACCTCCACCTGGCCCCATCCTTGACACATGGGAGTTATTACAATTCAAGGTGACATTTTGGTGGGGACACAGCCAAACCATATCAACGGATCACAGTCTTTTCGTGAAGAATAAAGATAATGTGTGTTTATTTGGGAATGTGGTGTATACTCAGTAGCCATTATCTTTATTCTTCACAATAAGACTGTGAGTAGAATAACAACCTGACCTGACCAGTGGGGAACCTGAATCTTAGAGAAATTAGATAATTTGCCTAAGGTAACCCAGTTAGCCAGTGGTAGGTTTTAATCCAGATTATTTGAGAGCAAGCTTGTACTTGTCAGACACCAGGGGAAGGTCTCAGGGTAGAGGGAAATCAACTATTTATTTGGATTCAACCAATTTAAATGCTGTTTAAGGCTAAGGGCTCCTGTTTCCTTTTGCAAAAACGGGTGTTCTTTCTTCTACAAAGTGTAGTCCATGGCCAGCAACCTTCACATCAGAGAGCTTATTGGAAATGCAGAGTCTTGGACTTTAACTCAACCCTAATGAATCAGAATCTGCTTTTTAACAAGATCCCCACATGATTTGTATGTACATTAAAGGTTGAGAAGCACTGGTCTACACCACAACACACACACACACACATACACACACACACACACACACACACACACACACACACACACAATAGCAGCAGCAAGTTCTGAGGGAAGAAGTAAGTACAGAGATAAAAATTTGGAGTGCAGTCTGTGCTCAAAGAAGGAAGGCCTGTTCTGTAGCCACTGCATTGCTGAGAACTAAGAAGTGAGTAGGTAATGGACACAGTGTGGAGTACTGGATCTTTTACTGGTGACAGCAGCATTTCTACCTTAGCACAATAAACACTTTGGTTCAACCAAAGGGGTTGTTTCTCAAGCATGCATTTGGGGCTTAAGCTTCCATTGGGGTGGACAGCTTGCCGTGGTTTACCCAGGACTTTCCTGTAAGTCCTGCATCCTGAGAAAATCTTCTATTCTGAAAAAACCATGACGGTTGGTTATCCTAGCATCTATCTCTTTTCCTAAAGGGGCAAATAATAAAATTACCTTAGACTTAGATTCTGGAGATCTGAGTTCAGCTTCCAGGATCATCACCTATTATTGCTATTATCATACATGAGCCACTTAAACTTCTCTTTTTCTTATCTGCATAATGAAGCTAATACCAAGCTCCTTTGGTAGCTGAAGAATAAATTAAAAGCTATAGATGTTAAGATCATCAAGACAGGGATGATTTATATTCTATCTTCGTAGCCCTGAATGAAAGTTTGTGAATGCACTTTGTGAACTATGACATAATCTTGTATCCAAGATGTTGCCAGTGTTATAAGAATGTATCTCTCTTGAATACCTCTCTGTCAAATTCTATACAGTCTGTACTGCTCTGATGAATCCTAGTCTCCTCAGAGAAGTCTCCTAACTCACTCCAGCTATAGTGGCTTCTCTCACTTTTGAAGAATCACTTGAAGAAAATTGTTCAGCATTACAAGTTTGTGTTTTGGCCAGGCACGGTGGCTCATGCCTATGATCCCAGCACTTTGGGAGGCTGAGGCAGGAGGATCACTTAAGCCCAGGAGTTTGAGACCAGCCTGGGCAACATAGTGAGATCTCACCTCTATAAAAAAATACAAAAATTAGCCCAGCATGGTGGCATGTGCCTGTAGTCCCAGCTACTCAAAGGCTGAGTTAGGAGAATCACCTGAGCCCAGGAAGTTGAGGCTGCAGTGAGCATGATGGCACCACTGCACTCCAGCCTGGGCATCAGAGTGAGAACTTGTCCACAAAAAAAAAAAAAAAAAAAAAAAAAAAAAAAAGGTCTGTGTTCTGGAGACTTGGCTTCACCACTTAATATTCAAGTGACTTTGGACAAGTTACTTAACCTTGTGAAGTTCAATTGTTTCAGTGGTAAAATGGGAGCAATCATAATAGTACCTGTCTAATTTATAGTTGGGTGTATGGAATAAGATAGTTAAATCTATGCGTACCATAAACTAAAGGCTTAGATATGTTAGTTGCTCTGCTCTGAAATATATTTAATGCTTACTTTCTTAGAATCCTAATTCTTATAGGACCTGCAACTTGGGGATGGAGTCTCTTGTAATAATAATCTTTTTTCAACTTTTTATGTGTTTACTTTGTTCCTAGATTGTAAACACTTTCAGGTTAATAATAATGATATTATCGGCCATGCAGTGGTTCATGCCTGTAATCCCAGCACTTTGGGAGGGTGAGACAGGTGGATTGCTTGAGGTCAGGAGTTCAAGACCAGCCTGGCCAACATGGCAAAACCCTGTCTTTCCTAAAAATAAAAATAAAAAAAATTAGCTGGGTGTGGTGGCCGGTGCCTGTAATCCCAGCTACTCCGGAGGCTGAGGCAGGAGAGTCACTTGAACCTGGGAGCTGTAGTGAGCTGAGATCATGCCGCTGTACTCCAGCCTGGGTGACATAGCAAGACTCCGTCTCAAAATAAAATAATAGTAATAATAACAATAATATCTAGACCACCTCCTCTGAGACCAGCAGCTGTAATAGCATTTTGAGCACTTGTCGTGTGCCAGGCACTATGTAAAGCAAATTGCCATCAGTGAGTGAGCACCTATTGTGAAGCAGGTACTTTACTTAGGTTACCTCATTAACTTTTAAGACATCCCCATGTGGTAGAAATTATTAGCCCCATTTTGCCGATGACTTTTGATGATATGGAAATTAAGTAACTTTCCTGTCAGCCACACAGCTGGGACTCAAACTAAAGACCATTTTATTCCGAAGCTCATGCCAGCCACACAACTGAGATTCAAACTAATGACTGTCTGATTCCAAAGCTCATGCCATTTCTATGTTGCTCAGGGATCCCCAGACCATCTAGTAGTTCTCTGCAAACACATAATAAAGTAGTGCTTCTCAAATGTTAATATAGATATTAATCACCTGGAGATCTTGATGAACTTCAGATGCTGGTTCAGTAAATCTGGAATGGACCCGAGGTTCTGCCTTTTTAGCAAGTTTCCAGGTGGTACTGATGCTGCGGTCCAGGGACCACACTTTGAGTAGCAAGGCTGCATTATTTACTTTCCAATGGGTTGGTTCATAGGTGAAGTCTCTAGGATCTGCATCTTCTGCAGTTCTTGGGGCTAGGTCTAGGGAAGGTGTGAGAGTGGCAGGAGGAGGATATTTGGTGGAACTGAGTAAGTAACCAGTCATATTAAGAACCCAGTTCTTAACTGGGGTGGTCATAATTTGGGACTACTTTTATCTATTTCTCTTAAATTCTGTGGCATTGGATATTCATCAGATATCCCCAATGATCACAATCACCTGGCGTATTTGTAAACCAAAACACTTCCAAGGACTCTCTCCCGGGATGGGGCCTAGTAATTTGTAATTTTACAAGTACTTCAGAAAAGTCTGAAAAACACTGAAAGTGCTATAGAAATTGCAAAGAGCAGGCAATAAATGAGGGGTGATGTAATCAAAGAAGGCTTGGCTGGTAGGGGTCGGGAGGTTGCAGGGGGCCTGGTTAGGGGATGGAGCTCAGCCCTGCAGAATGAGAGAGTTCTAAAAGGGCAAAAGACGGTGGGAAGAGTGCTGGGTGGTGGTGGGGCACATAAACAAGGGTATGAAGATTGGTTCTGCATTTTTTCAGATTCAGTTTAAGGCCTACTGGATTTTGTTTGAAATGCTGTATAAACATCGTGTACATGGGTACATTAAAAATATTATAATAAAAGATTTTAAAAATATTGGTTATATACTCGAGTGACACCAAAGTCACATGCAACCAGAAGTTTGCATAGTATAATAAACCTTAAAAATTGCTGTGTTTCCAACTGCTGGATGAAAACATACATCGGAATGGCTAAAGTTAAAAAGCCCAATGATACAAGAGCTGGTGAAAACGCAAAACCCAATAGGAATTCTCACTCATTGGTATAAATTGGTACAACCACTTTGGACAATTCTTTTATGGTGCCTATCCACGCTGAAATATGCCTTTCCTATGACCCAAGAATTTTACTTCTAGATATAAATCAAACAGAAATTCCTACATTTCTAAGAACACCTAAAGTCTGAACAAGAATTTCATGGCAGCATTATGTATAATGGCCCCAAGCTGAAAATAAATTAGATTTTCTTCAATAGTAGAATAAAAATATAATATTTCATCATAAGAATATAGCACATTCTTATGATAAAATATTATATTGTAGTAAAATTGATTATTGCAAAAAGTAGATACAGAAAGTATATTCAATAGGTTTCATTTTATATGAAGTTGAAAAACAGATAAAACCAAACTATGGTGTTAGAAACCAAGATATGGCTATCTTTGGGGAATTGGAGGGGGCAAAAACCTAGGAGTGGCATGGTAGGGGGGCTTATGGAGTACTGATAATATTCTATTTCTTAACCTGGGTGGTGGTTATATGAATATGTTCATTTTAAGATAATTTATTCATCCGTACACTTAACAAATGTGTTTTTTCTATTAAAATATCCTATTTCAAGAAAACACATGGGCAGGCACACATGTATGCACATGCAGGCATACACACACACACACACACACACACACACACACACACAAACACATGGCATTTTAAAAAGAAGGGAGAAGACCCCACTCACAGGAATTTCTATGCTAGGTTTGCACTGGCTCTATTTCTCAAAACTCATCTCTGGGACAAAACATTCAACTGACATTTGAGGATTTCTTTTCTCCCCCAATCATGTGGTATAATGTTTGGCAAATGGAAATGACACTGGTTCTTCCCAAACCATGTATTTCTGTAAGAAACAGCCCATGGGCCACATTCATCTTCCCCTTGGAGAGGTATTTAAGCATCACTCAACCCTGTGGAGTAGGCTTATTCTTGATTGGGAGAAACAGCCAACACTCATTGCCTCTGGAAACTTGCCCTGAACATTGAGTATCATGGAGATTTCTCAACAAAGCATGGTCAATCTTGTGAATAACTTGGTGAACTTGGTGATCACATGTTTCCACTCTCCATCTATTCACCACCTTCCCATGAACATGTACGTGCCTATTTGTTCTGGCTTTTGCAACCAACCTTGCAAAATCTATCTTCTACAGCTCCCAAGGCATGAGGGTTTGTTTTTTTTTCCCGATTACCCTGCTGGCTTAGTCCTGGCTTCATCTTCAAGCCAGAGGCCTGGGTGGTCTTTGAGAAATCAGAGGAAAGGTCATTAATGAGAGATCATCTCTCAAAAGTGATCTTTTATGAAGTCGCAGGCTAAAACCTCCCTGGAGTCTTGTCTTCTCCTAGTTAGGTAAAGATAGTATCACATGAGCTTGGGCAAGAAGTTGGAGGAGCTCTGAAATGATGAAAATGCAAATGAGAGTCTCAAAATAATCCAAAGCAAATAATTTATTTTAATAAGTTAGCCAAGGCCAGGCGCAGTGGCTTACGTCTGTAATCCCAGCACTTTGTGAGACCGAGGCAGTCGGATCACGAGGTCAGGAGATCGAAACCATCCTGGCTAACATGGTGAAACCCTATCTCTACTAAAAATACAAAAACAAAATTAGCCGGGTGTGGTGGCGGGCACCTGTATTCCCAGCTACTCGGGAGGCTGAGGCAGGAGAACGGCGTGAACCCAGGAGGCGGAGCATGCAATAAGCCGAGATCACGTCACTGCACTCCAGCCTGGGTGACAGAGCGAGACAATATCTGAAAAAAAAAAAAAAAGTTAGCTAATAAATACCTAGTGAGGGATTAATATGCAAATGATATATGGTGAAAACATAGATTACAATAATGAGCCCATTGCCCATATGTCATTTACCTTACTTTTAGGATATCTGGCTTGTATATCAGTTTTTAAAGTAGGGCCTGAAAACTGACAGCCTGCAGGACTAATATGGCCCACAGACAGGTTTGGTTTGGCTTGCACAATTGTTTTAAAACTCAGAAACTTTACACTAAAATCCATACTTAGCAGCACCTCTTTAAAAACTGAAAGTTATGGCAACATGTTGACACATTAACAATTTATTGGAGCCACCATCTCCCATTGCCTTATACCAGAACTGTTTCACTCATGTATATTGCTTGTCTAATCCCTTTAGGAATTTGTGTTTTCCACCATTATAAAAGTGTCTGTCTTCGTAAATAGGTTCCATGAAAGGGGAATCATAATCATACCTGTTCCTAGGCTCTGTTGGTGGGATGTGCTTGGGCAGTTGTATTTATTATAATGTTACCTCTCACTCCACCTCTCCACTTCTCACCCTGGGTTGACTTTTGACTTCACCAGAAATGGCACCTGAATCAGAGGTGGCCCATCCTGAAGCTTGCCAGAGACTTCTGGCCAGACAAGAAAGAGTGAACAAGGATAATCACATTCTTTGCTCAGAGTTTGGAATTAGAAAGCTGAGCAACTGTTTCTAGTTAGTGACGGAGAAAATTGGAGACATTGCAAAATGCGCTTAGCATCACAGCAAGTCAAAGCCCTATGCAAGCTGAGCCGGGTGGTAGAGAAAGTCCTTGGAGAGGGGAAAATGGACTTCATGCACTGAAAGAGCCAGTGATAAGACACAAGGTTGCCCTGAAAGGCTGAGAGCACAGCTTTGTCCCCTTGAGTTCATTCTCAATTCTAGTTCTGGTGAAACCTAATGGACTTGGTTTCCAATCCTTGGATGTACCTGACTTAGAAAAACTTTTCCCCAGTCATCCTATATCCACCCTTCTTCTTAGGGAAATAATTCACTGAATTTCCTTAAGGGAACCATTCCACTATGAGAACTAAGATTACCTGAGAATGAATCCTATGCACAGGGGAGAGAAG
Organism: Homo sapiens; assembly: GCF_000001405.40. NCBI lineage: Eukaryota > Metazoa > Chordata > Mammalia > Primates > Hominidae > Homo > Homo sapiens. The sequence continues at coordinate 102,755,844 of NC_000012.12, forward strand.
ACTTACACCCTAAATATTTCAGATGTTTCCTATTTCTCCAGAAATGCTTTTACTCATCAGAAGGCTCTCTAAGCCTTCACTCAGTGTATCTGCCTATATTTAAGGCATAGTTGGGAAATAAAATAATTACGAAAATACATTTTGTAAGTGTTTATCGAGCATCATCTGTATATGATCCAATATGGTAAAGACTGAGAGGGAAACAAAGATGACCCAATTTCCTGCACTCAAGGGGCTTACAATCTAATTTGTAAGACAAAAAATGTATATGAATTGCTATTCATATTGCAGAATGAAATAAACAGTACAGTAAATAGTTGCAGATCCTTAGAGTCCTTAGGAGAGAGAGAGGAGGAAGTTATTCTCTTTAATGGAGGTTAGGGGGCTGCTTGGTAATCTGGCTTCCTGGCAATGAGGGGAGGCAATGATAGTTGGAGAACAATTTACGAGGAGACACAGACAACAGGGCAATGTTGATGGACATGAAGGGAGGCGACAGGAAAAAAAGAATATAAGAGATCTGGAAGTACAGCAGGACAGAGAGAATAATCTCTTTCATAAGAACCCTGGGGCATCGCTGGATGACATACTATTGCCCCCACCACCGTAGCACCAACACTGGGTATCGAGAAGGCTCAGAGGAGCAAAACGTCACCATGGATTTGGAATTCTTCCCAAGGGGACCTGCCTTCAATGGGGCTGTGAAGCTTTGTTTACATTTTAGAAGAGGGTGAGATGCAGCAAGAGCCTCCTGATTGAAAGGAACCATGGGAACAAAGGCATAGGAAGGCAAATTCAGGGGCAGTATTGTGTGCTGGGGGAGAGGGAGCGTGAGCAGACAAGCCTAACTGGATTGATCATTCACAGTGAAGAGTGCTGGAAAAACGCTGTTGATAAGGCTGTCTGGAGCCGGCCTGTGGAAGGCCTTGGATTGCAGGACAAAGGGTTTGGACTTGATCCTGGAGGCAGTGGGAGCCAGAGAAGACTGGGGCAAAGGGTTTACTTGATGGAAGAGTTCCTCATTCACTAAAGAAAAGCACCAGCACAGCTCATTTTTCTCCTTAGAAAACAATCACAGAATTTAGTTTTAGATGCACCCCCAACTCAGGGAAAAGCATATACCAGCCCCTGCAAAGTCTCCCGGGGGGAGTTCATGAGTTCAGACTCAAAGCACAAGATGTGTTTTACTTGGCATTTAAGCATTTCTATGGGTGATGCATGTCCTCAAACGAGGACAGACCGATATGATTATACACTTTATATCAGCTGATTCTCAGTGGTGCCCTTCCTCTCCACCATTCAGTCTCTGACCCCTCCACTTCCAGATATCCAGAGTAAAATGGTTATAAGACAGATTGTATAATTTCTTGGTGGCATCTGTGTGGTGTAGATTCTCCGGGTAAGGGCTTTGCAAGAACTGAACTACTGTTTTCTCAAGCTCTCGAGGTCTCAATTAGTCCTTAGCAGTGGATGAAAACACCTAGCATCCTGTCTGGCAGTGGGGCCTGGCACATGGCAGGAACTCAGCCAGAACTTGTTAGTAACAGTGTTTATGATACACAGGGTTGTAAACTGAAACTTTTGATGTATTTCTTCTTTCTTTCTCCCTTCCTTCTTGCTCACTTACTTCCCACTTCATTTCTCTTTCATTTCAGCTTTTCTATTCAGCTCATTCTTGTTTCTTCCCCCTTCGTTCCCTCTTTTCTTTTTACTTTCTATCTCCTTGTAACTTTCCTTTCTCTACAGGAACTGGGAAAGACAAGGGTGTGTGGGCGGTCATGGCTCCCCTCCAAGGAAAGTGTGAGGCTTTGGGCAAAATAGATCTCTCATTTCTTCCAAACATAGGTCTAATCTGAACTGTCTCCAGGCTCTAGTCTCCAATCCAACTTCAGTGGTTTTAGTTGGACTCCATGAGAAGGGACCCCAGGGATGCTGTGTCTTTAGTCTTGTCTTGGAGAAACCCAGCTTTCCATGCGTCTACTTGTCTCGCAGACTGGGGCACCCACGTTCCCTTTCCTCAAGTCACCAGCGCCTCAGAGAGACTCTTCAGAGTGAAATGCCTGGCTGAAGAGAAGCAGGACTTCATTAAGAGTTTGATTTATCCCCAAATGATCTATTGTTATGTATCAAACATGTTTTCCCTACAAACTAGTTGGCAGAGAGCACACAGATAAATTACTACAAGATGTAACCAGACAAGCTGTTCAAAAGGGAAATGGTTCTCTGTGTGTGGAGCTCAGGAGAGCACATCTATAAACATGTGTTGGGAAATCAATTTGGTGTAAGTTTGCAAAAGAAATGCACTGCTGTCCCCAAACTACCAGCTTGCTGTGATATCTGACTGTTCTTTTGAGATCGTAGTCCATTGTCACAGTGGTGAGGAAAGAGAGAGGTACAACCTACTCTGCAGTGTCTTCAAGGGGGAAGGAATACCAGGTTTTCCATAGGCAGTTGCAAATTCTCTCCCTAGGCACAAGTCAATTCATCCAATTCATTCTCTGGAGACAATAGGTTAGAGTAATTCTACCAACATATAACAACATTTAGTTGATGTTATGGTAATTTGAAAAGAATTATAGTAACATAATGCTACAGCACAGTACTATGTAGTGTGATGTGGAAGAAAACCCCCGGGTGTGGCTTCAGAGAGAGAAGTGTGTAAATCCCTTCCTGACCATGTGCAACTTGCTAGTTTGGTGACCCTTGGAAAATTTCTTCACTTTTCTGAGATTTTTGTCCTTTTTCTATGAAGCAGTTAAGTGTATACAGGTTGAATATCCCTAACCCCAAAATCCAAAATCTGAAATGCTCCAAAATATGAAACTTTTAGGGCACGAACATTTCACCACAAGTGGAAAATTCCATGTATAAGTACTAAAACACACTTCAGTTCATGTACAAAATTATTAAAGAAATACTGTATAAATTACCTTCAGGATAGGTGTATAAGGTCTACGTGAAACATAAATGAATTTCATGTTTAGACTTGGAGCCCATCCCAAGATATCTCATTATGTATATGCAAATATTCCAAAATCTGGAAAAAAATGGAAATCTGAAAGACCTTTAGTCTCAACATTTCAGATAAAGGATACTCAACTTGTACTACTTGCTTTGACAAGACTTGCAAGAATTACAGAACACATGCAACCTGTCCTATAACTGCACTGTGGCCAATAAATTAAAAGTGCTTACATTAATTCCTTAGTTCCTTCCTCACATGAGCTACATTTCGAGTGCTCAAGAGCCACATGGGGCTGTGGCTACTGTAATGAGCAGCACAAATATACAATATTTCCATTATTACATAAAGTTCCATTCAACAGTGTTGTCCTAGAACATGCCAGACACAAAGTTAGGTACTTTACACATAATTTTCTCTTGTTTCAAAATTTTCAAACACCTTGGCACATACAGCTTAATTAAAAGTCCATCTACCCAGCAAATCTGGAGTGCCCTTTGATAATCTGTTGCACAAAACTGTCCAAGACTGACTCTACCTAGTATTCTAAGCTGGCTCAAGTCTACAAGGCATAGTGATTGCTGAAAAATTGGAGAAGGTCAAAAACAGAGGACTTCTGGGCCTTTACCAAATGCATATATATGAGAGACTTTGGCTGCAACCACAAAACATATCTCAGTAGAGATGACAATGAGAATAGAAAGAAAGTGGAATCAGCAAAGGAAAAAAATAGTCCTGTAGGAATAGCCACCAAATACTCTTGCTTTAAACATGGTGAGGACAGCCTAAGAAACCTTCTCATGATTCATGTAACAGTCTTGGAAAAATTCCACGGTAGATAAAAGCTACTCCAAGATATGTAGCTGAAGCTTAGGAAACTTTCTCAAGGTCAAAGCCGAGTTATTCCAAATTTGCTTTCATTTCATTGAAGACCATCTTGACTCTTTGGGGTGAGTCCAACACATCTATGCTGCAGCTGATCATATTGTAGCCTGCTGAGAAGGACCTCTTGATCTTCAGAGCACATTTCCTGGCAGAAAAAATAAGGCAAGCACAAGGTAAGGTTGCCTTCCACAAGCAAAAGTGAAAAGAACAAAAGCAATAGCTACATTTGTTAAGTGCTTATTGTGTACCCTGTTCCATTAATATTACACTGGTCATCTGATTTAATCTTCACCATAACCTTATGAAGAAATATTAATAGCCCCATTTTATAGAGGAAGAATTGAGGCAATAAATGGCTAAGAACCATCCAAGGTCACAAGCTAGTAAATGGTAGAGCCAGGACTTGACCCTGTGCAGTATAGCAAGAATTCACATTCTTAACCACTGTGCCTGTTAGTGTAAGTGATCTCTCTGGCTTTCTCATTTAAGTTTCTAAAAATAATGAATTCTTATACAATCTTTAGGGTTTTCCTTCTGCAGCTTTTCTGGTCATTGTAGAAAACAGCCGTACGTATTACATAAAATTATAGCATTAAAAATAATGATATAAATACTGCTTTTTTTGACAATGCATCTTATAGCTCGTATATAAGCAAGCATTTCACAAATAAGTGAAAAATGCAAATAAGACAGTGAGATTGTTGTATCTTTGAAGGTGTGGGATCATTTTGTCTTGAATGTTTGAGTGAAGACATTGTCAAATGAAAATGGGCACTTAGATGGGGAGGGTGGTCCACAAACTAAGATTTGTAGATCTGCTGCCTATTTTTGTAAATAAAGTTTTATTGGAACACAGCCACATCATTTTTAGATTGCCCATGTTTGGTTTTGCACTACAATGATACAGTCAAGTAATTGTGACAAACTGCATGACCCACGAAGCCTAAAATATTTACCATCTGGCCCTTTACAGAAAAAGTTTGCTTACCCCTGACTTAGATGACAGTGACAAAATTATGTTCTGATAGTCTGTCTTAACTTATATCTGTCATTTTCAGTTGGTTGAAAATGTGGGATTTCACTGGTACAATATCAATGAAATTTGACATTATTTAATTTTACATAACCCAAAACTGCAAATAAGAGGAGCTGACAGGTCAAATGGCTAACATTTATAATGAAGCATTGTTGCAGTTCTGAATTTGACAGCCAAAGGCAATCCTAAATAAGATAGAATGAGAAGCTGCTCCATGATTCTCCAACCTCTCGTCCACTTCTGTCTATACCTCTAATCACAAGTAATCATTGTCATTATTCTTGTTATTGTTTTATTTACAAGGGTTTCACCTTTCCGACCTATAAGTTTCTTGAGGTCAAAAGATTGCCCTTTCATTAGCCCGGAACTTGGCACAGTGTTTGGTAGGAGACGGGCACATAGTAGTAGCTGAATGAATAACTACATAGCATTGAGTTAAAGAGTCCATGCTTAGGAGAGTTAGGGAAGCTGCTACAATACAGAGATGTTTGGCCAGAGTGCTATCTCAAAGACTGGGTGAGCCAGCAGTGAATTCATAAAAGTCACAGGGTTATTACCTAACCAATATGCAAATATATCCCAGGCTAAGTGAGGAAATCATGGCTAACTTTTACTGATCACACATTATCCTCTAGAGACACACCTTTCTCAGCTCCTTACATTTATTTCATTTAATCTTCACGACGACTCAAGGAAATAGGTTATTCTGTTTATTTCATAAGTGAGGAAATAGAGGCATAGAGAGGTTTATTACCTAATCCCAGCTTACCCAGCAAAAAAAAAAAAAAAGGTAGAAATCAGTCTTAAACCCAAGGAGTCTGAAACCAGAGACAAAATTTTCAATAGTTATGCTATATTCTTCTCTATGTGGCTGTATCTGTGACTTCTTCCTCTTCAGTGGTTTCCAAGACATTCTATAGGGAGCTCTCTGAGAACATATATTTTTACTTTTCTAACAAAAACCAATTGCCCAAACCTAGTTTGTTGCATAACTATGTATTTTATTGCCAACTTCCTAGTAACTAGCCTACACAAAAATAAAGCATATCTGGTGAACAGGGATAGGCATAACATACTCTATTGCCTTTATATTTCCAGCACTCATTTGGAATTTACTCTGTTATGCTTTTCTATGAAATTAAAATTATACTCTTTCAAATTTTGAAATACTGGAAAACTTTAGATAAAAGTCCTTGCTAGCCATATCCCAGTCTTCTGTCCAGTAGAATCAATATCACCCAGGAGCTTGTTAGACATGCAGAATCGAGGCCCCATCCCAGACTGACTGAATTGAAACCTGCATTTTAACAAGCTGACCAGGTGATTTATATGCACTTTAAAGTCTGAGAAATATTGACTCTGTCATGGCAGAATGATTACCATTGATTCCCCCAAAGAGAACAATTTGGGTACCTCTGGTTAGATGGGAAAGAGAGGCAGGCTGATAAAAACCTGATATGCTTGGGGCAGAGGCCCCATCCTAGCTGTGAAAAGACCTAGTGGCTTATAGCCCTGACTGCTTTTAAAAGCCCCAGAACCCAGGCTTCTCACCATACCAACTAATTTAGAACCTTTGAGGTGGGAACTATGTACCAGTATTTTTTAAAGATCCTGGGGTGAAGGTTAGTCCCTCTGTTGGAAATGGGTGTTCTTTGTAGGAGAGGAGGGAATGTGCCTCTATTTGCCCTCTTCAGCTGGGGAACTGACACTCACCTTTAATGTCTCAGTTTATGCCTTAATGTTTTTTTCCTCCAGGAAGTCTGAATTAGGTGCCCCTGCGTGCTCCACAGCACCTACGTTACTTTTATCAAAAGCTATTGTAATTTCCTGTGTACTTTTTTCTGTGTCCCATTTGCCTCAAAATTTCATGATGGCAACACAGTAGCCATCTTGCTCACATGTGAACAACAGCTGCAGGAATGAGCACTCAGTGCACACTGATCATGTGCCAGTCCCTGTGCCTCTATTACCTTAGTTAAGACCCATTGCAACCCTCTTATCATCTCCATTTTCCAGGTGACAATTGAAGATTTAAGAAAGTGAACTTGCCTCAGGTCACACTGCTTAGAAGTCCTTGGCGCTATTTTCAGTTCCTGGCACCTAGTAGGGTGTTCAATAAAGATTTGTTGAGTGAAAGAATAGAGGCATGAGCTATTGTCTTTTCAAGCCTGCCCACACCTTCTGTGGTGGAATTAAAGCCACACTGAGATTTCCTCCCCCTACTCTCCACCCCATCCCACACTCACTGGAGCTCAGCCTTGACATCTTTTAAGTTCTCTGCCACAAAATAGATGGGCTGAAAGTCCCAATCTTTATATGCCTGGATGGCAGCAGCTTCTGCATCAAAGGGCTTGTATTCTGGCTTGTTTGACAGAATGTGTTTAAAGAAAAAATCAAATGAGAGCGAAGAGACCAGATGTATAAAATTTTCCAAAGTATTTACTTTCAGCTTAGAGTCTCAAGCTGTGTTTCTCAACCTGAAGGCGGAGGACATAGTGTGGGAGGATTAGGGCATGGAATTGTGCAAAGGACCTTAATCCTCAGCCATGTCATATATTTTCTTGGAGTGGAAATAAGCTTTATTCTCCACTCCTAGATGTACTGTTGGATTGTAATACTGTCATAACAAATAAAATGCGAGCTCATTTAAAATTATCAAATCCATATTAGCTTTCCATCATCTTAGTAAGTACAAACAGCAGCGCTAATACATTTTGTGGGGTCCAGTGGGGATTTTTGAAGTTATTACTAGTAATAAAAATTCCAAATATATATTTACTGTGCAATGTACTGTGAATGCAGATTATCTCATATAATTCTCCATCAGCCCTTTGAGGTAGGCACTATTATTCTTGCTTTATACATGAGGATCACAAGATATTTAAAAACAGTGGTAATCGTATTTCCTGCTTAATAGTGTAATGGAGAGTAAACAGCTGGGGAACTCTGTCAGGTCAGTGCCAGAATGCCCTCCCCCACCAAAAATGAATCCATGGAGGCTCAGACAGCTTGGAGTGGGAGATGGGGAATGCTAATAACTATGCCTGGAAGTGACAGGGAGCCTCATGTAGACTGACAGAGTCTAAAATTTGGGAGTGGGTAGTAAGCCAGCAGGGAGGTGGCAGATGCCCAGACTATTTAGCAGGGCCTAGAATGGGTGTCTTAGGATGAGAATGGTACCTGTCTAAGGCAAATGAGTTATCACCTTGGGTTGGATGTGGAGAATATGTATGGACCTCCAATGTCTAGAAAGAGCGCTTCACATTTACAAGTATTCACTGAGTCCCTACTGTGTTCTGCGCACAATGCAAGTGGCTGGAATACGGTTCTGAGCAAAAGAGATATGGTTTCTGCCTTAATCAGACTTGTTTAGAGAAACTGTTCAAATATTTACATGAGGCACAACAAAACTGTAGCAAGTGTGATGAAGGAAAGGTACAAGGTGCTATACAAGCATCCAATAGCAGAATCTGATTTCATTTGGGGGTCTCAGAAAAGGCTTTCCTGAAGAAGTACTGGAGAGAGAGGAGAGCATTTCTGGCAAAGGGAATACTGGTGCCTAGATCCAATCCCCAGAGGTTCTAAATTGATTGATATGGTGATGAGCCTGGTCTTTTAAAAGGGAACAGCTCTTGGGAACTGGAGAGAGAGGAGAGCATTTCTGGCAAAGGGCCCCGAGGTAGAAGGAAGATAATACATTTGAGAAAGTGAAAGAAAGCCAATATGTCTTGAGCTCAGTGTGGGTGAGAAAAATACTTCTGTCTCGGAGGAGGTGAGACTCTGCACCAGCTATATAGATAGAGACTTTGACCCCAGAAAACAAGACAGGGAATGAACCATTGAAACCTGAGCCCACGAGAAGACTAGAAGGGCTAAGGCTATTGAAGTATGAGTCTGAACTTCAATTTGTCATCGCAAAGGATGCAGGTGGTCCCAGTGTAGCCCTCAGTATACTGCCTGACAAGTGTGCAGGCAGCATGTACCCTGCTTAGGGCCAGGAAAGTTGTTTCAGACCTAGCTCCACCTCCTTCTCAATTTGGTATTACTGGGATTCTGCTGACCCCATTGTATTGCTTAGAACATTGCTACTCAAATTGGAGTCTTAGACTGACAGAATTTCTAGAGGTGGGGACTGGGAGTTGTGTCGAGTGATCCTTATGTAGTTAAACTTTTGGTAATGGTGGTTTAGAAATGTGATCTTCAACCTTAACTGCACACTAGTGACCTAGAAGATCTTTAAAATTATTGATGCCTCAGCACCACCCCCACAGTTCCTGATTTAATTGCTCAGAATGTTTGTTGGGCATTGAGAATTTTGAAAGCTCTTCAGATGACAGTAATGTTCAGCTAGATTTGAGAACCACAGATTTAGAGGCTAGTTCCCAAATGCCAGTCCACAGATCAGCTGTATCAGAAATATCTGGAGTGCTTATAAAGAAATCGCCAGCCCTACTTCAGACCTAACATGCCAGAATTTCAAAGGGTAAAGCCCAAGAATAGGTACTTGAAAATATTTATCCTGACACTGAAAACAAATATGGGACCACCACGTGATTTTTGAACCTATCTGGGCTTGGGAGGCCCTGATTTAGATTGAGGCATCTGAAACTGTAATCTGATTCAGTCTGTGGCGGCGTCCAAGGTTCTGCATGTTTAACAAGTTTTAAGGTTGTGCTGCTCGTCTGAGGACCACACTGCAAGCAGCAAGGGTTCAGGAGACCCAGAGGAAAGAATGGGCAGCTTTAATTTAAAATCTGTAAAGGGCTGTACCTGAAATCTATTAGCACAAGGGACCCTATTTTCATGGCCCTCTCTCTTTACCAGACCACTTTCTTTAGGGCAAGGATTGGGCCATTATCGTGTCTCCATTGCTAGCATCGAAACACAGTGCTCAGCACATGTTAGGAACACAATAAATGGGTTTTGAATTGACTGAATACCATGACGTCCTTAGGGTCTAAGCTGTGGAGCCAGCTGAAGGTGAGACATTGCTATAATGCGGGCCTTCTGCCACTTCCAGTCATAAATTCCAATTGGACGGGGTCCAACGTGAAGCTGTGTGTTACCAAAGCCTCCTCTGTAGGGGGTAGGGTCAAAGCAGGCCTCTGAAATATTAATAATTCTGAGCAGTGACCACAGCTATGATATTTACAGACCCATGAAGCGCAAGAGACAGCCTGAGGTTGCTCACACAGCCAGAGACTCCAAGGACTTACTCTGCTCCAAATGGAGCATGTATATTGCCCAATCCTGCCAAAAGCCATACGGTTCATTAGCTTTTACTATACAGAGAAATGCGCCAGGCCTGGTGCTAAAATGACATGATAAAGCATATTTGACAGCAATAGTCAGAGGAAAAGGCACAGTGGGAACGGAAGAGCTCTGTGGGACGTTGCTCATGCCTTTGGAACAGAAGAAAAATACCTCTGCCTCTCGATTTGGAGACCCAGGCTGGTTGGAATCTGACAAGGACTTATTACTTTAGAAACGTTTTTCAGGGATTTGATTTCATCCCCTGGATTCTCTTTGCCTGGTGATGGATGTTTTTCTCCTTAATATTTTTTGATGCTGTGACTATTTGTGTGGTTTGTGAGTTAGATATTGGGAGGGGGTCAGGAGAGGAAAAAGACACAGAGAGAGAAAGAGTAAAAGACACAGAAAGACAAAGAGATAGAGAAGGGAGGGAGGAAGAAAAATGCCCACAACTGTAAGTGAGTGGAAAAGAGTGGATGAAGAGCAGTGAGGAAAGGAGATGGGATGTCAGAGGAGGGTGGATGCTAGGAGGATCCAGGTCAGGGCCCTCCCTTCATTTGGGATGGATGGTCTTTATACTTAAGGCTGGTCTTAGTGTGTTCTGATGGGTACTTATGTAATCTCTGTCTTCTTTCCAAGAGGCACAAAACTAGAATTTCTGGTCTCACCTTCAGTCCTAATAACTCTTTGCCTCCTGCCTTGCCATGAAATCTCTTCCCTAATTGTTTTTCTGCCACCATCACTCCTGTCCTTCCTATCAAAGACTACATGGTCTGGCTCAGGGACATTTACATTTATGTGTTAGAACTTTCTCAGGCTGTTATACCCCAACTTAATCTGGTCCTACCACACTTAAGTCTTTTGCCCATCTTCCCCCAGTGCCTTTGGCTCCCTTCTCTGGGCATAGCCTGAGACAGGGTTTCATGCTCTGCTTGGCCCACTCTCCACTCATCTGAGTACAGATTCCCCCTGGAATGTATTCCAAATAGCCCAGTGTTTCCCAAAGTGTGTTTTCTGGACCATCTGCTTCAGAGTCATGGAGTTGGGGTAGAGAAAGGGAAAAAAGGGATTTTTTTTAACATGCAGATTCCTGGGCTCGGTTCTCCAACCCCTAAACCAGACTGGGGACTGGAGGTGGGGGCAATTTTGAAAATATGCAGTTTTAATCCTTGACCCAGGATTGCGAAATATAGTAAAGTTTAAGAACCTCAGCAAGACCAGCCTTCTGGCTTCCCAGATTCTTTCTCCTTCAAGACCTGGCTCAGAAGATCAGAGACTCCCCTCCCGCAACACACAGGGTAATGTCAAAAGCCTGGGCCACACACCTTACACAAATCACTTAAACTCTCCAGGCCTTTCTCATCTTAAAGCAGGGGGCAGCATTGAAGTCACAAGTAGGAACAAGGACAGGACAGGTGACATCTAGACAGGAATGACGCTGGCCTGATGGGAATTAGGGGAACTGGAAGCTGCAAGCTTCAAGCAGGCAGCTGCTCCTCCAGTGCAGTCAATTGTGGCCAGATGGGAATGGGGCCCAGAGATGCCAAATCTTCTGAAATTTTTAGGGAAGCTAGAAATCAGAATTTCTATGTAACATTTCCCAATTTTTTTTTTTTTATTCTCTGGCTAATTTCTTTTTAACGGGCCAAATAAAATTACACATGTGGGGCATATTTTAGCTGTTGAGTCCACATTTGCAATCTCCAGACTAAGGCTCCCTAAGGTTGCTTTCCACACGAGAGTGCTGGCATACGGCGATCCTGAAGCCCCCTGGTTAAACAGGTTGTTCTGTTGCTGGTTGGAGCTTCCCAGCTGATCCCTCTGCTTTCCAGGAAAACCCCACAGCTCCCCTTGTTCTAAGAATCACTAAGGTTCTCAAAGCTTAGTGTGCATCACAGTCACTTGGAGGGCTTAGTTAAAACACAGCTTGTTGGGTCCTACCCGCAAAGTTTGCGATTCACAATGTCTGAGTTAGGACTTGAGAATCTGCGCTTCTTACAGACTCCCAGCTGCTGAAGCTGCTGGTCCAGTGTTGGCACGTTGAGAACCATGGCTGTAGACCCATTACTCACTACTTGTTACCTATGATGTTTGCTTTCTCCTTAAAACCAGCACTCAGGGCTGGGTGCGGTGGCTCATGCCTGTAACCTCAGCACTTTGGGAGGCCGAGACCGGTGTGGATCACCTGAGGTCAGGAGTTTGAGACCAGCCTGGCCAAACATGGCGAAACCCCGTCTCTACTAAAAGTACAAAAATTAGCCAGGTGTGGTGGCAGATGCCTGTAATCCCAGCTACTCAGGAGCCTGAGGCAGGAGAATCACTTGAACCCAGGATGTGGAGTGAGCCAAGATCGCGCCACTGCACTCCAGCCTGGGCAACATGAGTGAAACTCCATCTCAAAAAAAAAAAAAAAAAAAAAAGGAAAAGGAAAAAAGAAAAAAAAAAAGAAAACCATCACTCAGGTTTTAGCTTCTCTCTCATTCCTGAGTCACTTCGTACTGCAATACTTTGTGCCTTCCTGGTGTTGCTCACATGATCAAGAACTCATTTTAACAATAGCTGCCATGTTTGAGTGCTTACAGTGTGCCAGCCATTTGTCCAAACACTTTACTGTGTAATCGTCATCAGACCTTACTAAGGAAGGTATCATCCTCAATCTCTACATGAGGAAACCAAAGCCTGGTCTACATGAGGAAACCAAAGCCTGGAGAAGTTAAGTAACTGGCTTAATATCACAGAGTTTAGTGAATGGTAGAAACAAGGTCCCAACCCAAACTGTCTGGCTCCAGAGATTGGTTGTCATATAACTTATAGACCAAGCTGCAACACTTTTGAGAGTGACACGAGATACTATTAATAATTATGCCAGGACAACAGATATAAACCAAGACTGACCTTGGCAAACCAGGACATGAGGTTGTCCAACATATTCTGCCATTTTAAATGTACTCGTTGAATGGTTACAATCTTGTGAAAAGACGACAGGCTTTACAGCCAGCCAAATTCAGGCTTAATTGAGCAGAGGCGTGAAAGTACCCAACACAGTGCCTGCTGCATGGTAGGAAATCGGTAGATACCTGTTTCCTTCTGCCAAGTTTCTAATCCTTTGCTGGGCAACATGGGCAAGTGTAACATGTAGCCCTTATTCTGGAAGCCCTTACAATAGAGTTGATAGAAAAAAGGAACATAAATGAAAACTTTTAAAGATTATTCTAAGACTTTAGTAATCCGAGGCTGAGCATAAGAGTTCAGAGATGGTGATTCTCTTAGCTTTTGAATTTTTAGGTGAGTAGAAATTTGAACTGTGTCTTGAAGACTGAGTAGAAGGCAGGAAGGTTAGAATTGGGTATAGCTAAAGAAAGACTGAGTTTATTCAGAAGTGTCTCTGTGACATAAGTTTGTCAAATATTTCAGCTCCATTCCAACCATAGTAGTATTCCAGATACAATGAAACAGGGACACACTTTTGTTGTATTTTATTTTTTCAGTGTTGTGCACTCACGAACCCCTAGAGAGCCCAGATGAGGACTTGATTCTCCCAGGCATGGAAGGACAGACAGAGAAACTTCTTAGGAGCATTGGTCTGTGGTTTTCAAGACCTTCTGTTATTTAGGAATTTTGAACAAACTCCTGCCCCCGCAATGGTTTTCACAGTAAGAGCAACAGCTGCGGGGTACTTATTCCTCCCTGATTTATGTAAAAAGGAAGAGCAACTTCATCATACTTTTTCTCAGTCCCAAGTGCGGGAAATTCTAAACAGGCTCAACACCACCCTCTAGTGTGCACAAAGGGCGGACGTGGGAATTGAAGCCTGTTCATGACAAAGGCAGATGGTGAAGACTGGAGAAGGTAGAGGGAGAGAAACATCCTTGTATCTGCAGGAAGCCCATGAATTAATATATATCCAAGTGCTCTAAGGTAAAGTACTTCTTTAATAGAAAGATCTAAGGGAGCGCTTCCAAAAGAAAGAATATAATGTTCTGTGAAATACTAATCCCACGAGATTCCGTCCGCACGCGCTCTTTTTTTTTTTTTTTTTTTTTTTTATACTTTAAGTTCTAGGGTACATGTGCACAACGTGCAGGTTTGTTACATATGTATACATGTGCCATGTTGGTGTGCTGCACCCATTAACTCGTCATTTACATTAGGTATATCTCCTAATGCTTTCCCTCCCCCCTTCCCCCACCCCACTCTTAAAGTGCCCCACGGTTAACTAAGTTTGGAATCCTCTACACATCATTACAGTCTTCTGCAAGCCCCTGTTACAGCTTCAGTGTTTAGGAAAGCTGTTGGGAAGTTATGCAGTGATGAAAAATCCACTTCCCACAAACATTTGACCCCTGAACTTTTTTTTTTTTTTTTTTTTTTTACCTCTACAAGCCCCATGTCATCCCCTAACACAACTTCTCATGGAACGTACTTTGGGCAATGCTACTAGAAAAAGTACAAATGAAGTTCTTACCTCCGGCTTCCCATTTGATGAAACAAGTCCTGTCCCATAGGCTTCGATGGCTCCACTCTGCTTGCAAAGATCAAACTCTAAAGTAAACCAATAGAGCTGATCAAGGCACAAAATGGAAAAAGAATGGAGCGGTGACTGAAACCAAATATCTAATCAACAGTGCCAAGGACTGGAAGATCCCTCAAGAGGCTGAGAGGCAACCCAGTTCTTCCCCACTTCAACCCCATCCCGATCTTCAGGCAGGACAGAGAGCCTTCGTACTGCTCTCCTAATGCATCATCCTCAGTCCCCTGGACCCCGCTTCTTTCAAAGTTCAATTATATCTGAGGCTTAGTTCAAGGGTCCTCTTCTTCAAATCTTCTCATGACTCGGGGGCCCACTGAGCATTTCCTTTCCTTCAGTTAGATCACCCTTTCGTGTATTCATTAAAAGCACATTGAACACTTACCATATGCATGATACAGTGCTGGGAAATACAGATCTGAAATAGACAAAGATCCTACCCCCCAGAGGAGCTCACAATTTCTACCACTGGAAGAGGAATGAAGAGAAGACAACGAAGGCTCAGTTCTAAGGAAGGCTTCAGCAGATGAAGATACAGTAAGTTGCGGGCACATTGCCTTGTAGAACATATCCAACAGCATTCTCACCATGATCACATCAAGTTATCAGAACACAGCCTGCCTCAGGTTAAGCACTCTATGGATGTTAGCTTTTATTTGTGTTGTTATTATCATTCTTGCTATTATGTATTACATTTATGTTGTATTACTTTTTTTCTTATTCTACTGTTCCTGTACAATAAAATTGAAGGGTAAGATGCTATCTCCACCACAAATGGTTTAGTTTGTGAAATTACTGCAATACTCAGTGATTGCTGTGATTGCTGATAAATATCAATGCCAATGACACTTTATTCCTCTCCCTGTAAAATGATGCTACCAGTAACTATCTTTTCAGATTTCATTGATTCGTCAATTTTTCTTCATTCATTGAAATAATATAAGGTTTCCATTATGTGCCAGACTCTGTGCTAAGGAAAGGGAATATAATAATAAGACAGACAAAGTCCCTGCCCTCCTGGAGTTTGCTACATCTCAGAATTGTGGAGATTTCAGTGAGATTACTTTATATGTGTGCATTTTCTGATATGAAAGGCTGGGTAAATGTAGAGTATTATTATAACTTAACAACCCACCAACACTACTGCTGTCAAGCATAGCCTCCAGTCTCTGAAATAGAGAATCTCACTGTGCTTACCTGGCACAGTGCCTGGTTTCATAGGCACCTTCAGAAATGTCTGCTTAATGAATGAATGAGTGGAAGAATTAATTAGAAACATTATTACTAAATTTCATTTTCTACATAAATAATAATCATGATGAAATGAAGGGGGGTGAATGGGAATACCTATGAATTAGTCAACTCTTGTTACATGGTAATTATGACATTGTGTACTTTTTTATCATTGTCCTCCTAGCAACCATGGTGTTCAGTATCAATATTCTCATTTTACAGATGAGCATAAATGAAGTTCAGGGATATTAAGTAACTTTCCCAGGGCTTCAAAATTATAAGCACAAATAATAACGGAATCAGTGGCCTGAGAACACACTCACATTTTCCTTCTCCTTTAAGGGGTAGTTTCATTCTTTTCCCCAGACCCTATTTTATTATTGAGGAACATGGTCTTCTTTTCCAGATTAAACTAAATGGGGATGGATGAGGTGATGAGTTCCACCTAATGTGTCACAGCTGGAGATGCGTGTCATGGCCATTAACTGAAATTAATGCCCTGAAGGCAATCATTACCAACCCCAGCCTAATAGAAACCAAGGGCATCTCTGATAAAACAGTTTTGATTTCCTCCCAACATTTTCCAAATAAAGTGAAACAAACAACAGATTTCCTTAACACCAAAAGATGTGTTGTCGCTGAGCGGATTGAATCTTGATACAGAACTCAGTTACAAGGTAACAGGACCAAAGAAGGTCTAACAGTCACCTATTTGAACCGTTTTCTTGATGATGAATCTTCTCTAATGCTCCCTTCCCCAAATGCCCTCTAGCCTATGCTTGGATACTCCTAGTTGGAGAATTTCTTCATGCTTAAGATAGCCCATTTTATCTTTAGAGTGAGCTTATTGGAAAGTTCACTGCATGTTGAGCTGAAACCTGCTTCAAGTGGCTTCTCCTCATTGTTTCTAATTTTCTTCCTGGGAGTCACTAGGAAATGTGATTTGCCATCCCCAGGAATAGTGTTTCCAGACTACTCCTATGGTACTTGCTCTACTACACACTTATACACTCAATATTTTTATTCAACTCATTATAACTTTACCTATTTTAATCTACAACTAAGCAATAAAATCTGTGAAATCATAGGTTGATGTGTTAGCTTTATGGTTTTCTAACACATATTAATATTATTAATGTATTATTAATTATATATATTGTTTGTGTTATACATTATTTATATTAATGTATTATTAATTATATTATCATTAATGTATCAATGGTAGTATGGCCATCCCATTTGGGAAACACCATGCATATCCCTTCTCTGTATATACTAGTTGAAAATAACAGCCAATCTTCATCGAGTTTCCAGTTGGACAAACATTCTTAGTACTTTCAATTATATAATATAGAGTGAAATTAATTTACTACCTTGGTTATTTGCCTCCAATTTGTCTGTATGCCTATTTAGGTTTGGGGGCCAGTCTCAAATACAGTACTCTCATTATATATGCTATGATTTTATTAATCTGTGTTTCCATTAGCCTTGGAAGTCAGACTATGTATTTCTAAAGAGTTCACTGGTCCTCAACATCTTTAAGTCTTTGTTACCTGCACCAGCATATCATCCTTCCCCATCTTGTTCCTTCTTTTGGAAACAAGTATAAGAGCTTTCATCAATCCTCACTGCATTTCATCTTGGCCTATCAATTTATAACCTGCGAAGATGCTTGTTGATTCTGATTCTGTTACCTAAATTATTCATTTTCTCTCCAATCCTCTAATTATATATATATATTTGATAAACATGCATTTTGTATTTTCATGTAAATCACTGACAGGCATGTGGTCCTAGAAACTTGCTTCCAGATTAATATTGGTCCATCAATCATCTTGCTTTAGGCACTAGTTACTATAATCAAATCCATGTTTATTATTAATCCTCTAGAGGCTTTTGTCATTTAACATGGCCTATATAATACTCTGGTAATTACTTCTTACATACTGATGTACCACCCATATGAACACTTGATTTTTGTAAGATTACTAAAGAATTCTTTAAACATCACTCTACTCTGGAAGTTATAATAAGGATTATTGAGTTCCAACTTATCCATTTATTGGACCAAACACTTGACCTATACTGAGCATTTTAACTGCAATAAGTTCATAATAATAAAGATTACTATCCTGAAGATATTGGAGGAAGATATTGGAGATCCTGAAGATTTTTAAGGTCATAACACCAAGCTAAGTAACCTGGTTGGTAGGTGGAGAAGATAAGATTCAAACTCAGGTCTGTCTGACATCAAAGTCCAATCCATTTCTATTGTAAGATGGTCAGCTCAGAATGGAAAACGCATTTGGAAAAATGTCTGCTCTCACGTTTGCTGGGTATAGTGTCTGCATTTTGTACGCTAATATGTAACAGCTATCCTGGAAAAAATATCAGGTCCTTTTCTGAGGGCTTTGATTTTTTTAAAGAAAATTGTAGTCACATAATCTGCACAGAAGACAAGCTCCTATAGAAGATGAGGCATTCTTTGACCCTGCAAGGAGTCTCAGTGTGGAAGCTCTGAGCAGAGAGCAGCAGCAGGGTGCATGCACACTTAAGTTTTGCACAGTGAGGCAATACTTTTAAAAGCTGGTATATTAAGCCAGATCAGAATTTAAAATGAGCTTATCTGTGATCTCTAACTGTGGCATAATTCCATAAGAAGAAGAAATGAATGTCTAGATTTATCCCCCGATCCTGAAGCAACTGCCACTGCAGCTAACACTAGCTTGCTTCTGCTTGATGGATAGCATAGTAGTATCATCTCTAACCATAGTACTCTCCAATGTACATTTATGGACACATAAGCAATCCAGCTCCTCTCCCTTTAAGAGTTGCTGTCCTAGAAATGGGGCTGCACTATTCATCCCACCCTACAGAGGGTACAGAGGGCCACTCAACATGGGGGCCATTTCAAAATGATGTAGGAGACTGATGGCTCCCAAAGGTAGGACAGACTAGTAGCTGTGCCATATGGACTTTTAGTTATTGGACATTCACCCCTTTGGGAGAAAGTTGGGATGGCTGCTTTTCAATAGGTGCAGGATCTCTGCAGCTTTGGCCCTGTCTCCAGTACTTAGAGGGTGGGTAGCAAGCAAACTTTTCCAGCAGAAGGCTGTGTTTTCACATGCCAAAAATGCATTTGGCCATGGAGCTGTTGGAGAAGGCCCCAGGGGGAGCCTCTGTGTTTTTGCATGGTTGTGGGTTGCTAGGTCTGGGATAACCTGGGGCAGGCTGCATTGCTCACCAAATCCTTAAATTAAGTACTTCAACAAGGGAACATGGGGTAAGCATGCCTGGCTTTTTCTGTCAGTGCTGGCAAAGCCAATTCCATAGCTGCCATGTCAAAGACCTCATTCAAGGTATGTCCAGCTGAAAGCACGGAACAACTTGGTCAGGCCAGATGGCTGGGCCATGTGGGAGGGAGCCAGTCATCCACCAATGCTTGTTTAAGGTAATCGGAAACACTTTTAATAATAATTTCATTAAATTTTTTTTCACCTGCTTCTAAATAGCAGTGGAGCCAAGTTCATGTAACTAGGGAGAATTTCATTACAGTGGAAACTGTCTTACACATTGTTTTCTTCTGTGGTCCAGTAAGTACACTCCCAAGAGATATCAAGCTGGGACTTCCCAGGATGAACTACCTTGATGGTGTCAGTGCACCCCAGGGCCCTGAGAACTTGAAATTTGATTCGATCTATAATGTGATCTTCTTGATCACTAGAACCAGCAGAAGGCCCTCCCACAGCCCCAGTGAGAGAAAGGCTTGAGTCAGCACCCACCTGGAGGAGGTCCCTCCACCCAGTGAAGTGAACCTTCTCTGTTTTAGATGGATGCCTCTGAAGCCACCAATGTGTCTTGACAGCAGCTAGCTTGTGCAGAATACTTTCTTTATTGGGCCTATGGCATTTCTCCTGTGGGATCCCATATTTGGCCCCAACTAAAGAGCCAGGGAAGTCTGTCTCCACAGCTGCCCAGTGTGCCCCGATGCATAAGAACATCAGGGTGTATTTAGAAGATGTCCATATCCGTAGGGTGGAACAAATTATATTATTTCACAGAGCAACTGCTATGATGTCCTTCTCCCTCTCTTTGTCCATAAAATTCTTTCAAGAGCAACATAAATGTCTTTCAAAAAACCAATTTCTCTGTAACCCTCTCAAATTGTAGCTTCCTCCTCCCGTTTCCCCAAATACCTCAAGATGTAAAGATGGGGTAGGCATCCTCTATGCTTGGAATTACTCATTGGAAACTATTTTTACTTCCTCCTTCAACAATCCAGTTTCTTGTGACCTTCCATGCCTCCATATTACTGATCTTTACTGACCACTTGATGAATGGCCTCATCCATTGAGGACTTTAGCACTTACCTTGTTATTTTCTTCTCCACCTCTATTTCTGGCACCGTTGATAACTTCAACACTTATAAGGCTGACTCATTTAGCTCCCTGCCTTCTCAGTTCTTTTAACTCTTTGCCACTGATATAGTTCTGCTTTTACCTCACTTCAGTCACACATACCCCACAGTCTCACCCCTACTAAAATCTTCACTCCCCCAATCTGTTCCAAGCATTGTCCCCTCTAACCACAACCCCCTCTTCTTCAACTCCATTACTGGTACCTAGGCCCTAATAATAAACTGTCCCTCGATCCACCTAGCAGTCTCTCTCTCTCTCTCTCTTTCTCTCTCTCTCTCCCTCGCTCTCTCCTCTCCTTCCCTGCCTTCCTCCCTTTTTCCCCTCCATCATCTTTCTTGGAAGAACCATAACACTATTTAAATCTAAATATTTTCTATTCCTACACCTAAGTAGCTTAATGTTGCTGGAGAAAATCAAATGGATGTGCTGATTGGCTTGGCTGAATTTCATAATCCCAGATCTCAAATGATCACTCATGATCATTTAACATTTATCTACTTGACTTACTCATAAGTTCACTTTACATCTTTCTGAGATAGTTATTGTATACCTTCTCTTCATCCTCCAAATTTTCACATGCTTTTTCTCCACCCCTCTCCTCACTCTCAGCTGATGATCCCACTTGAAAAAACAGGAATGAAAAGTCAGAACTCCATTATCTACCAGGCAAAAACATCTACAAAAATCAACCTCTATTCTCACCTACATTCTCTGCCTACCTCGCTGCCACAATGGAAGTTGTGTTCCTGCTCCTGCACCTGCCCTCATTTAACACCTGAAATTCACCCTCTCACCATCCGATATGGTTTGGTTTTGTCCCCACCCAAATCTCATCTTGAATTGTAGCTCCCAAAATTCCCACGTGTTGTGGGAGGAACCCAGTGGGAGATGATTGAATCATGGGGGAGGTTCCCCCCATGCCATTCTCAGCATAGGGAATAAGTCTCTTGAGATCTGATGTTTTTATGAGGGGTTTCCCTTTTCACTTTGCTCTCATTTGCTCTTGCCTGCTGCCATGTAAGACATGGCTTTCACCTTCCACCATGATTATGAGGCGTCCCCAGCCATGTGGAACTGTGAGTCCATTAAACCTTGTTTTCTTTATAAATTACCCCATCTTGGTTATATCTTTATCAGCAATATGAGAACAATTAATACACCATCTCAGGCACTTTGCTTCTGTATCCTGTTTGTCCCACTCTGTTGCCTCATTTTTATCAGCATATAAACCTGTTCTACATCAGTGCTACATAGCAGGCTAGGCCGTGAGGAGATAAGATTACACCAGAGTGTAAATCAATGCATTGGTTCTTTCATTGAGAATGTCTTCCTATGAAAGAATGTCAACTGAACTAAGAATTTGGCTTTGTGATGTCGTTGATTCACATTTGGTTCATAGACTGGCACAGATCTACAGAACTAGCAGAGATCTCTGATGAACCACACTTTGAATTACACTGCTTTGAATTTTCCATGTTTAAAAACTCTCCCTTGGCCTCAATTCCTCCCCAGATATTTCTGATTTCTGAGCTCACTCAGAAATATTTCACTGAAGAGTTGTTTAAACCCACCATCTTGACGTCCTTGGCACACATTTGCCATTTAATCTATCAAGTCTGGCTTTTGTCCCTCTCCCTGTAACTGAATTTTACTTGCCATGCTTTCTTCCAGCCCCAATGTTATATATTCCATTATTGCTACTGTGCCCTCATTTCCCTCTTGTCTATCAGTGGTAGTAAACTCAATTACCTGCTCCTTTCCTGCAACACTTTAATTACTCAGCTTCTATGATACTGTGTTATCTTGGGTTTCCTCCTTCTCCTCCTTCATCTCCATTGCTGCCTTCTCTTCCTCTATCCAACATCTAAATGAATGGCTGAATGGACGATGAAAATGCTAACTCCTCTGGAAAACCTTTTCTTGTATTATGTAATGGATTTTTATGTTTCTCTGCACTCCTAGATTATTTTCTTCTTCTCCTTCTTCTTCCTCCCTTCTCCTTCTCTTTCTCCTCCTTCTCCTTCTTCTTCTTCTTCCTTGAGATGGAGTCTTACTTTGTCACCTAGGCTAGGCTGGAATGCAGTGGTTTGATCTTGGTTCACTGCAACCTCCACCTCCCAGGTTCAAGCAATCCTCCCACCTCAGCATCCCAAGTAGCTGGGACTACAGGTATGCACCACCATGCCTGGCTGATTTTTGTATTTTTAGTAGAGATGGGGTTTCACCATGTTGGTCAGGCTGGTCTCAAACACCTGACCTCAGGTGATCCATCCGCGTTGGCCTCCCGAAGTGCTGGGATTACAGGCATGAGCCATCACGCCCAGCCTAGACTTCTTTATTCTAATTTCTATGTGTTCTTGATTTCATTCTTTTGTTATTTCTATTTGTTTCTGTGTCTGACTCCCCAAAATCTATAATGATCTCAAGTTCTTGGCCACAGCTTTTGAATGTGATCTTTGTACCTGGAGTGCCTTTCCTTCTCTTCATTAGTTCATTAAGGTAAAAAATATTTATTGAATGCTTTTTGTATGCCAAGAACCATGCTAGGTGCTAGAGATGTAGTGAGCAAAGAATCCTGTCCTTATAGAGCTTACAATCTGCCTCCTCTCTAATTTTAAACTCCTTCCCATTATCAGAGCACAGCACAAATGCCATTTGCCACTCCACAGTGCTATGCAACACCCTCGTGCTATTACTAGCCTTCACCACAACCCTGAAAGCCACATATCATTATCTAATTTTACAGATGAGGAAACTGAGGCTCATCAAAGTTAAGCAACTTTCAGGGTCTCTTACTTAGGAAAGTTAGAGGCAGGGATCAAACTTGGGATTGCTCTCTCCAAAACCTTTTCCTTTCTGCCACACTAGAGACAGGATCAAAAGGAAGATTAAAGAGCACAAGGGAAGAAAAGTATGGTTAAATGTATACAAGCAGAAAAGAAATGGGGCAGGGTGGGCTGAGAAGAATCAGAAGAACCATATTGCGAACCGAATGTACGTGGGCTCCAAATTTGGACTTCGAGTAGACGCTATTAGAACACTGGTGTATGATGGTGCAGAAGACTCCGCATGTTGTGTGTGCCTTATGGCCTTGAGCTAGATAGTAAGGTTCTATGATAAGAATCACGAGTCTCCTATCCTAAAGGAGATTTTATTTAATTAATAGAAAACAGGACTAAAAAGTAGTTTCTTCAGTTTTCTCTAATCTCCCTCTCAAACAAATGCACACACACACACACATGCACACACACCACCCCTATACCCTTTCTGACTTTCCTTCAGAAAAGAACTAAAATTAGCATTTACTTACCATACTAAATCAGAATTTTAATTGGTGTGAGTACAAGTCTCATTTACCAGACATGTGGCAAAACGACTTTAGCAGAGGTACCAACTTAGTGTGAGACAGGAAGTTTTCAGGTTTACATTGAAAAGAGGCTTCATCGTAGTCACTGAGGTGTAGTTGCAAAGAAATTTAAATGTATTTGAGTCAAGGTGTGACTGCTCTTAACTAGCTATGTGACCTTGGGGAAATCTCTGAACCTCTTTGTGCTTTAGTTTCCTCTTCTTGGGACCTAAAGGTAGTAATGTGTCCCTGAGCTGCTATAAATATTTAACAGTCTTATAAAAATCTTAAATTTAGCTGTACAAACTAGCTGTATGACTTTTAGCAAGCTACTTAACCTCTGTGTGCCTCAATGTCTTAATCTGAAAGTGGGTATGATAATAATGCATGACTATGGGCTTCTTATAAGGATTAAATGACATAATGACCACAACACTTAGAACAGTGCCTGCTACATGGAAATTATTGAGCAATAAATGTTAACTATTGTTTTATAGTTATTATCAGCATCATTATTATGGTGAAATGGAAAAACAGTGGTAAACATTTGCAACAAAATAATTACAACCTAATAACTATGGTTTTCTGGTTAAAATATCTAAACAAGGAACTCTTTGAGAGGAGGATTTAAAATCTGTATTGAAAATATGGGAACCACATCTCTAAGGCATGTGGAAGTTGGCAGCTATTATGCACCTACTATGTGCACCATAACATGCTGTACACATGGCATCTTTTCCAACAAACTGTCCCTTGGCTCAGACCCATGGTCTGTTAATCCAGCTTATGCCATTGATATTAACACCAATAAAAATGTTGTAGAATACTAGTGACAAGCAAACTGCTGGCCTATCAACCTTAACAGTTTTAGAGATGTGTTTCCAACACTGGGGACATAGCAAGGGCTCAACTCATTATTCAGATATTCCATTCTGTGTCTCTTCATGACTCTTAAATTTATTTATTTCCAACTTGCATATCTTGGGGTAAGAAAGAGCAAACATTTTCTGATGTAAAACACTCCATGCCTGGCATGGAGTGAGGGCTCAGTCAATACAAACTATTTACATATCAGTCATGTGTCACTGTTCTTCCTTTGTTTAACGATGATATTGAAAGTAGAGGCCAGGTACAGTGGCTTATGCCTGTAATCTCAGCACTTTGGGAGGCCGAGGCAGGTGGATCACCTGAGGTCAGGAGTTTGAGACCAGCCTGACCAACATGGTGAAACCCCGTCTCTACTAAAAATACAAAAATTAGCTGGGCATGGCGGCACACACCTGTAATCCCAGCTGCTTGGGAGGCTGAGGCAGGAGAATAGCTTAAACCTGGGAGGCGGAGGTTGCAGTGAGCCAAGATCATGCCATTGCACTCCATCTTGGGGAACAAGAGCGAAACTCCATCCCCACCCCCACCCCACGCCCCCCAAAAAAAAGAAAGTAGAGGCAGGGGGTAAATGACATTTTTACTGGCTAGTATGTGCCAGACAAAGTGTGCTTTGTGTACATTCTTCTCTTTTACTTCTCAACTATACTCACACGCCTGAGTAAAGCTGGAGAAAAACAAACAGCGATGCAGGTTATAATGTGTGGGTGATTGGATCACTGTCATATTTAGGGCTGCCCTTTATTGGAATTTTAGATCTATGCCCTTTGCCATATGACTTTGCATTACCACCCAATGCAGCAAGCCTGTATCCCTGATCTGCTATGGAGAGCTTGGCCATGTGACTTGCTTTGGCTAGAAGAATGTTGGCAGAAATGTCAATGTGCCAGCTTTGGGCCCAGGTCCCTTTCACTTCTGCATTTTCTTGAGAAAAGCTTCCCTTGCATATTTGCTGACCTAAGTACAATCAGCAATGAGGAATAAAGTCCAGCTGGACTTGTGGCTTGAAACAGAGCTGTCCAGCTCACCCCAGCAGAGACTGGCCAACCCCAAGACAACCTGCAACAGCAACATGATAAATAGAATGTTCATTGTGGTATACTGCTGGGACTTTGGTTGTATGTTACATGGTGCCAATTTAATGACAGTAACTGATACGTAATCACTTCAGACTCAGGATCGTCAATCTTATGATAGCCCCTAAGTCTGTCTGGCATCAACATACATTTCCCTAGTCCATCTGTCTCTATCTGCAAATCTTTAACATGTACTATTCCTTCCTCATTTTTGGCCGATGTCCTTTGCTTATAATTTCACTGAGAAAAATGGGAAAAACTGGAAAAGAACATGTTTCCTCAACCACTGTCCTACTGGCCAGCATCTGTGCCTGTACACTCTGCCATTTCTTCCAAATGAACTATCTGTTCATGCTCCTATCAAAAGTGACTTCTCCCTTTGAGCTTTAAATCACATCCTTCTTGCTCCAGATTTTTTCCCTCTCCATATCCTACATCATCAATTTTCTCTCCTGAGATGCATCATTTCCATCAACATAGGACGGAAGGAAGGAAGGGAGGAAGCGAGGGAGGGAGGGAGGGGTGGAAAAGGAAGGAAAAAGAAGGAAAGAGGGGAAGAGGGGAAAGGAGCACTTTTCTTGACTCCTATTTTCCCCAACAACTACCACCTCACTTCTCCGACTCGTACTATAGCAAAGTTCCATGAAAGGATTGGCTATATTCTCCATCACCAAGTCTTCTCTTTCCTACTAAATTCACTGCAGTCAGGATTTGATCTCTCCCACTTCAACAGACTACACTAGTCAAGGTGCCAATACTCTCCACATTCCTGAATCCAGTGTTCAATGCTTAGTCCTCATCTTATTTGACATAGAAGCTGCTTATGACTCCATTATCACTCCCATCTTTCTTAAATCACCATTTGCTTTCCAGGACCCTACACTCTCCTGATCTTCCTCCTACATCACAACTACTCCTTCTCAGGCTCTTGAAAAGCTGAAATGTCCTAATGCTTAAGTCTTGAAACTCTTCTTTCTTGACTCTCTCTCCTTTGATGATCTTAATCAGGATCATGGCTTTAAATAACATTTAAATACTAATGACTCTCAATTTATTATTCAGCTCACATTTCTCCCTGAATTTGACTTGTATATCCAACTGCCTATTTGATATCTCCTGCTTGGACATCTAATGGGCATCTCAAATGTCACATGAGTGATAGCAAACTCTTGATCGCCTCGCTGTACGCATATACATACACACAAAAAAATGTTTTCTCCATCTCAGTAAATGGAAACTCCATCTCTCTATTTGAGTATTTTGAGAGCCTTGGCATCAATCTTTGATCCTTTTTTTTTTTTTTTACCACTTGTTTGTTGTCAAATTCTGTCAGTTTCATCTTTAAACGACATCCACAATCTTACAACTTATAGCACCTCCACTGTTACCAATGTGGTTCAAGCCATTGCTATTTCTGGCTGGGATCATTGCAATAATCTCCTAATGCTCTCCCTGCTTCCTCCTTTGTTCCTTCATTCTGTTCTCAATGTAGCAGTCAAAGTCATGCTGTTCAAACTTAAGTTAGGTCAAAGTTAAGTCACTGCTCTGCTCAGAACCTTCCAAAGGCTGCACACCTCACTCAGAGTGAATTCAGCTCTCATGGTGACCTATGTGGCCTTACCAATTCTAACTTCATCTGTTACTACCCTTCTCTTTTGTCCACTGTGCTCTTCCTAAGGCGCATTTCTGCCTCGGTGCCCTCAGACTTACTTTTTTCTTGCCTAATTACATGGTCTACTCCCTTCTATCCTGTAGATTTGCCCAAATGTGATCTCCTCAGGAAGACTTCCTCTGTCCCTTCCTAGTCCACTAGCAATCCCCACCTCTACTTCCTTGCTTAATTCATCTCCTTAGCATTCATCACTGTCTAACATACTGTAAGGTCCTTATTTATTTTATTTATTGTTTGTTTTTTCTGGACAATCTCTGGGAGCAGGAATTTTTGTCTAATTTTTCCTTGTTAAATCTCATATCAAAAGTATGCCTGATACATAATAAACATTCAGAAATTATGTGTTCAAAATATGAATCATATCATTTAATCCTCTCAACAAATTTATGAAGCATATTCTGCTCTATTCATTTCAAAGAGGAAGAAAATAAGGCTTAGAAAGTTTAAGTAACTTGTGGAAGCTCACATTGATGATCATTGCTGTTTATTTGGCCTGATCCATTTACAGTAGGGTACCATTATATTGCTTCACCTTCCATAATATTCCATCTCCTAAAACCAGTAGCTTTCAGGTTTAGTCCTACCACCTCTAATCGCTAGTCCTTTCCATGCCAATTCTCTTTGCCTGAAGTTGTCAGCATTTCCACCATAGTTTCTACTGGGCTTTTGAAGTAGAGAGCCATACTTTTCCATGTTCTAACTCATTCCCTGCCCCAAGCGGACCAGTGAGACAAGAAGCTCTCCTTTAGTTCAGTCAGATACTGAAAAGAAATTCTACAAATGAGAACATTCTAAGTAGACTGTCTATAGCCTATTGGATATGAAATGTACTTTATCAAACTTCCTTATTGTGTATTCTTCCTGATCACTCCAGATAAGAGCTTTGACCCTGAACACAGGAAGTCCTAGTTCCAATTTTGACTTTTCCATGTGCTAGCTGTATGACCAAGAGCAAGCCTCTTAATTTATTTTTGACTCAAGTTCCTAATCTACAAATAGTTCCTCCTCAAGAGGGTGATTGTAAGGCATGAATGAGATTATGTACATGAAGCACTGATAAATATGATGAGAATGTACAGAACATTTAGGATAATAAGGATAATAGCCCAGTGTCAAGAGAAGGAGTCTAAAGAGAAACACAGGAGCTGGGTGACCTGTCACCATTCCATAGTCACAAGCTTCACTCTTGATTCACAGAATATCTATGTAATAAATGTAATAAATGAATTAATTGTTGATGCATTGGCCTAAGTTAGATCGTGTGGAGGAATTTATCACCATGGCTAGAAAAAAATCATTACTCAATCACAAGACATTAGTTAACAAATTTCCACTATGTTCTCTTCATTACAATCTCCACTATGTTCTCTTCATTTTCATGGATTATACCAGTAGATTAGTATATTTGTGGAGATAAACATTTACATGGGAAAGAAACCTAATAGTACTCTACAGTAAGTGGGTAGAGCCAAAGACACAGCAATGTCCGTCAGCATTAGAGGGGCAGAGATAATTTCCAGGAAAAGTGGTCAGGGAGAGCTTCAGAAAAGAGGTGATATTTTGGAGTGGTTTTGCATGTGATTTGTATCTGAAAAAAAAAAAAGGCAAGAAAACAGAGGTCTCATTTAAAATTTGAGGCTGGAAAGAAGGGTGAAACCAGGAACTAGAAGACCTTGAATAACAGTTGAAGAACTTTGGCCTTGATCCTACAAGAAATGGGAGAGTGGATCAATATATAATAACATAAGAATGATATAGAGTCAAAGAAATCTTGAATGTCTGGAAAATACCCCAATCAGCTCAGCCTTCACCTGGGACCACGGAGAAAACCTAGGTCCAGAGAGATGTTCAAGAGACTAGTCAATCCATGACAAAGGCAAGATTTCAACTCAGGTCTGACTCCTAGTATGGTATTCTCTCCAGTATGTCATCTTTGTAAAAGGACAACCATCCATGACTAACTGTATGAATTGTAAACCAAAAAAGTATTATGTCTCTTATCCTCTCTCCTAACATGAGAATAAACCATGATCATGCAGTGCACACTTAATGGTGCCAGATTTTAATATCAACATCAGATGATACAAGAGAAGTAAATCCAGTATTCTAATCAGCAAACGAGGAATAGGAGTTGTTAATGCAGACATCCATGGTTGCTTTTCTAATAGCTGGCAATCAAACTGTACCTGCCTTCCTTTTTCATTGCTCCACCTTCCCTTCAAAGTTTACTTATTTCCCTCATTCTTCATTCACTCGAAACGTCTTAATCCCAGGCCTTGTCCACACCATGTCTGATCCTTGTGACTAGGTCCTGGCTTACCACCAGCCAAGTGTTTTCTCAAGAAACTAGAATTGATTAGGCCCTAATTGGAATAATTTCTTTTTTACAGTGCACATCTTGAAATAAAATTTAAACTTCTGCTCATGTGTTGAGAGAAGCAAAAAAATAAATTGATGGTGAAATTGTTGTCTTTCCATGTGGTCCAGGAACCACATGGAAGGGTGATTTGCCTGAACCGAGAGGTGATGACTGGGCTGACGGTTTCATTGGGATGAATACTGGGTGGTGATCTGTCTAGGATGCAAGATACATTTCTCCAGAAATTATTTCCTGGAAACAGAATTACCTCACTGTACTGAATTCTTGAATGTGCCTTTTTTTTTTTGCACATCTATAACATAAAAGTGGGTTAACTGAATGATGGGAGAAACTTTGAGATACATTGAAGCCCTATAATCACTTTATATAATTTTATCCAAAATGTCTCAAAGTCAGCTTTGCAGCATTTTAGTCATTAGGGGAAAAAAAGACTGCCTTCTTGAATTGCACATAGTTTTATGCTGAGAGATCACAATGTGTATTAGCTTATTAAAGGCTCCAAGAAGTCCTGCAGTAAATAAACTGGGTAAATAGCTATTGCTCAAAACTTATTTGATCATGGAATTCTTTCTTTTCCCCCCAAGAAATTCCTGGTCTAGCAATTTTAGACTTATCAGCAAGACAGTATGTGCAAAAAAAAAACAAAAGAATAATTACCTGTGAGCACTGGGTAAATTCCTTATCTGCAAACATGGCACTATGATCTAATAATTCATGACGGCAACCTCTGGAGAAGAAAAACAAGAGGTGATAAATACGATTCATAGTCACATAGCAAAGACCACAGGAAGACGTATCTATGGAAAAAGTTAAACATGGTGCATGTTTTGACATTCAGAAATTACTACAGAGTATCTCACCTCCTAGCTCACTAAAATGTTGTCTCAGAAAGTCCAGCTATTCAGAAGATGTATTCCTGTATAAAGGAAATATTACTACATTTGTACAAATAGCTTTTAATAGCATAAATGATTCATGGAAGAAGCACTAAATCCATGCAAGTTCCCTGTAATATCAAAAATCCTATTTACATAACTGTGTCATCATTATAGTCCTTTCTTATATATTTATCACATTTGAATCACTCAACTATTCAGATTTTTTTAAATATTTGTATTTTATACAATTCTGATCCTATCTCCAATTTACAGATAAGAAAATAAAATAAAAACTGAGAGAGACTTAGTGGATGCTGTGGTGTGCCACCCAAATTCCCCTTAGGACCAGAGCTCTCCTTCTCCTAGCCAGAATAGGAGGCTGCTGACAGATCTCAGTTTATTTCTCTCTCCAGGAATTGCCCTCTGCCAAAGTTAGTTGCCTTGCCCAAGTTCAGGCACCCTCCCTGAAGGAGCTCACATCTACTGATTTGCCGGTAAAAGGGTACAAAACTTAATTCCCTTGCCTGGATTCAGGACATTCCTTAAGGACCATCCTATCCCAGCTACATAATTCATTGTAGGATCAGCTGAATCTTCTGAAACTTCATCACAGTTCATCTTTTGCCTCTTTCCAGTTCTACTTCCCTTACTCCAACATAGGTGTGAGTCCCCAGGGTCTGCCTCTACACCCCCAGTAAATATCATGCATGCAAATCTCTACCTGAGGGCCTGGTTCCTGTGGAAATCCAAATAATGACTCTAAGTCATCCTACCAGCAGTTAACAGAAACAGAACTTGAAGGCAAATTCCATATTCTCTCCAGAGAACACCAATCTGGCACCTGTCAGGTGAATTTTGTGGGCCCCCTTCCGTCAAAATTCAAATATTGAAAACTAATCCCCAATGTGATGATGGGGACTTTGGAACGTGATTAGGTCATGATGGTTCCACCCTCACGAGTTGAATTAGTGCCCTTATAAAGGAGATCTGAGGGAGCTTGTTCACCCCTCCCACCATGTGAGGACACAGCTGGAAGATGCCGTCATTGAAGCAGATAGCAAGCCCTCACCGGACACTGAATCTGCTGGGCACCTTGATCTTGGATTTCCCAGCCTCAAGAACTGTGAACAATAAATTCTGTTGTTTAAAAATTAGCCAGTCTAAGGTATTTTGTTATAAAAGCCTGAATGGACTAAGCCTATAAATGGATGTGACCTCTACAAACACATCTCCTGCCATTAGGCACCTCATTGGCTGGCTTCAATCACATTAGCCTTCTTTGCCTTCCACAGACATGCCCAGCACAATCCCATCTCAGGAATTTGCACCGTCTCTTCATTCTGCCTGGAAATTTCCTCCTCCAGATATTTACATGACTGGCCCTTGTCAGTTAAGGCTCAGCTCTAGTGTCACTGCCTCAGAGATTCTTCCCTGACCGTCCAGTATAAAGTAATCCCTCGGTTCTAGTCTTTCTTCTCTACAATGCCACTCTGCTATATATTCATTTTTTCACTTACTACTTCATGTTAGCTGATTCATTTAATTGTGTATTTGTCTGTAGTGTTCTCCCCCAGTGCTTGATCTCCAGAATAGTGTAATCCCCACATTATTAAAGCAGAGACTTTGTGAGTATTCTCAGTGCCTTGAATGGCACTTCTCAAAGTATGGTCCATAGATGGCTGATCAAATTATTTTCATACTAATACTAAGGCATTAAATGCCTTTTTCACTGTGTTGACATTTGCAATGTTTGTGTAAATGCAACGGTGGGTAAAACTGCTGACTCCTTAGAACAAATCAAGCAGTGGCACCAAACTGTACAAAAGGTCACTGCATTCTTCTTTTTCATGCTCTTTCAGGAAAAAAAAAAAAAGTCAGTTTTACTAAAGAGTGCCCTTGATGAAGCGGTAAAAATTATTTTGAAATTGTGACCGCCGAGTACACTTTCTTTTGATGTGCCATGTGATAAATAGGAAAGCACACTTAAAACAGCCCTCCCCATGTAACAAAGTATAATGATTGTCTTGAGGAAAAGCATTTGTGTGACTGATTGCAAGCTGCACTAGCTACATTTTTCATGAAACACCATTGTTCCTTGAAAGAATGACCACCAGTCAAGCAATGGTTACTTAGATTTGCGTATCTGGCAGACATTTTCTCAAATAAACAAAAAATATCACTTGATAAAATTCAAAACTTCAAGTGAATGTTAGAGTTTTGGAAAACTTGTATCTGCCACCATCGGTTTGACAGCTTCCTAATACTTAAGAGACTTTTCTGATGAAATTGATAGGTGATGTTAACGAATGTATGCTATTTTTGGATCTAGTCTATATAGTACAATGTAATGTGTCAACTTTTAGACTATGTTAATGACTCAGTAAACCAATATTTTCCAAGTGAAAAATGCATGAGGTTACAAAATTATTCATGGTTAAAGGATCTATTCCAAGTTCAAGATAGACCAATGAATTTTAATATGAGTATGAAAAGTTGATTGATATGGTTTCAAATTCCTCCTTGCAACTGACTTTTAAGAACTTATAGCCACTTGGATTTTATTTTAGCATCAAAGAAGATTACCCACAATTATCTGAAAAGACTATTACAATATTTTCCTCTTTCCAACTATGTAACTATGTGAGCCCGGATTTTCTTTGTGTACTTCAACCAGAACACATATCACCGTAGATTGGTTGTAGAGTATGAGAATCCAGATTCCAGATGAAGCCAGATACTAAAGAAATCTGCAAAAAAAATGTAAAACAGTTTTACTCTTTTCACTATGTTTTTGTTTTGAAAAAATAAAGCTATTTTATATTCATAAATCATATTTGTATTAATACATGATTTATTATTTTAAAATCAACCAATTAATATTTACATTTCTTAGTTTTAATTTCTAAATCAGTAAATACTGATTAACACAATAATAAACACAGTACATAAACATAATCCTTTGAAGTCCTCAATTTTTTTTTTTTTTTTTTAGTTTATTAAGGAAGTGAAGGAATAAAAGAATGGCTACTTCATAGGCAGAGCAGCCAAGTCCTCAATAACTTTTAAGAGTGTAACAGGATTCTGGGGTCAAAAAGGTGGAGAACCGTTGACCTAGAATCTGTGTTGGCATAGAGTTGGTATTCAAAAACTATTTATTGAATGATTTCAATATTTATAAAAGAAAATAAATAATAGAAATTCACTCCCCATTAGATTATGCATCATGTCTCTGCACATTACAAATAGGATATTGTATCCATCTGAGTGAATGAGTACACCTTCATGGTGTCTAAAGTAGGTGGTTGTCAAGAAAGAGAGTATCCATCTCAAATTTGATGGAGTTTTTTTTTTTTTTTTATGCGGAGGGGTTGGGGTTTGGAGACAGAGTCTCATTCTGTCACCCAGGCTGGAGTGCAGTGGAGCAATCTTGGCTCACTGCAACCTCTGTCCCCCAGGTACAAGCAATTCTCCTGCCTCAGCCTCCCAAGTAGCTGGGATTACAGGCACGCGCCACCATGCCCAGCTATCGTTTGTATTTTTAGTAGAGAGGGTTTCACCATGTTGCCAGGCTGGTCTCAAACTCCTGACCTCAAATGATCCACCCACCTTGGCCTCCCAAAGTGCTGGATTACAGGCATGAGCCACCGCACCTGGCCAATTTGATGATCTCAAAAGGAAATCTTTATTTCCTACATACATCCAAAATCTTAGGTATTTTTGGAGTACAGGAAGTTTGTGGGCTTAAAATTAGTTCTTATAGGCCTGGCCTTGCCCAGTATGTCCTTTACTTGTAGCCAAGAAACATTTACAAGAAGGAAGAATTTCAGCACAGTCTCACAAAGTTAATGAATTCATATACATGCTCTACCCATCAGATTACCCGAAGACATGAAGGGAAATGCTGCTTGAACAGGAAGTCTGTTTTGGAAGCCCAGACTTTTGAAGATTGTCTGTAATGAAGATGTATAAAATCAAATTCATAGTCAGAAGCACCAAGCTGACCCTCTTCCTCAAGCTTCCCTCTCAAGCCAGGGCATGATAACCAGAAAGAAGCAGAAAAACTAAGATTATTGGGGACCCGTTAGCCATGCCAATGTTACAGAGGCTAAAATTAAGCAGCACTGAAGTGAGCATTCTGAATAGTGAGACTCGGAGATGATGATGGGGCTTTCTGTAGAACATTTTCTAGAGCTGGCCCTGAGACTTTCAACGACTTTAAAGCAAGCTTACTCAATGGCTAGCCAGATTTTGAACAATAGCTCTGACGGGCTTTCATAAGAAAAGTATAGGAGGTTTGCTTCAAATTTTGGAACAAGAGGAATGCTTATGTCTGAATTACAGCAACATCTTGATTAACTAGAACTGAAGCAACAAGACCTTTCAATTAGACACATTTATCCTACGTTTAAATTAAAAATTGAAGTGAGAAGAAAACCACGTGGCATAAACAATGAGTAAGGGGAAAGGACTACTTGCAGAGAGTATCCAGGGTTAAACATTCCTTCAGTTCAATCTTCTGTACTTTCAAAGTTCAGTTGCACTTGATACAATAGTAACTATGGCTCCAAATGATGATTCAGAGGCTTTGAAGATTCAGGTACTCACCAATTCCTCCTGCATTTTGGAAAATCAGTAGACACAATTTATTATTTAAAAATTTGCATGATGTATGATAACTTGGATAACTTGGAAGCCTATGAAGTTTTACAAAGCTAGACTACAATCTATTGTAACATATTCCCCTGGTGTGACACACTCACACCGTTAGCCACTATCAATTAACAAGGAGTTGCTTAATGATAGCAGCTAAAATATTGAAGATGAATACAAAATTACCTTTATTATAACAAAACAGAGACAATATTTTTAAAAATGTAAAATGTAATGTGTCTTACTTTACTCCTTTTTCTTTCTCCATATTTGACTTTCACTCTACTAGATCCATTCATCCATTTGCTGGGGGAGTAGGGCTATCATAGCTATCATAAAGGAGTTCATCGCTAAAGATGAGGATGATTTTCATAAAAAATAAGATTTCAGAACTGGAAAAAAAATGTGTGAAACTTGAGTTCTTGTTCAGAGGAAGATTTTGTAATCTCTTTGTCTCTCTTTTAGCATGGGCCATTCCTGGAAGAATGAGCTCTAAGACTCCTCCTGTAGGGTGGGTGACGATACCCCATCTATGTGATACAAGCCTATCAGTTCATTATAGTACATGATGAAAAATGATACAAAATAAAAGTTACATCACTCTTCCCATATACCCAGACATCAATCTCAGGAAAAGAGAAAACAGAGATAGAAAGCAAAGCTGGTAGATTGTGTGTCTTCACTTTCCCTTTTTTTCATCTTTGGACTGGAGAAAGGAAGGTATATTAGAAAAGCAGAGATAATCCTGAAGGAAAAAGTGGGTATTGTGTTTTTAACTCACAGACTTCCCCATAGGCTTGACATAGCAGTGTGGTCAGGCTGAAGGTGGCCCTGAGTTGAGATCATCTGAAGTTGCCTTCTGTTCCCATCTGGGATAAAAGTGGAATTGAGACCCAATAGGCTAGTGGTTGGTCTCTTCTATGGATGATGGGTGTATTAGTCAGGGTTAGCAGAACCAGGGAAGGAGGACCAATAGGAGGTATAGATATGAGGAAATTTATTATGGAAACAAATATAAAGATCAAGAAGTCTAACAATCTACCGTCTACAGACTGGAGAAAACCAGGAAAGCCATTGGTGTAATTCAGTCCTAGTCCAAAGGCCTGTGAACCACGAGCTCTGATGTGGAAGGGCAGGGAAGTTAGATGTCCCAGTTCAAGAACAGAGAGTGAATTCACCCTTCCACCACCTTTTTGTTCTACAAGGTCCTCAACAGATTGGATGATGGGACTTACCTTGGTGAGAGAGATCCCCTTTTCTCAGTCAGTAGCAACTCAGTTGTTAATCTCTCCTCTCTTCCAGAGACGTCCTCACAGACACACCCAGAAATAATGTTTTACCAACTATATAGGTATCCCTTAGCCCTGTCAAGCTGACATAAAATTAACCATCACAGTGGGTGAAAAGATCCTGTAGCAGAAGTTAGGTGGGGCATTTTACCAGGAGAACAAGAGGAGGCCAATGCTGAAAAGAGAGGAATAGTCAATTTTCCCTAAGAGTACTGGCCAGGTCAAAGAATGGTTAGCATTAGAAGGCAGCAAATACCCAGCTTTCAGGCAGTAAGAAACATCACCCAAGAGACCAGGAATGCCAAAGATACTGTCCCCCAAAGTCTCTGAACCTTACCACCCTTCACAAGGTCACATGAGCCACGTACCCCCACCTCATATACGTGGATGCCATCTTACAGAAGAATCAGGGAAATTATCAGAACGCTGATGAGACACTGAGCACTATCTAAAGGGACTATTTTAGTGATCAGCTCTCACTGAAGTTTTAAAGTATGTAGCTAGGACTGAAAGTTATTCCCCACTCCCCCACCCCCTCCGGCTATCAGAAGGCAGATTAGAATTAGTTATAGATAAAATAATAAAATTGCATTTCCTCTGCACTTTCAAATTGTTGGGTGAGTAAATTTGTGGCCAGCTACCTATGAGAGTTCTATTAGGATTTATGGATCTATGGCTACCCTGTCTCTGTGTAGGTTAATAAATGCTCAAACTAAATTTAGGAAGGTATATCAGGCCAAGGTCAGGAACAGATATAGAATAATCGGCAGATGGGAGGAATAAGACAAGTTATCATGAGGCCCTTTCTTGACTTCTGAAATTTTCAACAATTGAATTGTTCTTTCAGAAAAGAAAGTCCAATTGCAGCTGGAACTCAGACGATTAATTCACTGACCTGGGACTTCTTCTGAGACACTTTGGGGGAAGAGATGGGACTTCATAACAAGTTCAGAAAGCACATGAGTAGTAATGCAGAAGTGTTTATAAGTCCATGGGAGGCAGGGTGGGAGCCATGCTGGTCCCTCAAGAGCTAGCTCAGCTAGTGCCACTTCCTCTCCTAAGCCAGCAGGCGGGAGCCTGGAGTATATAATTCAAGATGGTCAGGAGGGGAACATGATGGATGGTTGAGTTGAATTATCAGCCAATACTCGCCATAACAAACCAGCTGCTCACTCCCAGCTGTATAGGACCCACTCATGATTTGGTTCTGGACAGGGATACTCCCTGCCCAGTGACTGAACTCCTCGGGGACTCATGGAATCTATGTTAGGGGAGAATCAAGCCTCTTTGGGGATTGAGTTATGGCACCTTGTGGCAGGAGGTAAAGCTTCATGAGTACCAAAAGTTAGCAAGGCAGGATTTGAGGGCTTGGAGAGTGGAGAGAAAAACAGATTTGAGCGAGGCCTGATCCCAAACCCACTTAAAATAAGGCAGCACTTAGATGTAAGTAAAAGTTATTGATGGGTATGTGAAACTTTACCAAGAATAAAGTGAAATGGGGACAATAATAGACTTTACTCTTTTGCTTTTCCCAGTATGTGCATGGCTCAGTATATCAATCTGCAGAGAATTGAGGAGAAATTAGGAATGCTGCAATTAGAATGCAAAAAAAGCACATTAATAATTTTCAAAATTGATCCCTTTTATAATAGCCTCCCGGTTATTCATTTGCATAGCAATGTGCTTTCTGGAGTGCGGAAGGGACAGTGTTGGAGTCTCAGCTGTGAATTATACACATCCTACAATGGAGCTCTGTCTCACAGGGCTTTTTCTTGGCACATTTCGGGGCATCTGTCAAAAACATAAATGATACCCACTACGTGTGCTTTGGCAGGAAAAAGATTGAGAACAACTGCTTTAAACAACGAACTGTACTGTGGATAATAAGCAGCTTGAAGGGGTACAGCGGGGCTGGGGAGCAGGGTAACCTAAACCTGAGCGGCATGATATTGGGCAAGTTTCTCCACCTCTCTGAGATTCAGTTCTCCCTTCTGTGGAGGGAGAGAATTGAAGATGATTTCTACAGGAACTTCCAGAGGGAAGAACTGTGAACTCTTCAATGCTCCAGGACACAGGGTTGAGTCCCCTCACTAGCCTTCAAGTACCCCGGACTAGACATGGCAGTGTGCAGAGTGGCCTCCTGGCCTGAAAATGGCTGCAATAGGGTTGTTGTACAGGATCATCTGGGAGGAGGGTCATTTTGCTGTGTGCCTCCATCCTCCCCTTTCTTCTCTGACTTCTTATTACCTTCTCCCACTTGCCCACAAACACCACAATATACTCAAGATGCTCTCCATTATCAAAAAGTGCTTTTACTTAAGCTAATACCAGCAATTTATCCTTTGGTGTGAGTTTATGTCCCAAATCACCACCCCAAAGGGGTGGTTTGGTTGCCACTCACTGCATACATTGCCCCACATAACTCTGTTTGCTCTGTCAACACGTACCCTCTGCTACCTCTCACCAAGCCCCTAATCTCATACCCTCTTCCTGGTGAACTTCCATCCTTTAAGACACATCTCATATAAATGTCACCTTTTCTGTTACAGGCTTTGAAGCCTTGACTCCCAGGCAGAGTTATTTGCTCCTCCTCTTGGTTCTGGCAGCATTTAGGGGCTTGCCAATTCCCCCACAGCTCCCTCAACTCTGGCCAGGTCTTCACCTGACTGACTTCTAGGGAGTCCTCCTTGCACACAGCATCTCTTCAGAGAGGCCTTCCTTGAGCAGCGCGGGCTTCGAGTCTCCTCCCCCAGTTATTCACTAACCCTATTTTAATTTCTTCATAGCACCAGCAACTCTGTAGTTATTGTATTGATATATTTGTTTCATGTTTATTGTCTGTGTCTCCCCATGAGAGAGGAAGCTTGTCTCATTCTCTGCGGTGTCGCTGTCACCTAAAACAGCCTGGTACACTGTCAGGGCTGATAACTATTGTGTGATGAATGAATCTTGTGCATTCCTTAAGAGCTTGTCATGCTATATCACACATAACATGTTCATTTCTCTGTCTCTCTCTCTCTCCTCCTTGTACTCATGTTCAGCTGTGTTCTTGACACTAGTCAGGAACTTGGTACATATCAGATCTGATGAGGGAATAAGTGAATGAAGAGTAAGACTCTCTTCTACTTATATTATTAAGAAAAGTTTTGTCCAATTTTAAGCATTTGCGAGTGGCTGAAGAAAGAGCTACTCTAATGCCCCTAAAAGTGTTTATCCAGAGACTGCCACCTGCTCTTCCCATGGGTAGTGCAGGTGGCGTGGAGCCAGGAGTGATACTCGAAATATGTAAGGACTGCGATGGCAGCTTCTGCTGGTGACTCTGATGTTAGCAGTAGACTGGAGTGGCTCTCAGGGCCAAGCATCAACCCTTCAGTGGCTGGATTCTAGGATGTTCCAGGGGCACCAGGAGAGTGGCTGGGGTCCTAAAGGCATCATGCAGGAACCTTAGAGCAGCTGCTTTTATCAAGATATACAGATATATTTAATTATTTTCATAATCGCTACATCTCCATCCTGGCTCTTGGCTGAATCTTAGCCTGGCCTGGTGCCCTTGCAGGGAAGAGGGCCTTCTTGGGAGAGTGTTCACAGACAGAGCCTGTGGGGCTCAGCCCTGGAGGGATGCACAGCAAGAGGAATTCATTTAGCAAAGCACAGAGCACTCAGGAATGGGGAGACTACAAACCGCCCCTGCACTTACAGCTCGGGGGACTGCTTCATGGAATGAGGGGTATTTGATGTATTGGGTGCTCTGGAGGATCTGGAAGGTGAGGCTGGCAAGGAAATTTCCAGCTGACAGCAGCCCTGCAGCTAAAAGTCTCTTCTTTCTGTCTGTAGAGAAGAGGATGATCTGGACCTCTGACACAGAGTCCCAGGCCACCACCACACTCCCAGATCCACTGAAACAACCCTTCACTGTAAAGGTGGGTTTGGAGGCCTAGGGAGGAAAAAGGATTTACCTAGCTACTGGGTGGCAGAGTTTATACTAGTCTTTAGATCTTCAGGGTGAAGATTAAAGGCACAGGCTTTACAATCAGCTAGAACTTGGCCTGCAATTTGGTTCTGCTACGTGGTCACCATGTGTCACTGAGCAATCATTTTATCTCTCTGAGCCTCAGTCTCCTTGTCTGTAAAACTAGAGCAGTTGTATCTGCCTCAAATCTTGCTTGAAGAGTCCTAAGCATGATGCCTGGTACACTGTAAAGACCCAGAGAATGTGTATTATCACTAATATGACTAGTATTATTATGTCCTTTCTAATTTGGGCATATTTTGATTGGCTTAATCTGAATGCTCAATTTATTCAGTGAGAGCTCGAACCTAAATCTTTGTCTCATGATCCTCTGATTCCTATTTCTACTCCGGCTACACGTAGCCTTGCTACCAAATTTCTGAAAGGACAGCTAACTTGACCAGGGTAACCCACTGTTACCTAGAGTTAGTAGATCTTTAACATAGTGCTTCGAGAAAAGTTTACGCCTTTCAGCAGTCTTCTGATGAAGTAGAAGGTTAGCCAGAAAAACTGTCTGGTCAGAGCCTTGTTGACAAATCTGAGGATCCTTTCCCATTTTGCTGAAGCATGGACTGGGGAATGCAATTGAATTGTGATGATTCTGAATCTCCAGTGCTGAGGGGTAGATTCTCTGAACCCAAAGTATTACCATTCCACCGAACTGTCACCCTGTAGATGGGATCCCAGAAATAACATTTGATAAGCATTGTTTGATAAACATTGTGTATCAAACCCTGACACAAGCTGGTTCCTTGCTTTTTTTTTTTTCTTTAGCCTAAAAGTAAAAAAAAGAAAAAAGAAGAAAAAAAGAAAGATGTATAGTTAGCTAAGGGCTATTTACTGTTCACTGGGCTTTAGTTAAGAGGCATACCATCATTCAAATCAGCCAAACCACCCTTGCCTCCTTTGTCTGAATTAACCTGAAAGAAGAAAAGAGATTCTATTTTTTTTTCCACTTTATTTCCAACACGTGTTGGCCTGAGTTTCAATGGTCTATGAACCATACCTTCTGTGTCTGTACCCCAGACTCTGTGTGAGAGATTCTGGAATCCACCTAAAATATTAGCATTTTTTGGTCCTAGCTAACAAGAAGGTGAATGTTTCTATTGTTCAGTTATGCAATTTCTCATATTGCTGAAAAGCCTGTTCTCCTTGCCCGTGAGAAGGTTTGTGGACTGATATTTTATGAAAGATGCTAGAAGAAAAGAAGGGGAGAAGTGGGGCATCAGGAGGGTGAGGAGGGCACCATGCATGAAGGGAGGATGGTTTCTCACGGACAGCCCCGACAGGAGCGCTTGGATGAAGAGAGCTTGCAGTGCAAGCACGAAGCACGAGGTTTCACTCTTGGCCTAAGAAAACCTTTGCAGGGGCCTAAATAAAACTTTTTAACTTAAAAAACTTGTAATGAGCAGTAATGAGTTCCAGCTGTGTAGCAGAGCAAATTCCCAATTCCAAACAACTTCCCTAGAAAGAAACAATCATGTCTGTCCCTGCCTCCTTAACTCTTTCATCCCTGAGGGAGAGACACATTCAAGCCTGTTCCTGGGTGCCCAGGAGGTGGAACAGGTGGAGTGGCCTTTGCAAGGTGGGCCCGGAGCGTGTTGTGGGCTTCCCTGTTTGATCAGATCTCTGAGATGGGCCAAGGTTCTGCTGTCACTGCTTCTCCCAACTCTCTCTATGACAGTCATCATCTAAATCAGGGATTGGTAAACTGGAGCCCACTGGCCAAGTCCAGCATGCTAACTTTTGCCTGTTTTTGTAAATGAAGAGTTATTGGCACACAATCACACTTATTTATTCATGTATTGTCTATGGCTGCTTTCCTGCTACAACAGCAGAGTAGTTGTGATCAAGAGACTTTGACCCACAAAGCCCAAAATATTCACTACCTGGCCCTCTACAGAAAAAGTTTGCACAGCTCTGACCTAAATAAAATTTAAGGTTACTTGAGGCTTACCTATCCCTATCAGTATCAAGGCTTTGGTATTTTTTCACCATAGAATTGGGTGAACAACAAATATCTTCAGAGATCATAGAGTCCAATCCATTTCATATAAGAAACTGAGGCTTACAAAGTGATTTGCCCAGAGTTAAGTTAATGGTAGAACTGAGGTTGCTATTGTGTACCCCTGACTCCCAGGTCAGTACCATTTCCACCATATGAACTGCCTTTCAAACAAGGAAGCTAATCTCCCCAGAAAATGGACCAAAGTGACAGATCTTTGCTTTCCATGATCAATAGCAAAATACCTACAGTAAACTGGTTTTCAGAAAGAATGTTTTATTAAGATCTTTTTGCTATGTATTAGAGATACTCTAGTGTTTGCTAAAACATGTCCTGTAACTTGTGTGTGTGTAATGATCTGGTATTTTAGTGGTAGAGTGTTTGTATCTAATGATTAAATAATCATCTCGTTATTTAACCCAGGACAGAGCCAAAAAAAAAAACCCCTGCTCATTTGATCAGGCCCTATGAACAGTGGCAAGAATTTGCATAGTGATTTAATGGGCCGTTACACAGAATACGCACAGAATAAGTTAGTTTTTAATGGGCTGTTACACAAAGTATGCACAGAAAAAGTTAGTTTTTCAACTGAGTTTTAATTTGATTTTTTTCTAATAATCTCCCAAGGATACATTTTGGCTCTGGCCAAATAGATCAAAAGTTCCAAGAGGGCAAGTAACAGACATTTTGAAATTTGTGTATTCTTTCCAGCTTTCTTGGAACTTTAGTAACACAATAACACAATAGCATAAACTCACAATGAACTGAAATCAATCTAAACCGGAGCTCAAATAACTGAAGTTTAGTTTTTGGGTCACTCTTCCCGTCACTCAAGTTTCAGAGAAAAGAGCCTCATAGCAACAAAACAAGTAGATGAACATTTAGTTTAAAAATCGACAAAGCAACTTCTGGAAAATGTCTCTGGAGTCAGTACAGACATGGGATGGGGAAGATGAGTAATTTCCCGGGGTCCCCATAGTTTGTTAGGTATATGCCCCTTGGGGGACTGGGCAGTGGATTCCGGGAAGCAGCCAGAGGGAAAGGCGGAGTCACCAGCTGGAGCTAAAGAAGAGCCGAGCTCATGTTCTTATAAGCAGCCCCGAACCAAACCACCTCCAGGCTCTGAGGCTTGCCTGGCTCACACCCTTGCACTCCTTCGGCCTCTATCCCACCACCAGCCCCAAGGCTGAGCATCTGCCAAACTGACTTTCTCAGGGTTCTCCCAAAGTGTCCACGCTCTCTCTCAAGAGGCAGACGAGAGTAGTGTGGTCTCTGTAGCTGGATTCTCTGGGTTCAAGTGCTAGGTTTGTTCTTTATCAGCTGGGCAACCTTGAGCAAGTTACGGAATCTCTCCGTGCCTTTGCTTCTTCATCTATTAATGAGAATAATAATGGCGCCTCTCTCGTAGCGTTGTTATGAGGTTTAAATAAGCAAATTCGTGTCACCTGCTGAGGACACAGACTATTGCTCCAGGATTTTGCACTTGCTACTCCTTCAGCCTGGAACACCCT
Source organism: Homo sapiens (assembly GCF_000001405.40). Classification (NCBI taxonomy): domain Eukaryota; kingdom Metazoa; phylum Chordata; class Mammalia; order Primates; family Hominidae; genus Homo; species Homo sapiens. The sequence goes on from NC_000012.12 coordinate 102,799,860, forward strand.
CATGCTACCTCCTAAGAAGGAAAGGGACTTTCCCTGACTCGCCCCACTCTGTCGATCAGCTCCCATGCAAGACTGGGTTATGATTCCTGCCTCTGGGTCCTCATGAAACCCTATGCTACTTGAAGGCATTTTATCTACTTGTCAGATTCTCCCATTAGGCTGAACTCCCTGAAAGCCGGAATTTGGCCTTAAGCATTCCAATGTTAGCACAATGTTTTGCACAAGCTATCACTCAAAGTCTACTTTTTAAATTGATGATGCATAATGCATGCATGAATGAATAAGTCATTATATGAATAAACTAATAAGTAAATGAATAAAAGCCAAATCACTCTTCATATCTTTCATCTATCTGGATCCTGGATTGTATCTATAACAAACACCCACCTATCTGCTTTTGAGTGGATCAGAAAAATTTTAAAAATGCTTTCTTCCTTAAGATACTTCACTCCCATCTCTTCCATCCCATCAATTCATTCCATAATTATGACAATTATAAAAATGTCATAATACATTGATTTTTTAAAAAATGAGACATTTGACTGTCATCTTCTTAAAACTTTAAATAATAAGTGTATAAATCTACAGTGCCTATCTTGTAAATGGAACCCCCATGGGTTTTGCACTGCCCAACTTACACAAAGATGGTGGCCATGCCTGTGCTTCCTAGAGCAGGAAACCAGGTTGATATATTTAGAAATAAATATTTACCTCTAAAAATCAGAAATCAGACCATCCTGTGAACCAGCTACTTGGTCTTATTTCTGGGTATTTTGCTGTGAAGGACTGCAAGCCTAATGGCACATTGGGACTTACCATGAAGTCAGTCCTTTCACTTGGTTCATCTATCCTCCTTAGTCATGCCTACTCTGGGACTTCTGTCAGCTTTTCCTCTCAGCAGTGAGATATGCCATAAAAGGGCATGGGCTGGAAGCCAAAAGACTTGGGTTTTACTTCCATTAACTCACCACTGATCAGTTAGGTGATCTTGTGTAAATCTCTTAACTGATCTGAGACTTAGTTCCTCCTTAGAAAATCAGTTGTAAGGTGATTTGAAGATCACAAGTTCTCTGCAAAAGCAAAGTGCTATATTATCATCATCAATAATAATAATAATTACCTTAGTATAATAATAATAATAACAGTGGCAATACTTCTAATAAACCTACCATGAATGTCACATTTTTAATTGATTCAAATATTCTATATATTTGATGAGATACATTAGTTCATTAATAAGTTAGCAAGAATTTGATTATTTGACATAAACCACCCTCAGAACAGAGAGAAAAATCCTAGGAAGGAGTGACACTTGGTAAGTTTTGATTCATGAGAAAGAGGTTAGGAACATGAGATGTCCCCATACCAGAAGAGTTTGAAGCAGGGGGACGATAGGAAGGCATTGGACATCTGCAAGAAAATGGAGGTCTTGTTATCCTCAAAGGTTGGCACAAGGATTGTTTTCAACACATGATTCGGGGCTTTGGGTTGGCTTCTAATGAGTGACTCAAAATTATGCTGTGCACTAGAGTTTACATGTTCGTTTGTGAACCAAACACTATAGCGACCATATTGGTCTCAAAGGGTCAATCTTAACTTTGGTTAAGAGAGAAATGATCAGGAAGGAAATATTTAAACAGAATCTTTCCCTTTAAGATAGAAAGTCTCAGATTCTTGTGAAACCTTGCCATACTTTGGGGTTCAGAGAAATGTTGTTACCTTGTGATTAAGATAAGATGTTTTGTGTGAAGATACTAGAATTGGGAATGCAGACAATGTAGCCCAATAACATTCTCCCTGGAGGGAATGTTAAGTTAGCTTGCCCAAAGTCATGCATCAAATTAGTGTGACAGCCATAACCCCAACCAAGTCATCCCAAATGTATGGATATTAACAAGCCGCATTACTCCGAATATCTGTACACCCATAAAGCATTGACAGGAGTCTCTGATGAACATCTGTAGGCTTCACTAATGGAGGTTTTCTGGATGCCCATATCTAATTGCTCCACTTGTGGCCACAGGCCCTGAGGGCCCGAAGTTTTTATCTGGGGTTTGTCACTATACAACCAGGGTATAGCATTATGGACTGATAGGTGTGGGGAGGCAGCAATAATGAAGACAATGAATATTATAGGCTCAATGATGATGTTGGAAATACTCGTATTGGGTCTCTAGAACTGCTGCCAAAGGTGGGACAGGTACAGAATTCTGGCCAGTGCTGACTCTCTTCCTTGCCACTGTTCCCCATATATTCTTTGGGAGAGGCATGTACCACTGAGTAGATGTTCCCTCTCCTATCTAGGTTCACTCCTATACTTACTGGGGCTCTCACAATGCTAGATGTTGTTTTGCTTTGTTTGGACCATTTGCATTTATTTCTGCCTACTTAATGCTCGCCCCTGAATCTCAGGGGCTGGAAGCCAAGGAGCTACATTTCCTGGGCTCCTTTGCCTCCAGGATTGTCTAAATGTGATTTAGTCTTATGACTTTCAGTCTGCCAGTGAGATGCAGTAGCATAAGACGTGGAAGGGGGAAGACAGACCAAAGCCATCATTTTCCTCTGGAAGGAGTAGCATGTGATGTCATGCAGGCATGCTTTTATAATGATCTCCTGAAATTTACCTGCCTCAGGCCTATGGAGAGGACAAGTTTCTGAGCCAGGCAGAGCTTCATAAATGTTATGACTCTTGGAACCCCAGCTTAAAAGCTAATGCTAATCCTCCTAACTTGCCCTTTCAGCCTTTTCAGTGATTTTATAAACTTATTACTCAATGTTAAATCCCTTTTTGCTTGACAGACCTAGTGTGATTCTCTTTTATTGGCTAAATTGCCTGATGAAACCAGCTTGCCACTAACCATTGTGTAACACTGGGCAAGTGACTTTCCATGCTGGGCCTCCACACCCACTTGTTGAGGACCCACAGAATTTCTCTGGTAGCAGAAAGGTATCCAGGTACTGCTTACAGGCATGGGTTTGATAGGGACTACTTAGTTTCCGGTAGAAGGAGTACTGGTTGCATTTTTACTCCATGATGAAAATGGATCCCATCTCACCTATAATCTCAGGAGAAGCTCATATATCTGCCATATGTAAGTGGAAACTCATTTGCCCCTTCCATGGTCAAATGAATTTCTAGTACTTCCGTCTCATCTTCCAAACCTGAACAAGAGACACATTTATTTGTGTCAAATTATTGCCCCATCCAAACCTTTCCTTAGAAGGTCAGATCCTTCTGGCAAGGGGTGGAAATTTGTGGTCAGCCATTTCACCCTATGAAAATTATAGTGGCCAATGCTGTCAGTGCCCTACCTACACTTCTTCAGCTTCAACACTTTAATGTGCCCCAGGTATTTCCAACCATATGTATCTGCATCACTTTACTGGATTGTTTCCTCCAAAGTCCAGAAAAGCCAAGTCTGCCTCTGTGCAAGGAAGCCTGGCTATGCCAGAGAATTAACACTCCTCAAACAAAGACTGGCAAGGTGGTGTATAAAGACCCCAGCCCTCTTGCCCCTGGGTAGGATAGCTCAGAATAGGTGGCATATTTTTCTCACCATTTTTCAGAGTTTTCACATAAGATTTTTTTTTTTTATTATTATTATACTTTAAGTTTTAGGGTACATGTGCAGAACAGGCAGGTTTGTTACATGTGTATACATGTGCCATGTTGGTGTGCTGCACCCATTAACTCATCATTTAGCATTAGGTATATCTCCTAATGCTATCACTCCCCCTTCCCCCGACCCCACAACAGTCCCCAGTGTGTGATGTTCCCCTTCCTGTGTCCATGTGTTCTCATTGTTCAATTCCCACCTATGAGTGAGAACATGCGGTGTTTGTTTTTTTGTCCTTGCTATAGTTCGCTAAGAATGATGGTTTCCAGCTTTATCCATGTCCCTACAAAGGACATGAACTCATCATTTTTTATGGCTGCATAGTATTCCATGGTGTATATGTGCCACATTTTCTTAATCCAGTCTATCATTGTTGGACATTTAGGTTGGTTCCAAGTCTTTGCTATTGTGAATAGTGCCGCAATAAGCATACGTGTGCATCACATAAGATTTTTCAACTAAGGTTGCCTATAGTGGTAGCTGGCTTAAGTTTGTGAGCCTTGATTGGCTGTCTTTCCTTCCCAGCCTCTGTTTCCAAATAAACCCCCTGCACTTGGATGCTTGCTCAGAGTCTGCTTCTGAGGAAAGTCAACCTAAGGCAGTTAGTTTATCAAATGCTTTTCTTTATGACAGCCACTTAAACTCAGCGGACTGAGATAGCAGGGATTTTTATAGATGAAGAGGAAAAGGAAATTCTGGAGTTAGAATGAAGGAGCAGTCTGTGTCAGGGGCTATAGATTGCTGCATGGAGGTCCCAAGGAATTGAGGAAAAGCCGGTAACAGCAGGAAGAAGGGTGAAGAGCATGGGATGCTTATTCATGGCCATCACATATAAAGCTCTGAGGATAGAGCCTGACATGTAACAAGGGCCTAAATGTGTTTGTAGCTCTTGTTGGGTGTTTTCGTTTTCTTCAGCACTTAGCCCTGGGGATCAGATCATTCATTCATCCTTTCATTCATTGATTTGGTAACATATTTACTCACTCAACAATGAAAATCATTTCTTCAATACGTATGTTGTATTAGTAACTGTGCTAGGTGCTGCGATGGAAAGACAAATAGGGCACAGCTCTTGCCTTTAAGATGCTTCTAGTCAAAAGGCCCAGAATGGAAAGCGCTCCTCCCCCTCAGTAACAAAAAATCCTTCCCAACTCAGACTCACTTGCCTGGGGTCTTTGTAAGGAGGTCTTTGCTTGACTCTGGAAGGGGTCGGCTAGAGTCCACTACACACTGTATTTTGCTTATTTAAAGCAAACAAGTAATAATGTAATGGCAGGAAGTCTCATAAAATGGTTATTTCTGTTCCCGGACTACTCTGGGGTTCCATCTAATTTATAAACATTGTTTTATGAAAAATTGAGATCATTCTTGGAAGTGCCCAGAGAGAATGACCTTTGCTTGTTTTGGTGCAGTGTTTGTGTGTGAGTGTGTACACGGCTATTGTTGCTAAGGAGGCGATGGCCAGCCATGGGTAATGGCTGTCTTTCCATTCTGCACATTTCCTTAGTCAGGGAGGGTGTAACTGACACCCCCTCTCACACCCAGCTCTCCCCAGAAAGACAGAAATGGAGTCAGACCATGGAGTCAGCAGTCTAACTGAGTGCCTGGGAAAGGCTGGTTTTACCACTGATACAATTAGAACAAGTTCCACCACGTCTTCAGGTGCTTTCAGACCCAGAAATTTGGGGGCACATGCCTCAAGTGGTTTCTCATCTAACTCTTTATGAGAGTCAGGCATTAATACCAAACCCTGTCTCTAGGGTTCTGCACCCAAGCTTAAGGTGGTGGGGAAATACACTTTACATGGGTGGGGGAGGGGCGGACTGGCAGGGAGCAGAGAATCAGATTCTAGTGAATCTTAGGAGTGCCTAGTCCCAGGAATAATTTGGCAAAGGATTAAAAAGCAAAACGTTAGAGTCACTTTCCAACTCTGCCACTTAACTTGCTGTGTTGCCCTGGACGCATCACTTAACCTCTCTGTGCCCTAGGTTTTTCAAATAGTAAAAATACCTGTATCATATTTTATAAAATAACTCAACAAATATTTATAACGTATATACACTACATCGCAGGCAGCCTCTGATAGGCATTTGGTTAGGCTATTTCCTTTGTGTGAAATATCTGCCCAGATCCACCCCCCCTTCATTTAAGTTTCTGCTCAAATGTCACCTCTGTCTAGAAGTCTTCCCTGCTCAGATGCTTCTTAAAAAGCAGTCTTTTTTTTTTCTTTTCTCTCTATCCCCTTCTCTGCTATCCTGTTATCCTTAGCACTTATCATTACCTAAAATTATGTCACGTATATCTTTTTATTTAACTAGTTTGTTTTTATTTTCTGTTTTCCCTAGCTAGGATGTACGTACTATGGGGGCAAAGATGGCTTTTCACCACTGCATTCAAAATGCACATAATGATGTCAAGCACACAATAGGTACTCAATACATGTTAGTCAAATTGACTGAGTATGTGTACACTCTCCCAGAGTGTGTACTCTGAACTAATTTAGCAATTGGAAATCCCAGATTAAACGTAAATGTTCATAAAAATGCCCCTATCAGAATTTGCCAGACTTGGTTAGGCTTGTGATTGAAACAATTAGCATTTTCCCTTAATAGCCACAGAGGTCACTTTTTTCTGTATCTTCATCTCCTTCTTCCCCCCAGCTCTCCCCTGTGGTTTTCCTTAGCCCTGGACTGTTTTGGGAGTGAATCTTTTGACTCTGGGATCATTTTTTCTCTTCGTATGGACCTGAGGCACTGCAGGGGGGGAGGCATCCTGCTGCAGCTCCTCAGAAAGCATTTGGAGGAGGTTGTCATGGGCTACACAGCTCCCCTGCGGCTTTGCTGGAGCCCTCACATCCATGAGGTAATGAATGTGACCCTCTCACATAGCCAGAGCACACACGAGCTAATTTGGAGAGCAAATTCTGAAAAGGTTGATGTAATTGGCCCCAGGGGCCCCTGGGTGGGGTCAGAAGGAGAAGACAGCCTTTTCACTGGGCTGGCATGGCCTAGCTCTGCACAAACAAGAATTGGCTAATGGGAAGACAGTCACATGCACCCATGAATTATCAATGTAGATGGTAACCCCACTGACTCTCTAAGGCCACAGATGCTCCTGTAGGGGCTGTGGTGAAGGAGAGGTTAAAATAAGAAAGCAGAAATGCATGGAGGTGAAGTGGCTTACCCAAGGTCACACAGCACGTGAGTGACACGGCTGGGATTAAAGCCTAGTTTGCCTCTTCCTGAGCTAGACTGTAAGCAAATTTAAGACAAGGACTGAGTCTAACTTGCTCATCCTAGATTCCTCAGCACCTAGGACAGTGCCTGGCACTGACAGATGTAGAACATTCCATACATCCACCATTTTGACCTAACATATAGAAAAAGAAGCCAGAGAAGCAGAGAGAACAAAATCTTGGGTGGCTGCCATGGTTATCCCTGAGCTTTCAGCAAGCAAGTTTTTCCATGTCTGTCCTCAGTACTTCCTTCACAGTTGTGTCCTGGCATTTTGTCTCCACAGTTCTTCTAAGAGAGCTTTGGAATGCTTGATCCAATGGCATTGGTGAGGAAAGAATCTAAGTATTATTGTTTCTCCATTTTAGGGTCATTTAAAAAAAAGAAACCACTTTTGGACTTATTATATCCACATTGGGTCAACAGGTCGATGGAATCCAATTAATCAACTCACTGAAAACAAATTGCCTAGCTGAACTGACTACAGCCATCTAGCTAAGTATGTCACCAGAAAGAGGTAAAATGATAGTTAGCATTGTGTGGGGCAGAATGCAGATTGCTGGATTTGAAGCCCAGAGGTTCTAATTCAGTAGACGTGAGGTATGGCCTATGAATCTGGATTTTAGCAAGCATCCTGATGAACCAGATGCAGGTGATTCAGGGCCTTTGTACGACTTTGGGTGAAAAAGCCCTCATGTGGGAGGTAAGAGATAAAAATTCTAGTCGGGACACACCTCTATGTAGACTATGGGAACTTATCACTTGACCTTCTTGGACATGACTTTCTTAACTAGGCAATGAACATGTCGTTTGAGGCTTGCAAGCTGGCAGCTTGGTGATTTCATATTGCTTCCAGAAGGGTGTTGTTATTGCCATTTTCTTCAGCACTTTAGGCAGTCTTTTTCTTGCAGGGCCATAAAATCTATCAAGCATGTTAATGTCAACCATATTTCACATTCCATATTAAATATAATTTAAATTAGCTACAAAATAGTTAAACTGCAGTTGGTTGGTTAGCATGTTACATTTTGCAGTTATCTAATTAAATGTTACTTTTGATTTTGTAATTTTCTTTTTATGTTTTGGAACCAAAACATCTTTTTTCTAAGGTTCAAACAGTTCTAGAAGGTCTAAAAAATCTTAGGTCCTAGATAATATGTCTTTAGTTTTTCTAATAGTTGGAATTGCTCTAATTTTGTTTGTCTAAGAGAGTATTTTAACAGGCCATAAAACTAGTTAGGAGTTAGCTTGTTGAGTTATAAGTTAGGAGTTATAAGCAGCTTAGCCTCTAGGATCTTATATACCATCCATTTCATTCCATCTGATTCTTTATTTTATTTTATTTTATTTTGAGACGGAGTCTTGCCATTCCATCCAATTCTTCTTACCTGTCGGCCCCTGGACTTGTTGCCCATTATCTATCATGGGATCTACACTTAGAAAGTAGAGCAAAAGAAAACACAAAGAAAGACATTGTGTAAATATATTGATCATAACCAATTAGAAGACTAATTATGAAACAGAATGTTGAAGCCATTTTATTAAAATATAGGCATAAATGGAGACTTCCTCTATTAAGAAAAAGAGTCAAATGTGAATGAATTTTCTCCAAACCCTCTTTAAAAGACAGAATCCTGAGCAGAAGGTTTGCTACCCTACAGGGCTCCACATTCCATTGTGTAGGCCGCTGGCCACCCATGGTCATTTACACTTAAATTTAGATAAATTAAAATAAAATAAAAACTCAGTTATTTAGGCATACTAGAGACATTTCAAGTGCTCAGTGATCACATGGAACTAGAAGCTGTTGAATCAGACAGTGCAGGCGTGGAATATTCCCATCATCACAGAAAGTTTTGTGGATAGTACTGCTGTAGGGGATATCTCTTGCTCTTATCAAATAATCTATTGATTCACATTTTGTTGAAACAGTAAGTTTAGTCATCTGTGTTTCAATTTCTATGTCTAACGTCAACATGGAAGAATGTTTCGTGCCATGGGTAATCAATGGAATGATGAAATAGTCTTTAATAAAGTGGACTTTGCAGCACATTAATATGTCTTTTCTTTTTGGAAGCACAAGATGAGTTTTTAAAAATTCAAAATTGATTTCTAAAATGTCACCCAAGGCCAGGTGCAGAAGCTCACACCTGTAATCCCAGCACTATGGGAGGCCAAGGTGGGAGGATCACTTCAGCCCAGGAGTTCGAGACCAGCCTGGGCAATGCAGGGAGACCCTTATCTCTACAAATAATAACAAAAAATTAGCCAGGCATGGTGGCAGGCACCTGTGGTCCCAGATACTTGAGAGGCTGAGTCTAGGAAGTTGAGGTTGCAGTGAGCTGTGATTGCGCCCCCACACTCCAGCCTGGGTGACAGAGTGAGACTCTCTCAAAAAAATAAAAATAAAAGCCATCCAAGTTAATGTTAACTCAAAGCTGCAATACAGATGGTCATAAATAAAACATTCCATATAATGAATAACCTTTTGATTTGATAATTTATATGAGGGGTATTTGACATTTTTGTTGCAGTTATCAGACAGAACTAAGAAAAAGATAATCTGTTAATGAAACTAGGTCATCTGTTTATTTAATCATTGAATTAAAATACAAGCAAAAGAACAAGTGATATTTTTAGAACGATCTACAAAAAAATTTGACATTGCACCTCTAATTAGAGACAGATCTATTTCATGTCTAACCTTTAGTCTTATTCTTCAATTTTGTTTTCACCTTCTTTAACTCAGTCTTAATTTTCCTGTTTCCTTTTTTTTCCAACACTGGCAAGTTTTTAATCCTTTAGAAAATCATTTCCAAAGAATAGTACACATACCACTTTAGATGGAATAAAGATATTAACTTTAAAATTTATATATTAGAACAATATAATTATTCCTTCAAAATGATGAATTCTCAGATATTAATGTTTAAAAAAATAAATTTAAGCAAAGATATAAGACAATTTAAAAAACGCTAGATAAATAATAGTAGTCGTATCTTGATAGAAAAAAATCATGAAGTTGGTGTGTAAAAAACTGAAGTTGAGAAAACATTGTTTAAGGTAACTATCAGTATTACCTGGCATCAACCCCCTGGCATATTATCTCTTTTTTTTTTCTTTTCTTTTTATTATTATTATACTTTAAGTTTTAGGGTACATGTGCACAATGTGCAGGTTAGTTACATATGTATACATGTGCCATGCTGGTGCGCTGCACCCACTAACTCGTCATCTAGCATTAGGTATATCTCCCAATGCTATCATATTATCTCTTAATTGTTTTAGATTTATTCTAGAAAGGCCTTGTGTTGGCCATTGCTATCATGCTTGTTCCAGCTGCAATACTCCAGCATTATTTAGAATCTCAGCCTTCTTTTCGAACTTCCATGAAGAGGTGAGCATTTTTCCCATCTCCCCAACACATTCCACACCATATTTAGCTTCCCTGCTAGACCTGTGGCTTTCTATTCTTACCCATCTGCCATATACCCTTTTTTCTTCCTGAGAAGTCCCAATTCGGACTGGTATTGTACATACTTCAAATACACTGAATAGTCTTGGTTTAGTGGCATTCACTTTGAGAACTTAGATTAATATGATAAGAGTCTTTCCATCAAATCAAAATTCAGTCGTTACCTGTTCAATTATATGATGGGCCTGTGGACTTATATTTTTAGTTATCTTTTAAAGCGGGGCGGCATAAAGCCATTGCTTTATTGAAGCATTTATCAGAGTATCCCATTACATACTTGTCCTCTATGTTGATTAGAAGGAATAAAAGGGTTCCAAAGCCAAATAAATTTGGGAAACACTGAATGTCAAATTCCCCCTCTTGGAATCTCCCATTGCAAAGCATTACGGTGTCATGATTAAGCATGCAAGTTCTGTAACTAGATGGCCCCAACCGGAAACTCAGCCACCAGTTATAAGCTCCGTGCCTCTGTTTCCTCATTTGTAAAATGGGGAACACAATTAGTGCCTATCTCATAGGACTGTTGCCAAGTTTAAATAGGCCACTGTGGGTGATGTACTTTGCACAGAGCAAGTATGCCATCGTGTTTTGTACGACAAAACTATATTAGGCCCGGCGCAGTGGCTCACACCTGTAATGTCAGCACTTTGGGAGGCTAACGCGGGTGGATCACCTGAGGTCAGGAATTCGAGACCAGCTTGGCCAGCATGGTGAAACCCCATCTCTACTAAAAATAAAAAAAAATTAGCTGGGCGTGGTGGTGGGCGCCTGTAGTCCCAGCTACTCAGGAGGCTGAGGCAGGAGAATCAGTTGAACCTGGGAGGCGGAGGTTGCAGTGAGCCGAGATCACGCCACTGCACTCCAGTCTGGCAATACAGCGAGACTCTGTCGAAGAAAGAAAGAAAAGAAAAAAAAAAGTATATTAAACATCGTGAGAAGTCCTGCAGGGTTAAAACCCTATTTAACTTGGTTCAACCCAAATTTATTTGATTTTGGAAGCGTCCTTCGAGTATAAGTCTTTAGAATATTCATGGGTCCATAATTTGGAAGACTTGTGTTTGAAAGCCAGGAGCTCAGAAAGCCAATTGCTTCCTTCGAGGTACTTTTCTGTGTGAGGGTCTGCTGCCCCCAGGTGGACAGAAAGACCTTGGCTGGAAACCCAGAGTCTGCCCCGCCAAGCTCCCCACAGGTGTAATTAAGAGAAAGTAGAATAAATAAATAATTTTTTCTGTTACTGTGTGTTTTAAAATAATTTGAGGAAGAGTTATTTATTAAAATACTAAGTATAAAAATGGATATTACTAGACAGAGGGAGTACCAAGAGCTAAGACTCGAAGTTGCTCCTCATTAAAAGACAATCTTTTTATTTTTGTAGCCCCTGCTTGGAGAACTGCTGACAGGCACACAGTAGGTATCAACAAATATTTGTGGAATAAATGACTGGCTCATTGACTTATTACAAAGAAGGGCAGAAAATCTGAGTGAATGTTATGTCTCTAATTATGCTCTTTAGGGAGCTCAAAGAACAGCTGCAAATATGTATAAAAAATTCCAGGTAAATGACTGGGAACCTTTTCTCTGGGAAGATCCAGTACTCATTAAGGAAGAAAGGTAAGCTAATAATGTTTTAACAAATGTGTCAGCTAGAATTAAAATTCAAAGGCTCTAAACAGATAACCAGTAAATTTGGCTAACCAGAATAACCAACCCTATAAACATTACAACCCTATAATTAAGTATAATTAAGTTTTTCTCTGAAACAGCAATGTGAAAAAGTGGAAGATGAGACCAGTGGTTTTCAACAGGAACATACCAAAGAAGTTTCTACTTTCCAAGTTTCTAAACTCATTACTTTTTGTTCTTGTCTTCTCTCCTTTTTCTCTTTATTTGTATTACTGTTCAATATGAGCCGTTTTGTGGACTGTAGTTGGGAAGACAGACATAAAAGCAGTAATCTAACTACTCACACTAGAGAACAGGGGGTGATGGAGAGAAAACCTGTTCATTGTTCAGTTGGAGGCCTGAGGTTCTGAGCAGCAGTAAGTGCCTTTGATTAGGTGAAGCAGAAGTAGCGATGTATCAGAAAGGCATTGGGGAGCTCCGCTCCCGATGTGTAGAAAGAATGAAAACAGAAAAGCTCAAGCCTCCTCAGCAGTAGAAATTCACGAGCTTTCTGTCATGGATCATTAACACTACTCATTTCTAATGACAGTTTCTGTATCTCTGTGTTTACAGTCAGAGAGAGGGGAGCCGACTGGCCAAACTGAGATCAGAAGTGCCTGAATATTTCCCATTTGCTTCTCCAAGTCCATTCTTTTTTCTTCCCCACCCTTGTCTGTTATGCTCTGAGCCCCAGGCGGGTCAGCCTGAACGGACTGAGTCATGGGCCCTTTACCCTCCGACTTCCAGTTGGGTTCAGCCGATGGAGAGTGCTGTAGGAGATGAGAGGGAAAGAGGGGAGTGATTAGGATATTTATTCCCCTAGCTCCCTCCCTGCTGGGCCACGTGGCCTGGCTACCTCCCTCCACTCAACGTAACAGCCCCTGTTAAAATCTTTCTTTCCGTTTAAGTTTAGGGGTGGGGCTTTGCCTATTCCTTGTAGATTTTTTTACAACTTGCCCATTGCTTGTATGCAGTCCCCATAATGAATTCCTCCCAATTTACTCAATTTGAGTATTCCTTCTATTCCTGTTGGGTCCTGATAGATAATAGAGAACTACCACACAATCCATCATGCAATTACTCAGCATCTCTGGGCTACACTTTCCTCAGCTGAAAAATAGGTCAATACTTCATAGGGTTATAGTAAGGCTTAAGTGGGTTAATATATATAAAACTTGGCACATTAAAAAAAAACCAACAAACCTAGGCTATTATTATCGACATTTTGTCCTTGCAATGAGGACATTAAATATATTTTTATAAATGTGATTAAAAATGTTATGTTTGTAAGAGACTTCACATAAGCACTTTTTAAACTCAGTAAAGATTCATGTGTGACCAAGTGTCTCCATTTGGGCCAGGAGAAAGTGAGATTATAATAGTTCTGCTAGCCTTCCCAGGAGTAAGTAGGTAGTGGGTTTCTGAACTAATTGTATGGATTGACTTATGTTAACTTCTTAAGAAATGGGCTGTGAGCAGCCTTCCGCCCACTGATCACTCCCAACCTCTGAACCCATCAGTAATGAGAGCCCATCTTCAGAGGAGCACCAAAGGCAGACACTGCCCTCTCTTCATGGAGCACCACTACCTGCTGGCTCATCCTGCACGATTAAAAATATTCCCTTTAAAAATGTCCCCTTCCAGGGAAGGCTCTGGATCCCAGAATACTAGATAATGGGTTTACTTACTCTTCACAGACCAAAGCCAGTTCCACAATGTCTGCCCTTAACTTCTATTCTCTAGACCTGTGGTACCTTAGAAAGGAAGAGATTTGCTGAGAAGGCTCCATCTTTGGGACATGGCCCCATTTGTTCAACAAGAGATTTTGTTTTGGGGGTTTTGTTTGTTGTTTGTTGTCCCCCCAAGATAAGAAGTTACCACAGTCCTAAGGTTGAAGAGTGTCATTGAAGGCAGGCAACATAGCTTTGTTAAAAAAGCATGAGGTCTGAAGCCAGAGACATCTGGGATTAAATCCCACTTTGGTCATTTATTGGCTGGATGACCTTGGGAAAGTTACTCACCATCTCTGGGCTGAAGGATCATCATCAGTAAATCGGGGGATACGTCTTGTTTCTGTAGGATTCTTGTGAAGATTGTGAGAAGATGGAAACTGCCTGACAGGGTGCCTGACACAATCAATAAACGGTGGCAATTATTGGCAGAAATAGTAGTCGTTTTCATTCTTAAAGTCCTTACCTGTCATGCAGAAATACTCCAAAGCATCTCATAGACCCATATATTCTGGATTGGGAGGGGCCAAAATATCCAGTAACTTCAACAACCTCTCCTCCCCAACCCCCTGCCAGACAGAACTCTACAAAGCCAGTGGGAAAGGTGTAGGGATCCTCCTGGCACTTCCAGCTGGCTTAAATCTAGACACATAACTACAGTGCGCAGTTAGTGAGGGCTCACTCTGTGATGGGCACTGCTCTAAGACTTCCATAAATATTTTCTAAGTTAATACTCAACACAATCTGTGTTGTAATTCCTACCATTGCCCCCATTTTACAGATGATGAAACTAAGCCTCAAAAGAGTTAAGTGACTTTTCTAAAGTCACATAGCCCATGAGTGGACACAGAATTTGACCCCAGGCCGTCCTCCTTTTTAACTGCTCTATTGTGCTGGCTCAATATCTGGCTAAAAGACACAACAAAATAGTCATAGGCTTTACATGCTAACATGGCTACTTGGACTGAATTGACTCATCAGCACAGCAACTGATCTGATTGATTTGAGCATGCTGCATCTATTGGAAGTATAGGTGTCCTATAGACCAGAGCTTCTCAACCCTGGAAGCATACGAGGATCACTTGGGGAGCTTTTCAAAAAGCACCAATGCCTGTACCTTAATGAAAGAGATTCTCATTTAATTGCTCTGGGGTGGAATCTGGGCCCAGAAAATTTTCAGATCTCCCAAAAAGTTCTAATACATAGCCAGTGTTGAGAATCACTGGTGTAGACTCTTCTCGTCCTTGATGGTGACACTTAGTCACAGAGCTTCTTGGAGTTCTTTAGAGGTTGGTTTTGTTTATCTTGACATTTCGTTCAGAACTAATTAGCTGATCCTCATACACTAGGCAATAATACATTGTGTAAATTCTGACTTGGGACACCACTTTGCATAGAAATATGAGACTTTCCAAAGAGAACATTTTTCTGTATTACTAAATGTAGTCAAGTTTCCTTTGGAAAATGGCAAAATCCAAATCTCTTTTTCCTACTAATCATGTATTGCAAAAAGATTGCCTTGAAACATTGCAAGGCAGCCAACACCATTCAGTAAATTACACCATGTAACTGGCTTAGGCCTCATTAGGCTTGCCCTCTTTGGCCTTATCAAGGGAACAGCCACTTCCCTTTGCAATCCCTTCTGGGAATGGATTTCTTCACTTTCCCCTGAAAGGTCAAGACATTCATCTTTCCCTAAATCTCTCATCAAGTAGTGACAGTTCAGCCTTTTTTGTTATCTTGTTGTGCCTCTCCTTTGAGGAGGAATTTTACTTAAAAATTAAAGATATCTTCAATTGTAGATAATTTATATTTGAAACCAAAATAGAACAATCTTATTTTGAAAAAGAATACTTATAGCGAATTGTGTTAGATGTCTAACCAGCATTCCTCTTCCTCTTTCCTAACAGGATGTGATTTTGTTTAGGTATCTGTCCCCTCCTTTGTACAGTTCATGTGTATTCAATGTCCATGTATGCTCATAATTCCATTTGCTTATCCTTCTCCACTGTGACCTAGAGTCTGAGTGCCTGATCTGGTGATGAGTGTGCATTGATGGCATTAATGGCTTCCTTGCACTGTGGCTTTCAGAGGGAGGGTGGGTATTTATTCTTCTGGCTTCCTTCTTTGCTAGGTAGTTGCAAGTTGACAGCATCCCTCTGTGAATGGACAAAGAACCTCTTGGGCAACCCTCCCTATCTGATTCTCGGCACTTGTGTTCTAATAATAACCCCCTAATCCTCAGGCTGAGGGAGGTATTGGTTCCTGTTGTTGCCAGCCCTGGACACTGCACCATCCCTTGCTGAGTTCCCTAAACTTTGCCCACAGCTTTATGGTCACTTTATTAAATTCTTATTAAACTAGTTTCAATGTGCCATCTGCTCCCTGCTGGGACACTGACTGAGATGTGTGACTCATATCTCCAGTTCCAGGGTCTGGATCTTGATTGTCCTAACCTAGTCACGCTATCCCATGTACCAGGGATCAGTTCAGACACCGGGGTTAAGGCAATCAGTGCGCGGAACTTCCTTAAGAAATATTAGTGATGCAGAGGTGAGCACCTGACTTACGTTGGCCAATTAGATGGAAGGGAAGAAGGAAGTACCTGGCTTAAGCTTCCGGTAGTAGCTGTCTTGTGAGTGAGAGGGAAGATACTGTGAGCACAAAGAACACCTCACGGGGCAGAGCCTGGAATTATAGCACTGGAGCCCTGACTGTCACGTATATGAGCTTATTGTTATAGGAAATAATAAATCTCCTCCTAGGTTAAACCCATTTTAGTTTTGTTTTTGTTTTTGTAATTTGCTGCTGAAAGCACCATAGCTAATGTGATTTATTAGCATTTCTTTTAGTTGTGTAGCAGCCATGGGGTTTAAAGCATTTCCCATGCATTGTTCATTTTCACTTTTTCAAAAGCCATGTTAATGATTATAATAATATTAATAGTTAAGGTAATAAGTAGTAATTATATCTATGTGCTAGGCACTATTCAAAGCACTTTATAAGTGTTAATTTGGTTAATCATCACAACTCTATTCAATAGGTACTACTATCATTATTATTATGGTTATTAGATGACAGAAAACACTGAGATATCAAAAACATGTATCAGGTCACCCAGCTGGTAAGTAGCAAAGCTGAAATTTGAGCTCAGGCAGTCCAATCCCAGAGTCTGTATTCTTTATATGAATGTATCCTACCACTCATATTTCAAATGAGGAAACTGAGGCTCAGAGAGCCAATGAACTAGTTAGGAGAAGAATCAGGAAAACTAATGTTGAGCAAAATCTACTGCTATTTCCACTATGCCACATTTTCCTTCCAGTGAGCTTCCTATCAAGGCCTTTTTAATAATTTGTGGAGCAGTTAATGCAAATGAGAGCTCTCCACCCTTCCAAGTTGTCCTTGTGGAACTGGGGCAACATGTGAGGAGAGACTCCATCTAGGGGCCACTAAGTATAGTGCAGTCTAAAGATTACGCACGTGATATTCAAATCTTATACACTCTCTAAAAGAATTTTGCAAATATGTATACCCCTCAGATTTTTTTAAGTCACTGCCTAAAAATTTATCCTATGTCATAAAAATGTAATCGCTGGTGTATTAAAATATTCACATTTAAAATAAAACGGTTAGCTAATTCTTCTATTGGTATCCATTGAAATCTGATTCCATTGCAGCTTGATACTCACAATAATCCAGCCGAAAGCTGTGGTATGCACTTTGCTAATAGTTAGAAATTTTCTGTTTGTCCTCTTTTCTTGAAACCATATTTTCATTTCATATTGCTCACAAAATTTTGTTGCAATGCAATATATTTTATTCCTAAAAGCATTTTATTGATCTTCACAAAAAAAATGAGTATAAATTAAGCCTCTTTAAAACTTTTTTTCCATGACTCTAAGATCCTGAGGGTTAAAACATGTTTTGGATTGAGTGATATTTACAAATATTATTAATACACAATTTATAAATAATTGCTAACCACAAAAGTGCACTATAATTGGAAATGCATTTGTTAATTAAAATGATGGAAAATTTTTTAACCCTCTTAGTTTATGCAAAATTTATTTGTTACTAAAATGAAACAGGAACCAGTATTGATTATTTTTGTTTGGGTTTTTCCCCATTTTTTATGGTTGTAGGTGCTGAGAAACTATATAGTAATGCCACTCAATTCTTTGAGCACCTTCAGGTTATTTGGCAAAAGTATATCATGATCTATTACCAAAGATGATTTTGATGAGCAATCAGATGTTTATTTTCTTCACAGTCTTTATCAGACAAAATAATCATATCCTTCATTTGTTTCTTTTAGTCTCCCCTCCTGCCTCCCTCTGTCAGGATACAGATATTATAAAAGCAGAAATCTTGTCTGTATGCTTTGGAATAGTGTCTGTCACATCATAGGTGCTTAACAAGTATTTGTTGAACAAATGCCTGAGGCAACCCACGTTCAAAGGAAAGGCAAGTACAGCGATTCTGTTAGGACAGGGGATAAGGGAAGATTGGATGTGTAGGTGATTGTGGTCTTCATGATCTCCACTGTTAAAGCTTCCTTCTTCACCATGAGTAGTAGCCTCTCTGAAGCGCTGTTGTTCCAGCAGAACAGGGATTCTCCCCCCATCCCCACATGTGCAGTGAGGTCAGCTAATTTTCCTGTATCTCTGGCCTCAGGTACCTTAGCAGGCTCCCCTCTATCCTCTCCTCAGTAGGTTCTCTTACTAGATCCCCCAGTAGGCTGAATGGCCATCTGTGGTGTCCTTGGGTGATTTTGACGTGTCTGGTGTTTCCATGAAACTTTGTTTATTCCCCAGCTCTGTGCAACTTGGGCAAACGCTTCTAGAAAGACCCAATAATACTTAACAATACCACACTTAACATGTCCATGCCATTGGAAGGTCTACAAATTACAATTTTATATCGAATTTTTATAATTATCATGGATTTGTGAGGTGAACACCCTAAATTTAAAGGTGAGAAAACTGAGGCCCAGGAAGGTAAAAATCAGACGCCCAATACTACATCATCCTCAGATGGCTGAGTATGAGTTTGAATGCCTCAACTAGAAATAGTATAGATTTAAATTTAAGCCCAGCTTTGTTCAGCAACTTACCAGGGAGACTACAAAAAAAGTAACTTAATGTCTCTGAATTTTAGTAGACTCAGTAAAATGCAACCATTAAAACCATTTAATGTCAGAAGGAAATTAATATATTTATAGCGTTAACACTCCCCAGTACATTATTTTTCCTGCCATGAAGCAGTATTATTATTACCCCCATCTAAAGATGAGAAAACTGAGGCATAACATAGCAGAACAGCATAGTCCTCAAGAGTCTGGGCTTTGGGCCAAGTGTGGTGGCTCACGCCTGTAATCCCAGCACTTGGGGAGGCAAAGGTAGGAGGATTGCTTGAGGTCAGGAGTTCAAGACCAGCCTGGCCAACATAGTGAAATCCTGTCTTTACTAAAAATACAAAAAAAAAAAAAAAATTAGCTGGGTGTGGTGGCATGCATCTGTAATCTCAGCTACTCAGGAGGCTGAGGCAGGAGCATTACTTGAACCCAGGAGGCGGAGGTTGCAGTGAGCTGAGATCGTGCCATTGCACTGTGCCAGCCTGGGTGACAGAGAAAGACTCCGCTAAAAAAAAAAAAAAAAAAAAAAAAAAAAAAAAAAAAAGAAGAAGAATGTAGGCTTTGGAGTCAAGTTGCTTGAGCCAGGTCCTGGCTCTATCATTAACTAGCTAAGTAACTTTGGGCTAGTTACTTAATACCTGCCTGGCACAAGGTAAAAGTTAATATAATATATGTCAACCACTGTTGGGCAACTTTTCCAAGACCACAAACAAACCATGATAGTGCCGAGGTTCAAAGCTAATTAGCCAATTTGGTTTCAGAGATTCTGATGTGTACCATAACGCTGTTATCTTTGGAGCCAGAAAGTCAGGAGATAGGAAGATAAATATGAGAAAGAAAGAAGAGCTGGAGGTTTGAGACTGATAAAAAGTACAGGAAAAGAGAGAAGAGCAATTTGTGGCGCATCAGGGCATTTTACTGTATGGCAAGAAATGGAATTTCCCATAAGTTGCCCTTTCCAAAGATTCCACTAAAGAATTATATTGCTTGACAATGTTTTTTGTTGTTGTTTTTTTGTTTTTGTCATGATGACATTTCTTTAGAAAGAAGTACTATTTCTAAAATAGGACATAAGGTAGCCCAGCTTTATTTGGGTTAAAAGTTCTAAAAGAATTTCAGTAGTTCACTCTGGATAGAGCCTCCAATGTGGGGTCTTGGAAAGAAGGGGCAGAAATTCCTAGGGCAAGCACCACTGTGTGTTTCCTAGGCAGTGATATGGTCTACATGCTGTGGATCCTTATTCTATCCTAGGAACTGACCAACCAACTGATCAAGATATCAACCCGCTAAGGGTGGCCAGACAGAAGCATGCTGCCCCCATGTCTGTTTCTATCTATCCTCACCTCAGTGCCCATACTAATTAGAACTCCTTTTCTCTCCAGGAAACTTTATCCAAGAAGCCCCACTTCCCCTTCCAAAGCAGTTTGGTTCCTGGAAATATTCTTGGCCTGGAAAAGAGAAATGGTTTCCTATTTTCAGCTGGTGTTAGGTATTATTTGTGGCCACCTGCTAGATCTCAATAAACAGATTCTGCATGAAATTATAGCCTTTTTGTGTTCCAAAAACTAACTCTCCTCTTAGCCTGTAGTACGTACAATAACAAACCCAATATCAACAATCATATCTATCATGCAGTAAGCAATCACCACGTTTGCTTGTTGAAATGAATCCTGTGTTTTTGAGAAGGTCACCTCACCTGACCTCAGCTGGGGAATTTCTGTGCTGCAGAATGTCTGTGGTCTCTTTTCAGCTTTGAGATGTATAAATCTGGTATGTACCATGAGGTCCCTTATGGTTCCTCAGTAAGATTCTATTGCTGTTTATTATTATTATCAATAGGAATAACAAGGGTTAACATTTCCTGGACACTAACTATATGCCTTTGTATTAAGTACTTACTATATATAGTATATATAATCCTTACCAAAAAGAATGTGAAGTATGTATTATTTTCATTATCCCCAATTCATAAACAGGGAGACCAAAGTTGATGTAGGTTAAATAAATTCCCCAAGGTTACCCAGCTAGGAGTGGAGGAGGCAAGATATAAACCCAGCCCAGACTATTCACTCCAGACTACTCACTCTACTGTGTGGAATTACTCTCTCCAAGTTACACATGAACAAGAGAGTTCAATTTACCTTTGTCTATATATTTGGGGCTAGAGTTTTTATAGTACAACATATTGATTGGCCTAAATTTCTAGCCATATTCTTAGGAAAGATAGGGATCTGCCTGTCAGCTTCTTGCGTGATAGTGGCAATGATGGCATTTATTTTCAGTGCAGATAAAAAGCCTGCCTAGAATCTTCTTTTTGGAAGGTTGAAGAGTATAACCAATAAGTTGTGAGGTGGAATTAAGATAAACAAGTGCATTTTACTTACAGGGTGAAAGTGGTCCATACCAGATTCATGATTGGTTACCAGGTGATTGCAGTTGTCAAGATCTTGTGTTTTTCCTCGGAAACAAGGAAACTGTAAGAAGGAGAAATGAAGATATCCGAGCTAAGAGAGAAAAAAAGAGACATTAGCATTAATCATTTATAGGATAAGGGCTAATAGATGAGACTCTTGGGGAAAAAACAACGCAGAAGCTTGGGTGAGAAACACACACCATCATCATCATCATCATCATCATCATCGTCTTCATCATTGTCGTCATTATCATCATATGCACATATGTCCTAGTTTGGGTCTTTTAGAAGCAGACTCTGAGAAAAGGATCCTGGTGGAAATAGTATAGTTGGAAACTAAAAATAGAAAAATGGGAAACAGAGACAGGTAAAGAAAGGCAATAATTACATGGAGTGTTATCAGGCAGGCAGCTATTATTGTGGGCAACTGAGCTTACTGCCTCTGATAAAACTTTGAGAGTCAGTGAGGAAGAAAGCCTCTACCAGCTCTTACTGGTCATTGGTAGAGGAATAATGTGATGCAAAGGTATTAATTCCTAGGAACTTTTGGTCTACCATAAAGGCAAAGTGCCTTAGAATCTGAATAAAACTTTTAAAAAGAGAAACTTAGGAGCTGGCAGTTGGCAGCCAGCCATTCTGCACTGAAAAGGAAAGGGCAGAAGGGTGGGGGGAGGGTCACTGAGAGCATCTGAAGCAATTTTGCTTTTAGAGGGTAAGAGACAGATGGTAGCTAACATGTACTGAATGCTTAGAATTCGTTTAATTTTCACAGTCTGCATAGAAAGTGTGTATTATTGTTGGCATTTTGTAGTTAACAAGAAGTACAGAGAGGTAACATATTTGTTCATGTGGGAATAGCTGGTAAGCGGCACAGCTGGGAGTTGAATCCAGGGGTCCTGACTCAAACCCTCCACGTTATTCCATCTAACTATGCAGACTGTAGCGTCAGGTTCCTTAACCTATAATCTCCAGCTCCATCCCTCTTGTTCATTATGGATATTTTTATCCAAAAAGGACCAATTTGCTTTCAACAGGTTTCCACTCTCCTTGATTTGCATTTTTTCCACGTAGGATTAGTGATAATAACTACTACAGTTAGCATTCTGCTAAGCTCCTTACAGGCTTGTCTTCCTTAACACTCCCATCAAACCTATAAGGTGGATACTGTTATGTTCTCACCTTACCAGTGAGGAAACCAAAGCACAAGATGATGAATAACTTGCTTAAGGTCATGTATTGAGTGAATGGCAAAACCATGTTCAGCCCTTGTTTAACTATGATGTTCTGCTGTCTCCTTAGTTAGAAAGGCTTGAAATAGCAAAGTTGTGTGTAGACTGTGGCACATGCCAATTCCAGGAACTGCCTTTAAAGTGGAACAGGTTTGTAATCATAGCCAATCCAGGGAAATGGCAGAACTTTATCTCCATCCTCAGTTTAGATTCAGAGCCTCTGCATAGAGAAATACAATGATTTACCTCTTTCTTTTGGGTGAGCATGCCCACATCTGAGCTCTTGTTTTAAGGCATCAATAAACATGGTGACAATGGACTTAGAAGTGTTACATTTCATGTAAATTTTCACCTGAGACAAAGCATCCGTGGTCTTGGCAGGTCTGAATTCTAAATGACGAATCTTTGCTTCAAGGGATTGAAAGGGAGAGATGGATCAGTAATTGAAATCTTCACGTACTTGCTTTTTATCCTCAAATTTCAGTAATATTTTATGACATAAAATAGTAAAATAAAAATAAAAACAGCAAGAGTAACAAGTTCAAATTACCTTTAATCACATTATCTTTCTTCTTTTTAAAACAGCATGTGGGATAAAGAGCAAGAGCAGTCTTTGACCATCATTTCAGACCCAGTAGTAACCACTGGCAACATTCCCACTTGCTAGTTTCTGTTATCCTCTGTGATCATGCAAACATACATATATCCATGTATATACATATACATCATTAATAGCGTTTTTCAAAAAATGGAAATGTGGTCATGCTTTTTGTTTGCTTAAAAATACCTCATAGACTTCCCTAGGTCATTATTTATAGATTTACTTCATTTTATTTTGAACTCTTGAACAATGTTCTGTTACATAGATAATAATTTATCTGAGCAATCTTACTAGTGGGCACTTGGCTTGTATTGCGACATTTGCTGCAGAGATCATGTTGGTGTATTCTTTTATACTCCCCAAATGGTGTCTTTTTAGAGCATGCAGCACTTGCCTGAAGATATCAGGTGGTTGTTTTTTTCTGTCTTCAACTAAGTAGGTAAAGCCTAACTGAATATTTAGTTTTCAGATTTCCAGACACCCTTTTACAAACACTTCCTGCTTCTGATTCTAGTTCGGATACCCATAACCAACAGCAGTAATTTATATTCTAAATCCTTAAAGACAACAGCATGTCTGCATTCCCATTCTAATGCCCAACCAAGAAGAAAACTTGGTGGCCACCTTCCACCTTCCTCTATCTTCTCCCCACTGCCTAGTCCAGCCTCCCACTCTCTCTACGACGAGCCCTGAGTCCTTTGGGGGTTAACAGAGACCGAACACTTGGAAGCCATTGATCAAATGAATTAAAATATGCTTCCCAGAATTCCTCACTCATCCCCCCACACCCCTCCTCACACATACACAAAGAAAGGTCCAACTCTTTGAACAAAGGTTGCACTTGCAAAAAACTTCTTCAGTCTTGGAGAAACAGACTTTTTCATTGAGCTCTCCCCTGCACTTAAAACAGAAGCCAGTAGAAAAGACCAACCTGAAGCAGAAGGATCTCACACTCCCTCTCCACCTTCCACCAGAAGGAGAGAACCCCCAGGTCCCAACCCATCTGGGCCCTGGAGATTCAACCTTCTTCTCAGCTCTCTCCATGGGACCTGAAGATTGGCAGGTCTGGGAAGAAGGGAGGTGGGGAGTGTGAAGACCTACCAGTGGCTGGGGAAAGGGGAAGCGCGATGGATGAGTGAGTTTCACATCTGGCTAACCTCTTTCCTCGAAGAACCAAGTTAGAAAGAGCGTGGAGAAGGGATAGGGAGGGGAAAGTGGATGAGGACTGCTCTTATTATGCTGGGAAACCTCAGTTTCACTGTACAGTGAGGCCTCTCATACGTCTCTGGTCTCTCTCTCTCATTTGTGAGCAAACAAGAGTTCTCAAAGGAAGTGGTACCTGAACGACGTGGGATACTTTGAAAGCAGGCCTTCACCCTCCATCTCCGGGGGCTCCGCGGCCGCCTCCTCCCCGCTGTCTGAGCGCTGCCTCTCGGGCGCAGTAGCTGAGCTCCCAGAGAGGGACGGACCTAGATCTTCATCGGGCGCCCCTTTCTCATCTCTCGGGCTCTGACTCCTCTTGGGGTGCTTAGTTCAAGGCTGGACAGCCTAGAAGACACCCACCAAGTGTGGGTGGGGAAGAAGCAGAGCAAGGGCAGGCCGACCCGATCTGCAGCCACACTCCTTGTCCTCCGGGTGAAACTGCAGACCGCACAGCGCTGGGAGGACACATGGGCCACAGGGCGGGAGCTGTCCGTGGTTCTGGCCGGCGTCGACCCGTGGGTATTTAAGGGTTGGGGCAGCCCGCCTACCTTCTGCTAAACCGCAGGGAGGAGTCGGGGGCTGCAGAACCTGGATTGGTTTTAATTAACCCACGCGCAGGCAAGGTCTGAGAGCCGCGTTTCTGCGCCCTTTGCAGCGCAAATCACCGCTGGTGAGAATCTGAAGGTTTCTTTTCGGTTTCTCCGTCAGTGCCATTTCTCTTTGAGGACGTAGAAAACTTTATTCGGATACGTCTCATGTTCTCTTTTCACCTATCCCCCAGAATTTGTCCACCACCGCCCCACTTCTCTCCAGTTCTCTCCCCTGCCCCACAAACAAATCTAGGTGGAAAAGCGCAAGGTGAGGGCTGCAGTAGCCAAATGGTCATTCCCAGCTTCACTCCTGATCTCTAGGCAGTCCTGCTGGCCTTGGGGATTCTGAGGCAAACTGGGGATGGGACTGGTTTTAAACCCACCGTCCCCGCCTGTATGTTGACGGGATGCCACTTTAAGTTCATCAAATATAAACTAAATTTTTGGAACGATGAGGGTTGAATCTCTTGAAATGAATGGAGCATGTTTCTGGTTCCAGCTAAGCTGGTTCTAAGCCAGGACTGATGAGTGGAAGGCGTTCCTTTTCAGGTTGGAGAGTTCCTGGGGAGGGAAGAGAAAAGGAGGTCGAGGAATCCAGCGGTGCTTAGGCAAAAAGACTAATATCCTAAATCAACTCCACAGGGTGGAGCAATAGAGGTTCTGCTGCATCGCCCTTGCAGTAATCATTTTAATGTGTCTAGTCTTTCACTGAGCCCAAATAAAATATTTATTTTATTTTCAATTAAAAACTTGTGGAATTAAGCCCGAAAAGTGCAATAATTTGAGTTTTAAAACCTTGTATATTAACGGATTATCTTTCCCCCTCCTCAAACTATACACCTGGTGGCAGATTTTGGCAACTTTTATTTTACAATCCTTTAATGAGTGGGGATGGAGCAGTATTCCTGGAGCAATAGGGTGCTTTCTTTTCACTTCCTCATATTTGAAGGACTGGTTTGTCTTGCCCTATTTTGCAAGAATTTTTGATTCTACCTCCAAATTGGCTTTTTCTGTAGGCTGCAGTGTGCTCAAAGGGTGAAATGGCCACAGTGCCAGCGACTTTTGTGTTAAAAATTGTTCTCCACTTCCTGCTCCTGGAAACACAAAAAGCCTCCCAGATCTCACCAAAATTACCTTAAAATTGGGCAGCAAAGTGAAGTCATGCTTTCTTATGCTGGTTCCTTAGTAAAACAACCTGTCTGTAGCATGATCTATTTTTTTTAAATCAATGTTGTTTATGTTAAAGTGTTAACTATTTCATAAAACGTGCACTGCGGAACACCCCCAGCTGAAAGAAGTGTCTTAATCTGTTCTCGCTGCTAAAAGGAACTGCCTGAGACTGGGTGATTTATAGAGGAAAGAGATTTAATTGACTCATAGTTCTGCATGGCTGGGGAGGCCTCAGGAAATTAACAATCATGGCAGAAGGGGAAGCAAACACGTCCTTCTTCACATGGTGGAAGAAGAGAGAAGTGCAGAGCAAAGCGGGGGAAAACCCGTTATAAAACTATCGGATCTCATGAGAACTCACTCACTATCATGAGAACAGCATGGGGGAACTGCCGCCATGATCTAATCACCTTCCATGAGATCTCTCCCCCAACTTGTGGGGATTACAATTTGGATTCAAAATGTGATTTGTTCGGGGACACAGAGACAGATCATTTCAAGAAATGTCTTTAGCAATAAAGCAAATGCTGACTTTTTGAAGATTATGATCTACAAGTCTGGTAATGCTGCAGCTCCATGAGAGAAAGGAGGTTGCAAAATGAAGAACAATGTCAGAAATGAGGGTGAAAGAATGAAGGTCTATTGCCTTAAGCTTCAAATGGGAAATTTCAATTTCAATCTCTAAAGTTGCCGTTTTCAAGATAGTTTTAGTTTCAAGTTGATGCAAATTTTATTATTTTATTGTTCATAACACATGCCCATGTGTGTACATGTGTGTGTGTGTGTGCATGTGCAGTGTGTGTTGAAAGGTTTAAATTCTACTTTATTTTATTTTATTTTATTTTTTTGACTTTAAAGAAAAAGTCTGGTTTATTGTGGTAAGAAAACACATAGCATAAAATTTACCATCTCAACCATTTTTAAATGTATAGTTCAATTAAATACATTCACATTGTTGTGAAACAGATCTCTAGAACTTTTTTGTCTTGCAAAAATGAAGCTCTATATCCACCAAATATTTATTCCCCCTCTTCCCTCCCCAGTATTTGACACTCGCCTTTCTACTTTCTGTTGGTATGATTTGGACTACTTTAGATATTTCATATACATGGAATCATATAGCATGTGTCCTTTTATTACTGGCGTATTCAGCAAATTTCATCCATGTTGTAAAATATGACAAGATTTCTTCCTTTTTAAGGCTGCATAATATTCTATTGGATGTATATACCACATTTTCTTTTTTTTTTTCTTTTTCTTTTTTTTCTTTTATTATATTTTAAGTTCTAGGGTACATGTGCACATTGTGCAGGTTAGTTACATATGTAGACATGTGCCATGCTGGTGCACTGCACCCACTAACTCGTCATCTAGCATTAGGTATATCTCCCAATGCTATCCCTCCCCCCTCCCCCCACCCCACAACAGTCCCCAGAGTGTGATATTCCCCTTCCTGTGTCCATGTGCTCTCATTGTTCAATTCCCACCTATGAGTGAGAATATGCGGTGTTTGGTTTTTTGTTCTTGTGATAGTTTACTGACAATGATGATTTCCAATTTCATCCATGTCCCTACAAAGGACACGAACTCATCATTTTTATGGCTGCATAGTATTCCATGGTGTATATGTGCCACATTTTCTTAATCCAGTCTATCATTGTTGGACATTTGGGTTGGTTCCAAGTCTTTGCTATTGTGAATAATGCCGCAATAAACATACGTGTGCATGTGTCTTTATAGCAGCATGATTTATAGTCCTTTGGGTATATACCCAGTAATGGGATGGCTGGGTCAAATGGTATTTCCAGTTCTAGATCCCTGAGGAATCGCCACACTGACTTCCACAATGGTTGAACTAGTTTACAGTCCCACCAACAGTGTAAAAGTGTTCCTATTTCTCCACATCCTCTCCAGCACCTGCTGTTTCCTGACTTTTTAATGATTGCCATTCTAACTGGTGTGAGATGGTATCTCATTGTGGTTTTGATTTGCATTTCTCTGATGGCCAGTGATGATGAGCATTTTTTCATGTGTTTTTTGGCTGCATAAATGTCTTCTTTTAAGAGGTGTCTGTTCATGTCCTTTGCCCACTTTTTGATGGGGTTGTTTGTTTTTTTCTTGTAAATTTGTTTGAGTTCATTGTAGATTCTGGATATTAGCCCTTTGTCAGATGAGTAGGTTGCGAAATTTTTCTCCCATTTTGTAGGTTGCCTGTTCACTCTGATGGTAGTTTCTCTTGCTGTGCAGAAGCCCTTTAGTTTAATTAGATCCCATTTGTCAATTTTGTCTTTTGTTGCCATTGCTTTTGGTGTTTTAGACATGAAGTCCTTCCCCATGCCTATGTCCTGAATGGTAATGCCTAGGTTTTCTTCTAGGGTTTTTATGGTTTTATGTCTAACGTTTAAGTCTTTAATCCATCTTGAATTGATTTTTGTATAAGGTGTAAGGAAGGGATCCAGTTTCAGCTTTCTACATATGGCTAGCCAGTTTTCCCAGCACCATTTATTAAATAGGGAATCCTTTCCCCATTGCTTGTTTTTCTGAGGTTTGTCAAAGATCAGATAGTTGTAGATATGCGGCATTATTTCTGAGGGCTCTGTTCTGTTCCATTGATCTATATCTCTGTTTTGGTACCAGTACCATGCTGTTTTGGTTACTGTAGCCTTGTAGTATAGTTTGAAGGCAGGTAGTGTGATGCCTCCAGCTTTGTTCTTTTGGCTTAGGATTGACTTGAAGATGCGGGCTCTTTTTTGGTTCCATATGAACTTTAAAGTAGTTTTTTCCAATTCTGTGAAGAAAGTCATTGGTAACTTGATGGGGATGGCATTGAATCTGTAAATTACCTTGGGCAGTATGGCCATTTTCACGATATTGATTCTTCCTACCCATGAGCATGGAATGTTCTTCCATTTGTTTGTATCCTCTTTTATTTCCTTGAGCAGTGGTTTGTAGTTCTCCTTGAAGAGGTCCTTCACATCCCTTGTAAGTTGGATTCCTAGGTATTTTATTCTCTTTGAAGCAATTGTGAATGGGACTTCACTCATGATTTGGCTCTCTGTTTGTCTGTTGTTGGTGTATAAGAATGCTTGTGATTTTTGTACATTGATTTTGTATCCTGAGACTTTGCTGAAGTTGCTTATCAGCTTAAGGAGATTTTGGGCTGAGACAGTGGGGTTTTCTAGATATACAATCATGTCGTCTGCAAACAGGGACAATTTGACTTCCTCTTTTCCTAATTGAATACCCTTTATTTCCTTCTCCTGCCTAATTGCCCTGGCCAGAACTTCCAACACTATGTTGAATAGAAGTGGTGAGAGAGGGCATCCCTGTCTTGTGCCAGTTTTCAAAGGGAATGCTTCCAGTTTTTGCCCATTCAGTATGATATTGGCTGTGGGTTTGTCATAGATAGCTCTTATTATTTTGAAATACGTCCCATCAATACCTAATTTATTGAGAGTTTTTAGCATGAAGGGTTGTTGAATTTTGTCAATGGCTTTTTCTGCATCTATTGAGATAATCATGTGGTTTTTGTCTTTGGCTCTGTTTATATGCTGGATTACATTTATTGATTTGTGTATATTGAACCAGCCTTGCATCCCAGGGATGAAGCCCACTTGATCATGGTGAATAAGCTTTTTGATGTGCTGCTGGATTCGTTTTGCCAGTATTTTATTGAAGATATTTGCATCAATGTTCATCAAGGATATTGGTCTAAAATTCTCTTTTTTTTGTTGTGTCTCTGCCAGGCTTTGGTATCAGGATGATGCTGGCCTCATAAAATGAGTTAGAGAGGATTCCCTCTTTTTCTATTGATTGGAATAGTTTCAGAAGGAATGGTACCAATTCCTCCTTGTACCTCTGGTAGAATTCGGCTGTGAATCCATCTGGTCCCGTACTCTTTTTAGTTGGTAAGCTATTGATTATTGCCACAATTTCAGAGCCTGTTATTGGTCTATTCAGAGATTCAACTTCTTCCTGGTTTAGTCTTGGGAGAGTGTATGTGTCGAGGAATTTATCCATTTCTTCTAGATTTTTTAGTTTATTTGCATAGAGGTGTTTGTAGTATTCTCTGATGGTAGTTTGTATTTCTGTGGGATCGGTGGTGTTATCCCCTTTATCATTTTTTATTGTGTCTATTTGATTCTTCTCTCTTTTTTTCTTTATTAGTCTTGCTAGCGGTCTATCAATTTTGTTGATCCTTTCAAAAAACAAGCTCCTGGATTCATTAATTTTTTGAAGGGTTTTTTGTGTCTCTATTTCCTTCAGTTCTGCTCTGATTTTAGTTATTTCTTGACTTCTGCTAGCTTTTGAATGTGTTTGCACTTGCTTTTCTAGTTCTTTTAATTGTGATGTTAGGGTGTCAATTTTGGATCTTTCCTGCTTTCTCTTGTGGGCATTTAGTGCTATAAATTTCCCTCTACACACTGCTTTCAATGCGTCCCAGAGATTCTGGTATGTTGTGTCTTTGTTCTCGTTGGTTTCAAAGAACATCTTTATTTCTGCCTTCATTTCGTTATGTACCCAGTAGTCATTCAGGAGCAGGTTGTTCAGTTTCCATGTAGTTGAGTGGTTTTGAGTGAGATTCTTAATCCTGAATTCTAGTTTGATTGCACTGTGGTCTGAGAGACAGTTTGTTATAATTTCTGTTCTTTTACATTTGCTGAGGAGAGCTTTACTTCCAAGTATGTGGTCAATTTTGGAATAGGTGTGGTGTGGTGCTGAAAAAAATGTATATTCTGTTGATTTGGGGTGGAGAGTTCTGTAGATGTCTATTAGGTTGCTTGGTGCAGAGCTGAGTTCAATTCCTGGGTATCCTTGTTAACTTTCTGTCTAGTTGATCTGTCTAATGTTGACAGTGGGGTGTTAAAGTCTCCCATTATTAATGTGTGGGAGTCTAAGTCTCTTTGTAGGTCACTCAGGACTTGCTTTATGAATCTGGGTGCTCCTGTATTGGGTGCATATATATTTAGGATAGTTAGCTCTTCTTGTTGAATTGATCCCTTTACCATTAGGTAATGGCCTTCTTTGTCTCTTTTTATCATTGTTGGTTTAAAGTCTGTTTTATCAGAGACTAGGATTGCAACCCCTGCCTTTTTTTGTTTTCCATTTGCTTGGTAGATCTTCCTCCATCCTTTTATTTTGAGCCTATGTGTGTCTCTGCACGTGAGATGGGTCTCCTGAATACAGCACACTGATGGGTCTTGACTCTTTATCCAATTTGCCAGTCTGTGTCTTTTAATTGGAGCATTTAGTCCATTTACATTTAAAGTTAATATTGTTATGTGTGAATTTGATCCTGTCATTATGATGTTAGCTGGTTATTTTGTTCGTTAGTTGATGCAGTTTCTTCCTAGCCTTGATGGTGTTTACATTTTGGCATGATTTTGCAGCGGCTGGTACCGGTTGTTCCTTTCCATGTTTAGCACTTCCTTCAGGAGCTCTTTTAGGGCAGGCCTGGTGGTGACAAAATCTCTCAGCATTTGCTTGTCTGTAAAGTATTTTATTTCTCCTTCACTTATGAAGCTTAGTTTGGCTGGATATGAAATTCTGGGTTGAAAATTCTTTTCTTTAAGAATGTTGAATATTGGCCCCCACTCTCTTCTGGCTTGTAGGGTTTCTGCAGAGAGATCTGCTGTTAGTCTGATGGGCTTCCCTTTGTGGGTAACCCGACCTTTCTCTCTGGCTGCCCTTAACATTTTTTCCTTCATTTCAACTTTGGTGAATCTGACAATTATGTGTCTTGGAGTTGCTCTTCTCGAGGAGTATCTTTGTGGCGTTCTCTGTATTTCCTGAATCTGAACGTTGGCCTGCCTTGCTAGACTGGGGAAGTTCTCCTGGATAATATCCTGCAGAGTGTTTTCCAACTTGGTTCCATTCTCCCCATCACTTTCAGGTACACCAATCAGACGTAGATTTGGTCTTTTCACATAGTCCCATATTTCTTGGAGGCTTTGCTCATTTCTTTTTATTCTTTTTTCTCTAAACTTCCTTTCTCGCTTCATTTCATTCATTTCATCTTCCATCGCTGATACCCTTTCTTCCAGTTGATCGCATCGGCTCCTGAGGCTTCTGCATTCTTCACGTAGTTCTCGAGCCTTGGTTTTCAGCTCCATCAGCTCCTTTAAGCACTTCTCTGTATCGGTTATTCTAGTTATACATTCTTCTAAATTTTTTTCAAAGTTTTCAACTTCTTTGCCTTTGGTTTGAACGTCCTCCCGTAGCTCAGAGTAATTTGATCGTCTGAAGCCTTCTTCTCTCAGGTCGTCAAAGTCATTCTCCATCCAGCTTTGTTCCGTTGCTGGTGAGGAACTGCGTTCCTTTGCAGGAGGAGAGGTGCTCTGCTTTTTAGAGTTTCCAGTTTTTCTGTTCTGTTTTTTCCCCATCTTTGTGGTTTTATCTACTTTTGGTCTTTGACGATGGTGATGTACAGATGGGTTTTTGGTGTGGATGTCCTTTCTGTTTGTTAGTTTTCCTTCTAATGGACAGGACCCTCAGCTGCAGTTCTGTTGGAATACCCTGCCGTGTGAGGTGTCAGTGTGCCCCTGCTGGGGGGTGCCTCCCAGTTAGGCTGCTTGGGGGTCAGGGGTCAGGGACCCACTTGAGGAGGCAGTCTGCCTGTTCTCAGATCTCCAGCTGCATGCTGGGAGAACCACTGCTCTCTTCAAAGCTGTCAGACAGGGACATTTAAGTCTGCAGAGGTTACTGCTGTCTTTTTGTTTGTCTGTGCCCTGCCCCCAGAGGTGGAGCCTACAGAGGCAGGCAGGCCTCCTTGAGCTGTGGTGGGCTCCACCCAGTTCGAGCTTCCAGGCTGCTTTGTTTACCTAAGCAAGCCTGGGCAATGGCGGGCGCCCCTCCCCCAGCCTCGCTGCCAGCTTGCAGTTTGATCTCAGACTGCTGTGCTAGCAATCAGCGAGACTCTGTGGGCGTAGGACCCTCCGAGCCAGGTGTGGGATATAATCTCGTGGTGCGCCGTTTTTTAAGCCCATCAGAAAAGCGCAGTATTCGGGTGGGAGTGACCCGATTTTCCAGGTGCCGTCCGTCACCCCTTTCTTTGACTTGGAAAGGGAACTCCCTGACCCCTTGCGCTTCCCGAGTGAGGCAATGCCTCTCCCTGCTTCGGCTCGCGCACGGTGTGCGCACCCACTGACCTGCGCCCACTGTCTGGCACTCCCTAGTGAGATGAACCCTGTACCTCAGATGGAAATGCAGAAATCACCGTCTTCTGCGTCGCTCACGCTGGGAGCTGTAGACTGGAGCTGTTCCTATTCGGCCATCTTGGCTCCTCCCCCCCACATTTCTAAATTCTACTTTAATTAAAATTCTTTTCTCAACTGGAAGCTTCTCTACAGTTGTCATCTCTTTGGAAAGAGTGGTCAGTTGGGATTATGTTGCTGGACCAAGATGATCAGAGTAATAATAACCAAGACTTATTAGAGCCCATTTGTGCTTTGAATAAGAATAATAAATATTTAAAATTGTTATGTAATATTGGAAGTGATTGAGAGCTTCCATATACACAATATGTTGTTTGATCTTTGTGACAACCTTATAAGATAGACATGCATCTTCTCCACCTTACAGATAAAAAATTGAGACTTGGGGAGATTAAGAGTCTATTTAAGTAAGTTCAGCTTGATGGAAAAACTGCCATTTGAATTGGGATCACCAGAGCAGTCTCCTGAAAGATGCTACATCTTTCTATCTCTATCCTATATTGTAACATGTAGGAGTGTACTGCTTCTTTTAAAAAAAATGGTGCCTGATTTTTGTCTGTGTAAAATGTGAGACATTGGACATTGTCATTAAGGAGATAAATGGCACACTTTTTCATTCTGTCTTTATGCAGCCAAAATTTATTCAAAGTTTCCTGTAAACAAAATAATTGTCATCATCTTGTTTCCTGGTGTTTGTACAAACTCATTCTCTTTCCATGCCTGACTCTTGCTCCATTAAAAGATAGGCTTTCAGCCAGGCATGCTGGCTCCCAGCACTTTGGGAGGCCGAGGCGGGTGGATTACCTGAGGCAGGAGTTCGAGACCAGCCTGACCAACATGGTGAAACCTTGTCTCTACTAAATACAAAAAATTAGCCAGGAGTCATGTCACATACCAGCTACTTGGGTAGCTGAAGCAGGAGAATCGCTTTAACCCGGGAGGCGGAGGTTTCAGTGAGACAAGATCGCACCACTGTACTCCAGCCTGGGCAACAAGAGCGAGACTCTGTCTCAAAATATAAATAAATAAATAAATAAATAAATAAATAAATTAATTAATTAATAAAGGTTTTCAGGATTACCATCCACTTCCCTGCCCTCAGTACTGGCAACAAATGTGGGTGCTGTCCTCGGTGCTGAGAATCTCCACTCTGGAAGGCATGTATAGTCTGCTCCTCTGTCTTTGCCCCAGGCTGAGGTGCCTTGTCTTAGAAGGCACAAGGCACTTCACAGTCACAAAACCTCTATTGTGTAATTCCAGGCTGCATTCCATGCGGGAAAATTAGTAGTTATTTTTCACAAGAGTGACTTCAAAGACAGCCTCCTGCCTCCTTGGCTTTCCCAAGGACATTCTAGGAACAGAAAGTTTGGGAAAGTTTCTGCTTCCTCCTTTTTCACTCTCAAACTTGATTTATTTTGTTAGGCCAAGGAAACAGAGTTTATCTTCACAGATTTGGGGAAGGTGGGCAGAAGCAGTATTTGGGTGTTGCCAGAGCTGGGAAGCCTTTCTAGACCAACAGTTACCTTTTGCAAGCAAAGTAGTTGTTCCAAGCTAATTTTTTGCTTTGGGATGATTTTGATGCCTGGTGACTCTCTAATGAACAGCTTTAAAATGTGTTCTACTCCAATATATGGCAGGGTGGGTCTTAGGGAAAGGGCCAGCTGCTCTGTGCCTTTGCTGATGAATTCCTCAACTTAGCCCTATCTATGGCCTCTGAGAGGTTGGAGGAATGGAGGGGAGTGGTGATAGAATAAATGACTTCTCAAAGAAATCCACACTTTTGAAAAGAGAGACATGAGGGAGAGACTCAAAGTTACAAATGAACATACATCTTAGTCCTTCGTTTCTAAATCCAAATTCCATCCTCCCCAGACCGCTCACAAGGAAAGATAAAAATTATCCCTTTGACACAACTCATTCACTTACCTTACATTTGCAAGGTAAGATTGTGGGACAAGACAGGTCCAGCTAACATTAGTTTGAGAACCCTTTGGAATAAAGAGACCTCAAAGAGGACTAAGTTTCTTTCTTTTAAAATAGATGTTCCTTAATTTATGTCTACTTCTAGGAATAGCAAATTAAAGGCATCCAAAGTTTAGACAAATTTTAATAACATCAATGAAAGATGCTGATCCACTTACTTCCTCTGGACATCGTGTACCACCTAAGAATGATCTAAAGAAAAATAAGTACTGCAGTTCAAGCTTAATTGCTGTTTATCTTTTATTCATTTAGGCAAATTAAAAAATTAAAAGGCTGTTATGATTTCTTTAGTAATGTTTTCTTGGAAACTTAAGAATCCCATCTCTCAGAGAAGCACATCTTTTTAAAAGAAAGTTTTAAAATTCACAAATACAAATTGTATATATTTATGGTGTATAATGTGGTGTATATATATGTGTGCAATACATATATAGATATGCACATATATGCATTTATATGTATACATACATATGCACATACATATATGTGCCTATGTACATATGCACATACATATATGTGCATACGTACATATGCACATACATATATGTGCATACGTACATATGCATATACATATATGTGCATACGTACATATGCATATACATATATGTGCATACGTACATATGCATATACATATATGTGCATACGTACATATGCATATACATATATGTGCATACGTACATATGCATATACATATATGTGCACACACATTGTAAAATGATTAAATCAAGGTAATTAGCATATCCATCACATAACATATTTATATTTTTGGCGGGTGAGAACATTAAAATCTACTCTTAGCAACTTTCAAGTTTCAAGCAATTTTACTTTCGAAACTTCACAGGAAATCTATTAAAAGACAGTGACCATCTGTGTGTGTGTGTGTGTGTATGTGTGTGTGTGTTGAGGGTGCATACACACTTTACTGGGAAGAAGATACTTTAAACACATTTTTAATCTTTCCTTTGCAAAATAAATACATTTTTATATACTTTCTTAATTTTGTTTCCTCGATGATTTTTTTCTTTTTTTTGCAAATGTTAGAGAAGTCACTAAATGCTTTCTGAGCATTTCAGCCTGACCATGGACAACTGTGAAGTTTCACTGGTATAATTTTTTATCTTTATTTATCAACAAACATTTATTAAGCACTTACCATAGTGCAGTTATTATCCAAGCAGCATAAATACAAACTAGCCATAATCTAGTCTAAACTAGATATAAGGGGTAATATCTTTCTTTTAAAAAAATTGCAATTTTGTCTGGGCATGGTAGCTCACACTTGTAATCCCAGCACTTTGGCAGGCTGAGGCGGGTGAATCACTTGAGGTCAGGAGTTCAAGACCAGCCTGGCCAACATGGCGAAACCCATCTCTACTAAAAATACAAAAATTAGCCAGGTATGGTGGTGCATGCCTGTAATCCCAACTACTTGGGAGGCTGAGGCAGGAGAATCGCTTAAGCCCAGGAGGCTGAGGTTGCAGTGAACCGAGATCATGCCACTGCACTCCAGCCTGGGCAACAGAGCAAGACTCCATCTCAAAAAAAATCACTATTTTGTCTAATTTATAAATTTTTGATAACTTTTAAAAGAAAAAATTACAAATTTAGTTGTTTCTAAACTTTTCTTACACAATAGTTTATTTGTGATAAACAATTTTCGCTACCTTCCCTGTGATGCAGCTCACACAGCAACTGTTTTAAAATAAATTATTGAGCATCTATTATGGGCTAAGTGCTAATGGTTTTAGAGGTGAAAATAAAGTCAAGGTTTCTGTTTTTATAAAGCTGACATTTTATTGGTGGATTTTTTGAAACACAACTAAATTATATAACTTAGAAACCTACAGTTAAAATTCAGATTCCTACTTTCAGAAACTTATTAAACATCAATGCCACATGCTTAGAATTTTTTATGTATTTATTTTGATTGTACTCAGCAAGATCATCTGTCAGTAAAGACTGATACTGTTTCTAAAATATTGCTCATTTACTAGAAATTAAACAAATAAAAACACTTACATATTGGAAATTTATTAAATCCCATAGCTATAGACTGGGCTTTTATATCTGGATAAAAAAGAGCTAAGAACTGAGTAGCACATTACCAAAAATACAAATATTATCTTTCATTCAGTATGTAACTTCCTGTGAAAATCATAACTTAACCGAAACTTTACCTTCAAGCTCATTAAAACATCTTTACTGGACTAAAACTCACTCTTCAATATTGTCAAAAATATTATCTAATATTTAAGTTCCAGAGTCAATAATTAACTTTTCATGTGAAATGAAGAAACATCAGAATAATCCCTTTGCAGGGATTGTTTGGTGTTTAGAGTAAAAGCAGAGAAAAAAGTCCTTTTTCACTTTTAAAATCAGTGGGTTTTACAAAGGCATAAACATAGATACAGGCATAAAATTCCAACTTCAAAACAATGAAACTTCAGACACATTCAGTAAATTCCTCTTTCCTCCCAGCTGGCATATATAAGCAGGTATTGTAACACCCCATCAGTGGATCAGGCATAGCTATATAAAGACACATATGAACACTTGAATCATATTTCAAGGCTGCAATGGACCTTGGTTTATAAAGTTTAACTCCCTCATTGTTAGAGTGACACTGAGGTCTAAAGAAGGGAAACAGCTTATCCACATTGACATCATTGGCAGTGGCAGACTGACCACCACAAATCAGGTTTTCTCAAACTGAATGTACCTGATAGAATTTGGCTATGAATAATTAAAAAAATGGGGTACTTAAAAATACAGGTCTCTGGGCCTTATCTTCAGAGATTCAAATTGGGTGGAGCTGGGAAGGTACCCAGAATTTGCTGTTGATGATACTACAGCTGTTCTGAGAACTAAACTCAAAGAAACACTATGCAAATTCTTTAAGACTTAACTATTTCCAAAATAAAATGTAAAGTAGTATGAGAATTTCAAATCATAGCTACAAAGATATTGTTTTTTTTCTCCCCACTGCTTCTCAGATATTCATGTTTTCATGGCAAACACACAATCAACAAAAGTCAAAGTCCGTTGACTGTCCAGGCATGACTTTGAGTGTCACAAGGAGCCCCTGCAAAGGGTTGGAGATATGAGCCTCTGGCCATTTTCTCATGTTACAAAACTATCTAGCTAATGTATTTCTAAGGCAGTGAGAGGAATATTTCATTCCAGGAAATAACTGAAACAGTGAAATTGTTTAAACTACTAATGTTTTATTACTAATACAAATAAAAATTTCACATTTATACAGATTTGCTTTTCAATAATGTATTTACTTATTTATTCAGTGAACATTTCCTGAATATCTACCAACCAAGCCTTTAGTCAACATCTGCTGCATCATAAATGTCCTCAAAGTGTTTCCCAAAACAGACTTGATAATTAATTGGAAAATGATACTGGAAGTTATGGGGATTAGGTGCAGAGTTTTATTACCTTATACAGCAGTATTTATGATTACAATAAAACATACAAAAATGTTTTTATATTAATATAATACTAAAGAAGTTCAATGCTTGTAACTATTTTAATGGGCTTCTGACTTAAAGAAAATTTACTTAGGTACAATAACAAAGTAGTAATTGGAATCATAGTTAACTAAAATAGAAAATAAACTTCATAGGTTACGATTTATATTAAGCCCAATAATTCAATTCTAATGACAGTCTTGTGTTTTACATTTAGCCTTATATGCTCCTTTATGAGTTCTCTGCAAAGCATATATGAAGCTTGAATGAAGCAGGTCCCAAATTTTAATTAATCTTGATGAAATGCGACAGATTACTGATTTAACTCAATTGAGAGTATGGGATTATCATCTCTAAATCAAAGATGACCCCAAAAGATTTACCATTATGCTCTTGAGTATGTACTCATATCCTGTCATTTCAGATTATTTTGACTTATTTGTTGTTTCTCCATCTTGTAAAGGATTTAAGGCTGTTATTTCAAATTAAGGTTTGCTTTTCGGACTTTTTCTGATGAAAGAAATAGTTGGATCTCCATCAACAGATTCACAGCTGACAGACCACATTCTGTCCATGGCTTTACTTTATTTTCTGGAGGGCACTGCAAAGGATTCCAATTTCACCTACAAAGAAAAACACCATCAAAATGGGCCACTTGTATAATAAGCAAAAACTCTTCAAGTGTCCTCAGTGCAAAGCACTAGGGGATAAGTGGGCTTCTTGGATGAGCTGGGTGCCACCCCAACTTTCAAGGAGCTTACAGCCTCATTATGGTATAAGTACTTGCATGTTTTAGAAAATGCCAGAGCCATTAATGTAATCAGCATCCCTTTTCCATAGGTCACTTCCCAGGGAAGGACTTAACAGGTCTCTCCCCAGGCAAATCATTAGCTGTTCCATTTCTCTTTTACATTACCATCTGCATATGCTACAAGAAGCGAAATCATTGAACCTAATAGTATGGTTCACACAAAACTCTAGTGTCAGAATCACCTGAGGTCTATAAACTCCCAAAAGTTATCACAAATTTGGTAAATTTAGCCTTGGCTATGACTCAAAGCTATTAATTTTTAGCTGGCTTTTCATTTGATTCTGATGCACATTCAAATTTTAGAATCCATGGTCTAAGCAGATAACTCAGTCTAGATGGCAAGATCACTGGATGAAGGTGTGATGCAGCCTTCCATTTATGCTATGTCTTCACATACCAGGTAAATGAGATTGGAAAGGAGAACATTTTAAACATAAACAACTGCATGGGCAAGGGTTAGGAGTCTGGAAAGAGCATGAGAACTAAAAATTGATCAGTGTTGCTGGAAGAGAGTATGAAGGGCTAGAGAGATAATCAGGTGATAAATGAGGTAACCCTGTGATATTCTTAAGGGCAATTATTATAATATTCTCATTATGAAGGAAGAGTGGAAGGCCAACAGATGAGCCACTGGACAGCTTATAAAGTGGATAGAACCAGGCAGAGTGATAACAACTGGACACTTAGCGTAGAAGGGATGGAGAGGCGAGGGAGAAAAAGGAACATGGCAGTGACAGACCAAGTGTGGAAAGGTGGAATGATGGTAGGAGGTGGAGTGGAATCTAGGAAGGTCAAAGGAAAAAGGACACAAGGGTAATTCTGACCTTTTTGTCAAGTTCTTCTCCATCAATGAACCCATGGCTTACATGGAGGTGCTTTTCTCCTTAATTAAATATTTCAATAAATTTATTATTTTTCCTATGGCGATGGTAGGGAAAGACAGTCTTCGATTACTGAGAAACCGAGTGGCCTCGTAAGGTGTAAATTACTTACTGTTAATGGAATCAGCCAAAATCTTAAGCTGCTGGGTATTGTCCAAGACCTCAATCCTTTGGGTGTATGGGTCGTAGCGAACTGAGAAGGGCCGAGGTATTGTGGCAGCAAAGTTCCTAAGACCAAAACCACAGGCTTGAGTGAAGGGCACCATTTGGAGAAAGGTAGTCTTAAGAGAGTTCTCAGTGGCATTTTACTTCTTTTTTAGGAACACGGACACCTCCCTAGAGCAGGGTCTTCAACAGCCAGGGCTGAGGCGGGGGGAATGGAGTTTTAATGAGTCTTCTTGGGAAGCCTCTGTATGTGTGTATGTGTATGTACAAACACATATATACACATGTTTATTTAGTCCCCTGGCTCCAAGAAGACAGAGATAGCTTACAATGAAACTACTGAATACAATAAAGCCAC
The DNA here is from genome assembly GCF_000001405.40 of Homo sapiens. Taxonomy (NCBI): domain Eukaryota; kingdom Metazoa; phylum Chordata; class Mammalia; order Primates; family Hominidae; genus Homo; species Homo sapiens. The sequence continues at coordinate 102,840,811 of NC_000012.12, forward strand.
AAACTCCTATCATTAAATAAAATCAAGAGTAAGTAAAATCTAGCTAAAGAATGCTATATAGAGGGAAAAAAGCTCTGAAATGGTTGACAATCAATGCAGAGGGAAATAGCTCTCAAGTGGTGAAGAAAGCACTATGTTAATAATGAAATTTAACATTGATGGAGTACCTTCTATGTTCCAAGAACTATGTTAAGTTCTAACTGTCCAATGCTCTTTACAAATATCCTTCCTTATTTAACCTTCACAAAAACCTTAGGAGAAAGGCACCATTGCTATACCCATTTTATGGATGAGGAAACAGGCTTGGGAAGGCTGCGTGACTACTAAGGCCATACTGTCAGTAAGTTATGCAGCTGGGAAGGAACCCAGGCAGTCTGACACTGGCCTGGACCCTTTGCTTTCCTGCCTTCCCAGTGCCTTACTCCTGGATCTGGGAGAAATCCACCATGAGGGCCTCTATGAGGGACATCATGCAATACCATTAACAAGATGTTGCAAAGTAATCACAGATTTCTAAGTTGGCCTCTGGTGAACCTATAAGCTGCTGTACTGAAAATACAATGTTACGGGAGACAGTAGGGACCTCCAAGTTTGGCAAGAGTGGCTCCCCAAGTTCCAAGTCAAGCTGCCTGGGCTGAAACCCTGCCTCTGTCTATTATGGCCCTTGTGACCATGGGCACAGGGGACCACTCTTCTGTACCCCAATTTCCTCTGTAAAATTGGGGCATTAGTGGTACCTGCCTCAGGGGGTTGCAGCAAATGCTGTTATACTATGGTGTAAGTGCCCTATGAGTGTTAGTTGCTATCTTTCATGAAGAACAAATGGCCAAGTATATATTTCCACCCCTTCTTCTCTGAAAGGAGCTGTCTCAACCCAGCTGGTGGCATGAGCCACATGTTACACATCTGTGATTTTGCCTGCTCTGCACCTCTTCCTCCTTCTTCCCATAAAGCAGCTCATTTTTGCTTTGGGTGATTTACCCCTACCCTACTAGGTGTGTATCAGTCCAGAAGTCAGTATTCGGTGCCAGCCCTCCTCTGGAAAGGAGGTAGCATGTGAACCATGCTCAGCCAATCACATCTCTGCCTACAACTTGAATCTTAAAACTCCAAGTGGTTAGAATTGGTTTCTCTTGGCTGAGATGCTTTGAGGGAATCCAAAGGGATGTGCAGATTCCTTGTTTTGAACTCTGTTCTTTAGCATTCTCTTTGATTCTCTGAGCCACTTCTCAGCAGAATGGGGTTTTCATGGTTGTTTCCCTTGAGGCCTCGGTACTGACAGGCCTGTTTCCTGGCAAGCTCTTCCCTGCTGGTCTGGGACTGATCACTTGCTGGTTAGAGAGTTGTCTCCAGGAGGGCCCATCCAAATGTGATCTTGGCATGACAGGGTGCTCATCAGCACTGCCTCTAAGCTCCAATGCCTGGGTCCAAACCTTGGGCCTTGGAGGGAGAGGGGGATGATGCTGGAAGGAGGCTAGGCTCCCAGTTTAGGAGAGAATTAAAAAAGCAGAGCCAGAAGGACTTGAGAGCTCTGGACAGAGCTGGAGAAATAGTCATTTTAGGCCACACCAAGTGGATTTGTGGGCCAGCATTTTACCTTTAATTATCTAAAGATAGTAGACATAAATTAAGGAATATCCATTTTAAAAGAAAGAAAGTTAGTCCTCTTTGAAGTCTCTTTATTCCAAAGGGTTCTCAAACAAATGTTAGCTGGACCTGTCTTGTCCCACAATCTTACCTTGCAAATGTAAGGTAAGTGAATGAGCTGGCAAAAGGATAATTTTTACCTTTCTTTGTGAGGGGTCTGGGGGGGATGGAATTTGGATTTAGAAAGGAAGGACTAAGATGTATGTTCATTTGTCTTTGACTTTCTCCCTTATGTCTCTCTTTCCTCCCTCATGTCTCTCTTTTCAAAAGTGCGGATTTCTTTGAGAAGTCATTTATTCTATCACCACTCCCCTCCATTCCTCTGACCTCTCAGAGGCCATAGATAGGGTTGAAAGCTAACATACCCAGTGTCATAGACTCCCAAAGGCCTGTATGTTCCATGCCTGTCATCCATCACTGATAAGATTTTTTTAAGTGGTAACATACAGTGAGTATTAGGATATTCATGTCCAGGTGGACCCTCTGCCCAGTCTGTCTCCTGCTTGGGTGCAGGAACTGTGCACTCAGAGGGCCAACAGTCTCAGAGTCCCAGAACCACTCCATCAGCCTCTTGCTGAACTGCCTCTGGGATTAATGCCTTCACCAATTATTTATTGAGTGCTTACTCTGTGTCAGGTATTGTTCCAGGGGCTGGAGGAAAAACAGAAAATAGAAAGAACAAAATTTCTACCCTCATGGAGCTTACCTTATGTAATATATTACAAGTTAATAAGTATTACAGACGCACTGGTGGCAGGGATGAGTAGAAATAAGTTGGTTAGAGAAAGACATATAGAGATTAAATTTGGGTAAAGACACAAAGGAGGAAGCAAATTTTGTAGGTGTTTGGGAGAAGAAAGTGAAGAAAGGACTTCCTAGGTTATAAGACTTCTTTGATTTTGTGGGGAGACTTCTGTGGCCACTCTGTATGCAGGAGGGTTCAGTGTCTTGACTTGGTGGTTGCGTTGAACAGGGACCAGGTGGCAGGGGTGTGTGCAAAGGTCAGCATGCCCAACCTTCCAACAGAGAACGGAAGAAAAGGAGGGTGGAGAACATGGGAGAGAAACTGTCTATGGTACAAAGTTGCTGTAGACATTGGAGTCCACTCTCCTGGCCAACCACCCACAGATGAGTGGCACCAGTCAGGAGGCCCCCAGAGCTAGTGGCTCACCTTTGTCACCACCTCACCTTACTTTCTCCTTGGCATCATTAAAACTCTCTGCCACGTAATAGAGGGGCTGGAACTCCGTGACAGTGTAATTTTGGATGGCTGTCTTCTCCAGCTCCAGGGGGAGAAGCTTTGGCTTCTCTGATAAGCAGTACTGTAGGCCCCAAGTGAAAAGTTATTATCACTGTTAAATCAGGATCAGTATTCCCTGCTGCATCCCATAGGCCATTTGTGCCCCTTCTCTCATCTCACCCCGATTCCTTCTACATCACAGCCCAAATGCTGTGAGCCAAATTACTTTGCACATACTAGGTTCTACCCTTCATAGCTCATCTAAAACCTACAGCCAAGGGAGAAAGGAGTAATTCATTCCAATTACTTTCAAGTAAGGTGGTCAATAGATGACGTGGGAGCCAACCACACTTTCTGGCATGTGTTTGCATACTCACAAGGCTGCATGCATAGGTCAGCCTTGGAATCAGGAGGCCCCTTCTCCCCAGAGATATGTGTACTTGCAATTCCATTTCTATCTGTAAAACCCACAGCCATCATCAAATCATAGCTGCTAAGGTACCAATCACTGGAGAATGAGTTCCCAGGTTGCATATCAAAACGGATACAAATAGGGTTTCAACAATATTGAAAGCACAATAATGGTTTTCTGTACCCACCACTTTTAAATCTATCCTTGGTTCCTGTGAAGGTCATACCTGTAATTCACCAAAGGATGACAGGAGCCCAGCACCATATGCCTTTATGGAGTCTCCTTGTTTGCAGAGCCCAAACTCCACAGTAAACCAGTAAATCTGGAATGGAAAGTCAATCTGAGAGCACACTCTATGATGGTTAATTTTATGTGTCACCTTGACTGGATGAAGGGATACCTGAATAGATAGTAAAGCATTATTTTGGGGTGTGTCTATGTCTATGAGGGTGTTTCTGGAGGGGATTGGCATGTGAGTCAGTGGACTGAGTGGGGAAGATCTTTCCTCATTGTGGGCGGGAACCACCCAATGGGCTGGAATCCCAGATGGAAGAAAAAGGCAGAGGAAAGCCACATACGTATTCTATCTCTCTTGGAACCAGGACACCCTGTTTCTCCTACCCTTAGACATCAGAACTCCAGGCTTTCTGGCCTTTGGATTCTGGGACTCGCACCCAACCACCACCCAGGGGTTCTCAGGCCTTTGGTCTCAGACTGAGAGCTATACCATCAACTTCCATGGTTCTGAGGCTTTTGAACTTTGACTAATCTACGCCACTGACTTTTCAGGTTCTCCAGCTTGCAGGCAGCATATCGTGGGACCTCTCAGCCTTGATAACTGTGTAAGCCAATTCCCCTAATAAGTCCCCTCTCAGATTTCCCTCTCTCTCTTTCTCTCTCTATATATATCTCACTGGTTCTTTCTCTCTGGAGATCTTTGACTAGTACACACCTCAAAGAAGGAGAAGGCAGCAACTGCCCCAGTGCCATGGACAGGATTGCCCAGGTAGAAGCCTGTGCAGGTTTGTTCTCTGAATCAGCATGACCTGTGATCACGTCTCTGTGTCCTGTGTCTCACTCTATCTAGTCACCTGTTGAGTGCTGGCTGAATGTAAAGCATGATGGAAAATATCAGGAGGTACTAAGAAGCCCCAAAAGGAGGCTCCCAACAATATGTTCTCCATATGACAGGAACTCCTCCATCTCTTTTGTTTTTTTCTCTGTGGTGTCAACTAGACTGAGATGTTCCTCAGATGCTCTGAAGCTGGCAGAGCTCATTAGGCACAACAGTGGGAGGTAGCAGACTGGGTAGTGATAGAATCAGTGAGGAGAATGTCCCATCATCCATGCTAAAACTTGGGGATGTTTCTGAAGTCAACTACTGCATTTATGCAAATAACCAAGTACTTTTCTTTCAATAACTGACAGTTCAATATGTCCTAGAGAGTTGGCCTGAAAAAAAGAATATTGGGGTTCTGGGGCTAAGAGGAACCCAGAGCTCAGTTAGCTGCTGGAGACAGTCACAGTTTTGGAGAATTAGGGGTAGGTTATTAGTTACATCTGTTTATTGGACTAGAAAATGTTAAACCTGGGAGGGCTGTCAGAGCTCAGTCAGTCTGACCTCCTCACATACAGGTGAGGAGTCTTCAGCCCAGGAAGGTAAGGCAACATGCATGTAGTTACACAGCAAATTAAGGGCAGCAAGAATCCAGGACTGTTCCTCAACCAATCAGTAACATTTTTTCAATCAGTAACAATTTTTTAGAAAAGTCGCATTGGTGATAAGTCATTTTAATATTGTTATGGCAGATAACATGATGCTTTGACTTCCAAGTTTATTTTCTTTGTAGAGATGAGAAATTCTATCTAGCTCTGTAACTTCTTTGAAAGCCGCTCCTTGTATCTCTGTAGCCTCTGGCATTTAAAAACCCATGTTCACAAAAATTTAAATAATTCAATTTAAATAGTTAAATTTTTAGTTGCCTTTGAGATGGGCAAGATATGAGCTATTGCATCCCATTGTTAGAGATGAGGAAGAAAAAGCCACTTGTCCAGCACCTGAAAGCAGCTGTCAGTGAGAAGATAACCTTCTGGGAGTTTTTAGCCTTTTGATGGAACGAGTTCATAAGCTTCTAAACTGATATATCTTAATAATAGATTTGCACTCATTGGCAGTCCACAATTCAATTATAAATGTTTATTTTTCAACTTCCAGGACAGGCAATGTGGCTAGTGGCTGGGGTGGGATGTACTAAAATTAGAAACGAGTATGAAGGAAGGAAATCACCTGCTATGTAGAATTGCTTCTATAGCCCCAGTGGACAAGTGTCATCAGATATACTCAGGAGAGGAAAGTGTTCAGCAAGAAGGGGAAAGCCCACCCCCATTTCTCCCTCATGTCTGAGAAAGAAAAGATCCTAATGTATGCTCTGGTGTGAAAAGTAGAGATGTAAACATTCCATGTTCAAAGCTCTGGATCCAGATTACTTCATACACACACTTTATGCCAAGGGTTTTCAAGGGCTACTATTATAGCCTGTTGGTGGGTTCAAGATACTGCTTAAAATTTAAGAGATGTAAACATCTGTAGGTAGCTGATTTCAAAATCAAATTATTAAGGAGAAATCTATCAAAATGTGAAGTTTCACTTGTGCAAATGTAACCCACCACATTCTGATTTTTTTCCCCAGATAACCTGGCTTCCAGGGGAGTAGGAAAGTTTCAAAGACCTGAGGGCCATAGCCTATAGCACTCCACCATCCACCCAGGGAGAGAAGGGACTTACTGTGGCGAGCTTTTCAATGTATTCATCAGGTGCACCCAGAGAGGCAAGGCCAATTTCCTGTAATTGGGGGAAAATAGAACCTGTTCTGTTCCTGTAATTGGAACCACAGAACCAACCTAGTACTTGGCCATAAAAAGGTGATGGGTGGCCAGATGCCTTCAGAACAGCCCACATAGACCCTGAGTGTGTTATCAAGTCTTTCCTGCCCATATGTTATAGAATCACAGATCTCCAGGGTAGGGGGATCCTTCCACCCTCACTTGGCCCTTTGTTTTCACTTTATAAGTGAGGAAATTGAGGCACAGAGAAGGGAAGTGACTTGCTCATGATCACAGGGTCGGTTAGTATCTAAAGCTTCTTCTCTTGACTCCAGCTCAGTGATTATTCATCAGCAGAATATTCCTGGAATGTTAAATGAGTCTTAATCATGTACCCTGGAAACATCACAGGAGAACTGCAGATAAGTGGTGACATCGGTCCAGGCATATATATAGCTGGAGAGTCTAACACATCATAGATTAATTCTCACCACAGCTTCTGTTGCAGAATTCCTCTACTGTCTCATTGTCTCTTTTACAGCACTTACTGCAGCCTGCCTTGTGTGTATGTGTCTTTCCTACTGTATATATTAATTCACTCTCAAAATATTTATTAAGTTCATTTGATGTGCCAGGCAGTGTATAAAATCAGTAAAGACATCTTGTGAGTTTTAGTGGAGACAGACAATAAATAATGAACATATACATAACTATGTTAGAAGAATATAAGTTCTTTGGAAAGAAGAAACAAAAGAAGAAATAAACAAGAGGGACTAAGAGCTCCAGGGGATTCAGGGGAGACTTCAATTTTAAATAGGGTTCCAGGGTAAGCATCATTGAGAAGGTCATATTTGAGCACAGACTTGAAGGAAGTGGAGTTGTTGGTTATACTGACTTCTGAGGGAAGCACACTGTTGGCCAAGCATATAGCCAGTGCAAAAGCTTGCATTTCTTTCCCAAGAAAAGGCAGCGTTGTTTGGGTCAAGACACAGGGAGGAACCAATGTGGCTGGAGAAGAATTAGTGAGGGGGCAGTGGCAGGTGATATCAAAGAGGGATCCAGAGCCAGATCATGTAGAATATTTTTAGATGTTTTAGGGCTTGAGTTTTTCCTTTCAGTGAAACAGGAGCCATTGCAGGGTAATGAGCAGATAGATGGTCATGATCTCACTTGTGTTACCAAGCACTCCTTCTGCCTGCTGTATGAGAATAGATGGTAGCAGTTGAGGGTAGAGGCAGGACACCAAGAGATGGTAGGGGTTGAGGGTAGAGTAGGACACCAGGAGACTGGAGGGTAGACAGGGAACAAGGAGACTGAAGGGGTTGAGGATAGACAGGACACCAGGAGACTGGAGAGGTTAAGTGTAGACAGGACACCAGGAGACTGGAGAGGTGGAGGGTAGACAGGATACCAGGAGACTGAAGAGGTGGAGGGTAGACGGGACACCAGGACACTAGAAAGGCTGAGTGTAGATGGGACACCAGGAGACTGGAGAGGTTGAGGATAGACAGGACACCAGGAGACTGGAGAGGTGGAGGGTAGACAGGACACCAGGAGACTGGAGAGGTTGAGGATAGACAGGACACCAGGAGACTGGAGAGGTGGAGGGTAGACAGGACACCAGGAGACTGGAGAGGCTGAGTGTAGACAGGACATCAGGAGACTGGAGAGGTTGAGGGTAGACAAGACACCAGGACACTGGAGAGGTAGAGGGTAAACAGGACACCAGGAGAATGGAGAGGCTGAGTGTAGACAGGACACCAGGACACTGGAGAGGCGGAGAGTAGACAGGACACCAGGAGACTGGAGAGGTTGAGGGTAGACAGGTCACCAGGAGACTGGAGAGGTAGAGGGTAAACAGGACACCAGGAGACTGGAGAGGCTGAGTGTAGACACAATACCAGGGCACCGAAAGGCTGAGGGTTAAAGGGACACCAGGAGACTGGAGAGGTGGAGGGTAGACAGAACACAAGGAGACTGGAGAGGCTGAGTGTAGACGGGACACCAGGACACTGGAGAGGTTGAGAGTAAATGGGACACCAGGAGACTGGAGAGGCTGAGTGTAGACAGAACACATGGAGACTGGAGGGGTCCAGGGTAGAGACCACTAGAGGGGGCCACTGAGGAGGCTACCGCAGTCACTAGGATGAGAAATGATAGTGGCTGAGACCAAGTTGGTAGCAGTAGACATAATTGAAATGGTCAGACTCTACACATATTTTGAAGGTAGAACACACAGGATTTTCTGAAAGATTGGCTGTGGGGTTAAGAGAAAAAGGAGTTGGTAATGTCCCAAAGTGCTTATGGTTTGATCAGCTGGAAGGGCGGAATTCCTATGAACTGATAATAGAAAAAGCTGTGCTGGAGAAGGTTTGAGAAGGAAGATCCAGAACTCAGTTTTGGATAGGATGTTAGAGATGTCTTATAGACATCCAAGGGGAGATGTTGAATAGGCAATTCAATATGCAAGTCTGAATTTGGGGATTGAAGTCTTGGCTGCAGATGTAAATGTGTCCGTCATCAGAGTAGAGATGGTATTTAAAGCCATGAAATTGAGTGAGATCACCAGAGGAGTGCTTGTAGACAGAGATGAAGACTATGATTAGACCCACTTTGAAGCAAGAAGCTACATGGTCTGCATCTCTATATCACTCCCTGGGCCAAGTCCAGAGCCTGGTTCAGATTAGGCTTATAAAATACTTTCTGATTTAGAGTGAACCAAATTCAAATTCTTAGCCTGGATCTGCTCTCTCAATTCAACTAGAAACCACTGATAAATCCAAGACCAAAATGGCGCCTTGTTCTCTTAGTCACCATTCTTTGTGAGCCTAGAGTTTGCCTACAACAAGGGGGGCCCCACATTCCCTGTGCTCCAGCCCCACTCCATCCTGTACTGTAGTGGGAAGCAAGTCCTGCCTCTGATCAAAAAGGAATGTTCTCAGGAAACTTTCAACATGACTTGCTGCCTTGGAACTGTCCAGATCAAAGTTGGAACCATGTGACACTGATGCCCCAAGAGCTCCTGTTTGTTGACTTGAGCAACTGTCCACTCTTCTGTGGGGTTCCCCAAAGTGGAAATGGCTTAAGGAGGACTGCCACTTAGCCTCTGACTTCGTAAACTAACTTCTGGTGGTAAGAATAAAAGGTTCCTATTCTTCAAGGAAAAATCTGATTGTTTTTTGGCCACAGTAACAAATCCAGATTTTAAAACTGTCCCAAGCAATCAAAGATATCTTGGCAGCAGTAACCACACTTCTGAATGTCATTGGTGATGCTTCTACAGTTAAAGTTCAACTAATCCCGAAACACTTCCACTTCCAAAAGTCCAACGATCTTTGAACTCCATAATTCCCCAAACCTCACATAAAAGTAATTTTCCTTTTGTTTAGAGAGGCTGCATCTTACAAGTACAGTTTTCCCTCACTTAGCAAGCAATAAATTCCACTTTTTTGTTTGTTTGTTTCAAATATTTAGTGGTAGCTTCTTTATTTGACAGTGGGAATGTTTATTTCTGCCAGCTGAGGGAAAATGCCCATTAAATTCACACACAATCCCATTATTCTGAAATCCCAATACTTGGCTCAGCATTTGCTCATAGGTCATTCCATTTGATTCTTGTGCTTCTTTGTGAGGAAGATGACTGGTGGAGAGGGCTTTTGACTGATCCACTTTTATTAAAACTGAGGCACAGGGTGGCTGATAATGTAACCCCAGGTCACACAGCTGGTTAGTGGCAGGGTTGGAGCCTAGGTACATCAGAACACCATTCAACCTTCTCATGATCCCAGCTACCAAACCATGGTTTTAGGCTGCCTCTCAGTGCCTGGAGAGAATTGGTAGCATTATTTTACTCAGCCCAAAACTTTCTTTTTTGGCCAGGTGTGGTGGCTCTTGCCTGTAATCTTAGCACTTTGGGAGGGTGAGATGGGAGGATTGAGGCCAAGAGTTTGAGGTCAGCCTCAGCAATGTAGTGAGACTCTGTCTCCACAAAAATTAAAACATTCAGCCAGGCATGAAAGTATGTGCTTGTAGTCCCAGCCACTCAGGAGGCTGAGGTGGGAGGATTGTTTGAGCCCAGAAGTCTGAGGCTGCAGTGAACCGTGATTATACCACTGCACTCCAGTCCAGCCTGGGTGACAGAGTGAGACCTTGCCTTAAAAGAAAAAAAAAAGAAAGAAAAAGAAAAAGAAAGCTTTTTTTTGAGCTTGTTAACCACTGTGAAAGATGAATGAAATTCTAGGTTGCAGGGTTGCAGCTTTGATGATGGTGATAAGATATTCAGCTCATTTTTTTCTTTGTTAACTCTAAGTCAGGGTATCAGCATTGGATTCTTGGCAAATGTCACCTCACTTAATTCAAGCATATACACAAATAACTGCCTGACAAGGTAGAAAGTTGCAACAGCCCTGAAAAGGTAAGGGGAATGTACTAAGAGATTGGAAGAAGGTGAGGTAGTTCCTGCATGGGAATCAGGGAGGCTTTCATGGATGAAAGGCTCTAGCAGGAAAAATGAGATTAGTACACTGAAGAACACACATATGATTCAGAGGATGAGTGATTCACCAACCCCATGCTTGATCTCCGAAATGGGTATTTAGCTTCCCAGAACCACACACCCATTTCAGGTGGGATCATAGAACTGTACCTGGTTTCCGCTCTTGCAGAGGGCATGAGGACCCCTCCCTGGGCTCAACTCATTTGAGAAATTCAGGTCACAGACCTATAACTAGAAGGCTAAAAAATCCATTCCTTACCTGGGAAAACTGGGCAAAGCTGCGATCTGAAAACAAGGGCACATGTCCCAACAGCTCATGGCAGATGTCACTGAAAGACAGAAAGCACAGAGAGCTCGGAGGGGAGGAGGTTTAAGCCAAGCCAGACTCAGTCTTTCTACATGAGGAATGGGCAGAAAGAATGGAAATAACTCTTTTAGGCTTATGATCCCTCTCCCAGGAATAAGTGATATGCAGAGGTTGGGATCATAAAAGGCAGGGTACAAGGTAAAAAGAAGAAAAGGAAGGAAAAATAAGAGACAGGTGCAGGGTAGGGCACAGCAGCCAAGGGTCTTAAGAGTATCCCCAGTGGGGTACCAGGCAGAAGAGCTAATATTCCTGTGGACATGCTCCCATATACCTAAGTGAGCTATGAGTCATGAACACTTCTCATCCTGTCTTCTCCCTGGTATTGACTTCCCTGGGCAGATACAATATGCTCAGCTATTCCACTGGGAACTAAAACAAAAACAGTGCTGCTCTTCTGTTAGTCTGGAGGTGGACAGCAGTGAGGGAAGAAAACCTACATTTATTTAACACTGTATGTGCTATGTCCATTTGGAACAGGTCTTTTTGGATTTGTAGCAATGAACTTTATGGGCAAGGAAAAACAATTTTGGATGTTCCATTAATTTTTTTATAAGTTGCATAAGTTTTATCAGACTAAGGGGATAACGAAACACCCAAGTAAGAAGCATAATGGCTGCAATTCTCTACCTCTACCCAATACACAATCTAGGCAAAGAAAGATAAGAGTAATCTAGATGTATACTTAGGAAGTATTGAGATAGCTTGGCTGCCACTTGTTCCTGTTCTCATTTGCAACTTCGTAGCTTTGACTTTGGAACTTGATTGGGATCTCTCATTCTCACTGCCAAGGGAGTTCTGAGTTATTGGATCACAGGATGACCAAATCTCCAATCAGTCTGGTCTATCTACTTGGATGGAGCAAATCTCCAGAATAGATGAATTGTTTTTAGTACTACCAGCAAACAGTCTAGACAACTAGTCCTGTGGACCAGCCAGCAATGAACCCAAACCTCATTCTTGCAGCAGGAAAAGATGGCGCTCATTGTGCCTGGCAACTGGTAGCTGGAGGACAGTACTCACGGTTCGGGGGTATACATGGGCTTGGATCCATGTCTGATGTACTGTGTGCAGTGGAAGACTCGGAAGGCCAGGCCACCCAAGAAATCCCGAGAGGAAAGCAGGCCAGCCACAGGTCGGAGGCGGAAACCAGTGCAAGCTGGGATGAAAAGAAGAAAGAAAACTCAAAGCTCATCACCACTGAGTCAGAGGCACTAGGAGACCTTTAGGTAGTGGAGTAGTACACATAACTGCCCAGGGACATAGGCTTTGACGCTAGGCAGACTTGGCTTCAGATGTCTGCCTCGCTGCTTTCTAGCTAGGTGATCTGGATCAAGTAAATTCCCATTTCTGAGCCTCAGTTTCCTCATCTGCATAATGTGGATAGATACTTCTTAGAAATGTTCCAAGAATAAAAAGAGCTAATGAATACAAAGTACTTAGCACAGAGCCTAGCACATTGGAAACATGCAATAAATTTAGCTTTCATTACCATTTGTTAGGGTGGAACAATGATTCCCTACTTCTCCTGCTTCTAGAGTGAAGAGGGAATTTGAACCTCATTTCCCAGAAGGGAAGAGTATGGATAGAGTGCTTCCAGCTTCTGTACTGCACCTCACACAGTCTACCCCATAAGTAGCAGTGACCTGTCTGACTGGAGCATTTGGGAAGAGAATATGAATATTGTCAATTTAACTCTTTCTGTACTGCTCTTTCTCTCTTGATTGTTCACAGAGGACCTCATTCCAGTCTGCTCTTGGCCATGCAATGGACTATGCTCTATGAATTGGCAGGTAAGTTTACCTAATTAAGGGGTAAAATATTAGCAAGTCCATTTGTGTGCATATCTATATCACATTCTCTAAATCGCTCAATTTTAAAGCTGACCTCTGATCACCATCTCTATGGTTCCTGTATCTGTCTCTCAGTTTGTTGCAAACTTTGGAGGATAAGGATAGTGACAGTGATAATGGTAATAATAGCTAACACTATATTTGACCTACTGTATGTAAGACACTGTTTTAAGCTACTTTAGATATGCTACTAATCCCCACAATAGCCCTATGAAGTAGACACTTTTATTATGCCCACTTTACCGATGGGAAAGCTGAGACAGAGATAGGTTAAAGGTTTTATTCAAGGTCACAGCCACAGGCAGTCTAGCTTCAAAGTCTGTTCTCTTAATTACTATTATGTAGCTTCCCAACTGCTAGTATTACTGTTTTATTATTCTTATTATTGGCCATGGCAATGGAAGTAATTAGCTAAAGAAGTCTTTGAGATCCCCTTGCCTCTTGCCCCCATGTTCTCTGTGTCTTCAGGCTGAAGCACACTCTGCTTGGACCCTTACTCCCTTCTTTATCTAAGAAGCAAAGACTTTCTAATGGAAGGGACCCAAAAGGTCATCTAACTCACCCCCAAACTGTCCTGGCTACAACTTCCCTTCCTGCCAAGTAATTTCCCTGGCTCATTGCCCCCACAGTGGCCCATCTCTGCACAGCTCTGATATATAGAAAATTTTGTAACCTGTAGTCTGTCTCCCCACTTCTGCTTATTCTACCTGGCACACAGTAGGTGTTCAATATGTGCTAGTTCATTATTTTGTTTTTGCTAAATTAACATCCTCTTGACAGAAAGAGTAACACCCATTTCACCTGGATATACTGTACAGAGAGGCTTGCGACTCAATGTACTTACCTATTAAGCTACTCAGATTTCAATTCAGTCCAAATTCACTGAATACCTGCTGTATATGCAAGACTGTGCTGGTTGTTTCCATATGCAGCACCTTACTTCATTCTCATAATTTCCCTATGGGAAAAGCTAAAGAGTTGATACAGTGTCCATTTGACAGATGACAAAACTGAGGCAGGTTTACTCAGCTGGAGAGGATTGAAGGCAGGATTCATACCAGATGCACAGACTCAGAGCTCAGGGCTCTTGGCACCATCCCCGAAAATAGCACATTTCTTACACAAACACACACTCCTAACTCATAACACAGCAGGAACTACAGGGCAAACAAAACAAAACAAAACAAAAAAAAACCTCAGTGAAGCACCTTGGGCTTTAAGTGTGAAAGAAAATACTTTTCAGGGACAGGTACACGGCAAAATCCACAGCCTCAGGTGTTTGATTGAATGAAAGTGGATAAACACAGTAGGGGCTGGAGGGAAGGCAGAGCACAGTGAAATTTAGTTCTTCCTGGAGGAATCAACCTGCATGCATTCCTACAAGCACATGCTTTCATACTTGCCTCCACATACTTGTCTTCCCCTTCCCTCTCCTCTGCCTCAATCCTCCCCCAACTTTCTGCAGGGCCATTGACCCTGATGTGGACTTACTCTGCAGGAACTGAGAAACGTCTTCCAGCTGGGGAATGTTATCTTCATGGAAGCCACAGTACTTTTCAAGAAGTGGAAAAATGTGATTGTACTCATAGCAAGCATGGGTTTTATACAAGGACTTCAGAGTCTTGAACACTGTGCCCCATGTTTTCTTTTCTTCCTCCATGTATTCCACTCGAGGGATGGGCTGCCCACTAGAATACAGGCACAAAATAGGTGTCTCAAGCAGGGCAGGGGCACAGCAGAACGCAGGTTAGGTTAGCAGAGGGAGTCGGGGACCAGAACCTGTGAGCTGCCATCACTTGCTACAGTGAATTTCATACATTATTTGAAAGAGAAAAATTCCACATCTTGATATAGGAAACATTGTTGTTTTGATTTCCCACATGAAAGGGTGATTTGGTTAAGCAGTGATACAGGCTACAATGAGGATTTGCTCTCACTTTCGGGAAATCACTTGGTTTTTCTACTCTTCTAATTCTCTAATTGCTTACCTGGGGTAGAAATTCACTTACCTGCACGGGCCAGTCAGGTATCACAAAGCTGTAAAGTTGCAGAGATTGGCAATAAGGAGAATGGGGGCTGGCAGGAGAATATATTCCCTTTCTAAACCAGGGCATCTAAGTTAAAGCAACACAGTGTATTTTTATGGTGTTAGCTAAAGCAATTAAACCAGTGGGCTAAACTGGATTTAATATGTAGGCCACGAATCTGAGATCCCCTTTGTTTGGTAGGCATGCACTTATTGGGTTTGATATTTCTGCTCCTGGGAAGTTATAAAGGTATTTAAATACATACTAATTAAGATTCCACATTGTATACATATATCAAAACATCATGTTGTACACCATATTTTATATACAATTATATAATTATATACAATTATATAATTGTATATAATTAAAAATTATATACAATTTTT
Organism: Homo sapiens; assembly: GCF_000001405.40. Classification (NCBI taxonomy): domain Eukaryota; kingdom Metazoa; phylum Chordata; class Mammalia; order Primates; family Hominidae; genus Homo; species Homo sapiens. The sequence continues at coordinate 102,856,061 of NC_000012.12, forward strand.
ATTTGTCAATTAGAAAACTAAATAAATAAGTTCTAGATCAAGGATAATAAATAAATATTGGAACAAAGGAGAGAAAATAAATATATAAATCCATGCTAAGGTATAAAATGCCTCATACCTTCTCTTCACTGAGCTTGTTCAAGTACATATGCCAGGCCGCATAGATCCTGAATCTCTTGGGGAAGGGAAGGCTCACATATCTGGATTCTAGTAAGCTCCCCAGGTGACTCTGATGCAAACTATAGTTTAAAAGTCGTTAGTTTTAAAAGTCCGGGAAGCTCAAACTGGGTGGAGCCCACCACAGCTCAAGGAGGCCTGCCTGCCTCTGTAGACTCCACCTCTGGGGGCAGTGCATAGCCAAACAAAAGGCAGCAGAAACCTCTGCAGACTTAAATGTCCCTGTCTGACAGCTTTGAAGAGAGTAGTGGTTCTCCCAGCATGGAGTTTGAGATCTGAGAACGTACAGACTGCCTTCTCAAGTGAGTCCCTGACCCCCGAGTAGCCTAACTGGGAGGCACCCCCCAGCAGGGGCAGACTGACACCGCACACGGCCGGGTACCCCTCTGAGACAAAGCTTCCAGAGGAATGATCAGGCAGCAACATTTGGTGTTCAGAAATATTTGCTGTTCTGCAGCCTCCGCTGCTGACACCCAGGCAAACAGGGTCTGGAGTGGACCTCCAGCCAACTCCAACAGATCTGCAGCTGAGGGTCCTGACTGTTAGAAGGAAAACTAACAAACAAAAAGGACATCCACACCAAAACCCCATCTGTGTGTCACCATCATCAAAGACCAAAGGTAGATAAAACCACAAAGATGGGGAAAAAACAGAGCAGAAAAGCTGAAAATTCTAAAAATCAGAGCACCTCTCCCCGTCCAAAGGAACACAGCTCCTCGCCAGCAATGGAACAAAGCTGGACAGAGAATGACTTTGATGAGAGAAGAAGGCTTCAGACGATAAAACTTCTCTGAGCTAAAGGAGGAAGTTCGAACCCATTGCAAAGAAGCTAAAAACCTTGAAAAAAGATTAGATGAATGGCTAACTAGAATAAACAATGTAGAGAAGTCCTTAAATGACCTGATGGAGCTGAAAACCATGGCACGAGAACTACGTGACAAATGCACAAGCTTCAGTAGCTGATTCAACCAACTGGAAGAAAGGGTATCAGTGATTGAAGATCAAATGAATGAAATGAAGTGAGAAGTTTAGAGAAAAAAGAGTAAAAAGAAATGAACAAAGCCTCCAAGAAATATGGTACTATGTGAAAAGACCAAATCTACATCTGATCGGTGTACCTGAAAGTGACGGGGAGAATGGAACCAAGTTGGAAAACACTCTGAAGGATACTATCCAGGAGAACTTCCCCAACCTAGCAAGGCAGGCCAACATTCAAATTCAGGAAATACAGAGAATGCCACAAAGATACTCCTCGAGAAGAGCAACTCCAAGACACATAATTGTCAGATTCGCCAAAGTTGAAATGAAGGAAAAAAATGTTAAGGGCAGCCAGAGAGAAAGGTCAGGTTACCCACAAAGGGAAGCCCATCAGACTAACAGCTGATCTCTCGGCAGAAACTCTACCAGCCAGAAGAGAGTGGGGGCCAATATTCAACATTCTTAAAGAAAAGGAATTTCAACTCAGAATTTCATATCCAGACAAACTAAGCTTCATAAGTGAAGGAGAAATAAAATCCTTTACAGACAAGCAAATGCTGAGAGATTTTGTCACCACCATGCCTGCCCTACAAGAGCTCCTGAAGGAAGCACTAAACATGGAAAGGAACAACTGGTACCAGCCACTGCAAAAACATGCCAAATTGTAAAGACCATTGATTCCGGGAAGAAACTGCATCAACTAACGAGCAAAATAACCAGCTAACATCATAATGACAGGATCAAATTCACACATAACAATATTAACCTTAAATGTAAATGGGGCTAAATGCTCCAATTAAAAGACACAGACTGGCAAATTGGATAAAGAGTCAAGACGTATCAGTGTGCTGTATTCAGGAGACCCATCTCACGTGCAGAGACACACATAGGCCCAAAATAAAGGGATGGAGGAAGATCTATCAAGCAAATGGAAAATGAAAAAAGGCAGGGGTTGCAATCCTAGTCTCTGATAAAACAGACTTTAAACCAACAATGATAAAAAGAGACAAAGAAGGTCACTACACAATGGTAAAGGGATCAATTCAACAAGAAGAGCTAACTATCCTAAATGTATATGCACCCAATACAGGAGCACCCAGATTCATAAAGCAAGTCGTTAGAGACCTACAAAGAGACTTAGACTCCCACACAATAGTAATGAGAGCGTTTAACACCCCACTGTCAACATTAGACAGATCAACAAGAAAGAAAGTTAACAAGGATGTCCAGGAATTGAACTCAGCTCTGCACCAAGCGGACCTAACAGACATCTACAGAACTCTCCACTCCAAATCAACAGAATATACATTCTTCTCACCACATTGCACTCATTCCAAAATTGACCACATAGTTGGAAGTAAAGCACTCCTCAGCAAATGTGAAAGAACAGAAAATATAACAAACTGTCTCTCAGACCACAGTGCAATCAAACTAGAGCTCAGGATTAAGAAACTCACTCAAAACCACTCAACTACATGGAAACTGAAGAACCTGCTCCTGAATGACTCCTGGGTACATAACGAAATGAAGGCAGAGATAAAGACGTTCTTTGAAACCAATGAGAACAAAGACACAACATACCAGAATCTCTGGGACACATTTAAGGCAGTGTGTAGAGGGAAATTTATAGCACTAAATGCCCACAAGAGAAAGCAGGAAAGATTTAAAACTGATACACTAACATCACAATGGAAAGAACTAGAGAAGCAAGAACAAACACATTCAAAAGCCAGCAGAAGGCAAGAAATAACTGAGATCAGAGCAGAACTGAAGGAGATAGAGACACAAAAAAACCTTCAAAAAATCAATGAATCCAGGAGCTGGTTTTTTTGAAAAGATCGACAAAATTGATAGACTGCTAGCAAGACTAATAAAGAAGAAAAGAGAGAAAAATTAAATAGACACAATAAAAAATGATAAAGGGGATATCACCACCGATCCCACAGAAATACAAACTACCATCAAGAATACTATAAACACCTCTATGCAAATAAACTAGAAAATCTAGAAGAAATAGATAAATTCCTGGACACATACACCCTCCCAAGACTAAACCAGGAAGAAGTTGAATCCCTGAATAGACCAATAACAGGCTCTGAAATTGAGGCAATAATTAATAGCCTACCCACCAAAAAAAGTACAGGACCAGATGGATTCATAGCCGAATTCTACCAGAGGTACAAGGAGGAGCTGGTACCATTCCTTCTGAAACTATTCCAATCAATAGAAAAAGAGGGAATCCTCCCTAACTCATTTTATGAGGCCAGCATCATCCTGATACCAAAGCCTGGCAGAGACACAACAAAAAAGAGAATTTCAGACCAATATCCCTGATGAACATCAATGCAAAAATCCTCAATAAAATACTGGCAAACCGAATCCAGCAGCACATCAAAAAGCTTATCCACCACGATCAAGTGGGCTTCATCCCTGGGATGCAAGGCTGGTTCAACATACACAAATCAATAAATGTAATCCAGCATATAAACAGAACCAAAGACAAAAACCACATGATTATCTCAATAGATGCAGAGAAGGCCTTTGACAAAATTCAACAGCCTTTCATGCTAAAAACTCTCAATAAATTAGGTATTGATGGGATGTATCTCAAAATAATAAGAGCTATTTATGACAAACCCACAGCCAATATCATACTGAATGGGCAAAAGCTGGAAGCATTCCCTTCCCTTTGAAACCTGGCACAAGACAGGGATGCCCTCTCTCACTACTCCTATTCAACATAGTGTTGGAAGTTCTGGTCAGGGCAATCGGGCAGCAGAAAGAAATAAACGGTATTCAATTAGGAAAAGAGGAAATCAAATTGTCCCTGTTTGCAGATGACATGATTGTATATTTAGAAAACCCCATTGTCTCAGCCCAAAATCTCCTTAAGCTGATAATCAACTTCAGCAAAGTCTCAGGATACAAAATCAATGTGCAAAAATCACAAGCATTCTTATACACCAATAACAGACAAACAGAGAGCCAAATCATGAGGGAACTCCCATTCACAATTGCTTCAAAGAGAATAAAATACCTAGGAATCCAACTTACAAGGGATGTGAAGGACCTCTTCAAGGAGAACTTGTAGTTGAACCACTGTTCAAAGAAATAAAAGAGAACACAGACAAATGGAAGAACATTCCATGCTCATGGACAGGAAGAATCAATGTCGTGAAAATGGCCATACTGCCCAAGGTAATTTATAGATTTAATGCTATCCCCATGAAGCTACCAATGACTTTCTTCACAGAATTGGAAAAAACTACTTTAAAGTTCATATGGAACCAAAAATAGCCCGCATTGCCAAGACAATCCTAAGCCAAAAGAACAAAGCTGGAGGCATCACACTACCTGCCTTCAAACTATACTACAAGGCTACAGTAACCAAAACAGCATGGTACTGGTATCAAAACAGAGGTATACACCAATGGAACAAAACAGAGCCCTCATTAATAATACCACACATCTACAACCAACTGATCTTTGACAAACCTGACAAAAACAAGAAATGGGGAAAGGATTCCCTATTTAATAAATGGTGCTGGGAAAATTGGCTAGCCACGTGTAGAAAGCTGAAACTGGATCCCTTCCTTACACCTTATACAAAAATTAATTCAAGATGGATTAAAGACTTAAATGTTAGACCTAAAACCATAAAAACCCTAGAAGAAAACTTAGGTAATACCATTCAGGACATAGGCATGGGCAAGGACTTCATGTCTTAAACACCAAAAGCAATGGCAACAAAAGCCGAAATTGACAAATGGGATATAATTAAACTAAAGAGCTTCTGCACAGCAAAAGAAACTACCATCAGAGTGAACAGGCAACTGACAGAATGGGAGAAAATTTTTGCAATCTACTCATCTGACAAAGGGATAATATCCAGAATCTACAAAGAACTCAAACAAATTTACAAGAAAAAAACAACCCCATCAAAAAATGGGCAAAGGATATGAACAGACACTTCTCAAAAGAAGACATTTATGCAGCCAACAGACACATGAAAAAATGCTCATCATCACTGGCCATCAGAGAAATGCAAATCAAAACCACAGTGAGATACCATCTCACACCAGTTAGAATGGCGATCATTAAAAAGTCAGGAAACAACAGGTGCTGGAGAGGATATGGAGAAATAGGAACACTTTTATACTGTTGGTGGGACTGTAAACTGGTTCAACCATTGTGGAAGACAGTGTGGCAATTCCTCAAGGATCTATAACTAGAACTACCATTTGACACAGCCATCCCATTACTGGGTATATACCCAAAGGATTATAAATCATGCTGCTATAAAGACACATGCACACATATGTTTATTGCAGCACTATTCATAATAGTAAAGACTTGGAACCAACCCAAATGTCCATCAGTGATAGACTGGATTAAGAAAATGTGGCACATATACACCATGGAATACTATGCAGCCATAAAAAAGGATGAGTTCATGTCCTTTATAGGGACATGGGTGAAACTGGAAACCATCATTCTCAGCAAACTATCGCAGGGACAGAAAACCAAACACTGCATGTTCTCACTCATAGGTGGGAATTGAACAATGAGAACACTTGGACACAGGAAGGGGAACATCACACACGGGCCTGTTGTGGGGTTGGGGGAAGGGGGAGGGATAGCATTAGGAGATATACCTGACAAGTTAATGGGTGCAGCACACCAACATGGCACATGTATACATATGTAACAAACCTGCACGTTGTGCACATGTACCCTAGAACTTAAAGTATAAAAAAAAAAAAAAAAGAAAGACTGTGGCAATTCCTCAAAGACCTAAAAACAGAAATACCATTTGACCCAGCAATCCTATTATGAGGTACATACCCAAAGGAATATAAATCATTCTATCATAAAGACACATACACGCATATGTTCACTGCAGCACTATTCACGATAGCACAGACATGGAATCAACTTCATTGCCCATCAGTGGTGGACTGGATAAAGAAAATGTTGTACATATACACCATGGAATACTATGTGGCCATAAAAAATGACATCATGTCCTTTGCAGGAACATGGATGGAGCTGGAGGCCATTATCCTTAGCAAACTAATGGAAGAGAAAACCAAAGACCACATGTTCTCACTTGTAAGTGGGAGCTAAATGGTGAGAACATACAGACACATAGAGGGGAACAACACACACTGAGTCTAATGAAGGGTGGAGGGTGGGAGGAGGGAGAGGATCAGGAAAAATAACTAATGGGTGCTAGGCTTAATACCTGAGTGATGAAATAGTCTGTAAAACAAACCCCCATGACACAAGTTTACCTATATGTAAATACCTGCCCATGTACCCTTGAACTTAAAATGAAAGCTAAATTAAAGATTTTAAAAAAAAAGTCCTTTTGAAAACCACCTGGGAATGAACTGTGTTCGGAACAGCACAAACAGATGTAAACCAAATAAAGCCTGACTTCAAAGATCAGTGACTGTCCCCTAGGCTGCAGGCCTATTTCTCTAACAGGAACACAGAGTCTGGGACAAAGTGAGACTGTTGATCTCAGAATTATGGATCATCATTAGGCTCCAGATTAGGTCTTTCTTGCCCTTTCAGAATTGTACCTCATCCAAACACATTAGAGCACAGTCTTTGTTATTGTCTACAGACGAGTGACAGGGATTAGGCAAAAAGATAGCATTTTGCTTAAGTATTATTGAAAGCCAGGCAAGTTCAGAAGGTCTTGTGGTAGCCAGCAATGATGGTGAAAAAAAAAAAATCAGGTAAGCTCTTGCCCAAGAACGCGCCATTATCGAGACTAAGCACTGATACAGGAGACAAACAGACTTTGGAAACAGACAGAGACTGTTCAATCCTTGGCCCTGCCATTCCCTAGCTGTATCAGCTCAGGCAATTTAGTAAACCTCTCTGAGCCTCAATCTGTGCAGCTGCTACGTGGGCTAAACATAAGTACCTGTATGGTGTGGATAAATTTAAGTCTAATACTATGTATAAAGTACCTAGTATTAGTACTGACAAATCCTAACAATTGGATAATTGATCATTACCATTATGACTGATTCTCATTTTAAAAGAAAGGCATCTGTTATTCCTGCAACAAATTTCAAGAAATGGTAACATCCTGAGCACCAAGATGTTCTGCTGGTTGACACCTGCTGTTCTAGGGACTCAACATCTGTTCCCCATTCATCAGTAAAGCACCTTTCTCCCCTCTCAGTCTGTGAGGTTCAGGTGAGGAGAGACTCCACTCCTACCTTCAGAAGTGGGCATGTGACCAGACTAAGCCAATTGAAATCCCTCATTCTCCTGCATTGTGCCTGGCTGAGAGATGGGACTATGTCCTAATCAGAGTCAGTGGACTCAATGCCAGAACTGTGGTTGACTTTGTTGGAAATAGACAGGACCTCTAATTGAGTTGGCGTATCAGCCTAGAGGTGCTAGATTCCCTCTCCAAGAGAAATGAGGCCAATGTCTGAAAGCAAGGCCAAAGCAAAGGACACTAGAGTCAGAGAGGCAAATAATGAGATGCTGAATCCTGGACCTGCCTGAGCCTAAACTACCCGCCTTAAACTCTTCATTTATAGTATCCAGTAGAGCTCTCCTTTATGTTTGAGTTGTTTTGCAGATGAAAAATATAAGCTCCTATGATCCGTTTTATCTATTCCTAGATAAAACTTAAAAGCCCAACTTCCACTCCAGTAATATCATCAAAACCTGCTGTAGCAGCCTTCTAGATGATTCTAGACACAATTCCTGGCTCTGCCTCCAATTCACCATTTTGAATCTTTACTTTTATATGGTCTCTTGGATTCATTCATTCATTCAACAAATGTTAATTGAGCACTGTGACAAAACAGTCAATTACCCCTGCCCTCATGGAGTCCACATTTCTAGTAGAGGCAGACAGAAAGCCAACACAACTCCGTTAGATGATGACAAATGCTATAGAGAAAAAAGGGGCAAAGGTATAGGGAGTTTCAGAGTGGGGTTTCAATTTTACATAGGGTGTAGAGAGGGCATGGCTGAGAAGGTGACATCTAAATGAAAACCTGAGGAGATGAGGCCTCGGTGCTTCACTCTGGAGTCTTCCATTTAGCTTGAACATAACTATTTGAGATTCTGATTCTGCTTTTCTGCAGGTTAATCTGATTCGCACCAGCCCCTGAAGTCTAAAGCAGTGACCGCAGTATCCCCTTTATGCAGTTATTGGGGCTGCTCATCCCAAGCTTGATAGCAGTGGCTCAGCAGTTTACTGCTTTCCTGGGAAAAGCAGGAGAATCTCAATTCTAACCCTGCCGCTTCCTAACTGAGTGAGACCTTGGTCAATTTTTAAAAAGCAAAATCACAAACGAAAGCACAAAAATGTTAAAAATGTGACACTAAACAGACCATGTAAAGGACACATGTTGACAAAATGAGGGTAGAAACAGAAAGGTAGAGTGTTGCCTTCTTTGACCTCAGTTGGAGATATACACCTCAGTAGAATCAAATTTTTTCTCCTCTCTGTGCTAGTCTGGGAATGACTGTGAAAGTGTACAGTGAGTATCGATTTTGGGGTCACAAATACACTTAAGCAAGTAGGCAAATTCGCAAAATAGAATCTGCAAAAAAAAAAAAACAAGGATGAACTATATCAGACCCTGAAGTAAGAGACTATTTTGAAGAAGAAAGACATGGTAAAAAGAGCACCGAAAGCTTAAATGAGATGAGATAAAGTCAAGTCTGAAATAGGCTTTTAATTTTTTAAAAAGGCGAGCCCTTTACTAGCTACATGACCTTCGGCACATCAGTTAGTTAATCATGTGGGATTCATCTATAAAAGGTGAGAAATTGACTAAAAAATTTTAACGTACTTCTGAGAGTCCAGCTATCTATAGATGATTTTCAGTAACCAAGTTAACTGATTAACATCCAGGATTGTGAGGTGATTCACCAATTTCACTCTTCTTCATAAGGTTTCACATTTCTATGAGAAGGAGGTTGAGGAGGATCTGTCTCCGCTCTCCCCAAATCCCAGCAACCCAGAAGTAAGTGAATGTACTTTCTAAGCACCTCCTCCTTGATTATATGAAGTGCAGTCTCTAGACTCTAGGAGTCCCCAGACACTCAGAAGAGTGGCTAAAAATACCCTTAGAATTCAACAAACCTGAGTTTAAAACCTGATTATGTCACATACTAGCTACATGATGTTGGCAACTTACTTAACCTTTGTAAGCTTTGATTACCCCATCAGAAAAATGAGAAGTTATTATTGAGGCTAAACAAAATGATATATACAAAGCATTCACCAAAGCCCCCAGACACACAGCAAGAAGATAATAAGTATGATCTGTTATTGCTGACTATCTGAAGGACTTTTGCCTGTACCTGCTTTGATGGTGTCCACCTGACTGAGCTGGGGCAAAGGTGGAGTCAGGAAAGGGAGGTCACCATCTTCTGTGAATCCTGCTCAGCAGGATCCAAGGCCCAGATGGGCTTAGATCTGACTAAAGACAGCACATTTTTGAATTCTTCCACTACCAAAAGTCATTCAGAAAAGCTTTCTCTCTCTTTTTCCGGAGGTTTTTCCATGTTGAAAGTAACTTTGTATTCAGTATAGAAAGGCCCATCATCTTCTCCATCTCCCTGAGATTCTATCAAAGCTGTCAAAGTACTATGCCATGAGCATTCTGGACAAATTTTAAGTTTCTTCTTGTGCATGTCTTTTCTTAATCCCTTAACTCAGTAACAGCACTTGTCAAAACACTAAGTTTCCCATGGTGGCATTTCTGTAGTTCCTTAAGACTCAAAGGAGCAAAGCTGTTGTCTTCTCAAACATGTTTTATATTTGCATTTTCTTTTGGCTAAAATAGGGTAGGGGAGGAACACAGAACCCCAGACAGGAAAAAAAAAAAACCATCCTAAAATTGTCCTTCACAGCTGGGTCAGACCAGATAAAAGTAGAAAGCTGAAGTTTGGCTGGCCTGAAATCTTGAATGATTCATTATTTCAGTAAAGCAGCCAGCTCCTTCTTGAATGTAAATGATTCTCTTTTTCCTTCTTCCCTGTTTAATGTAGAGAAGACCGGAGGCTGTTTTATTCAGGACCGAGGCCTTTTCTAATTACTGCAGACACCACTGCGTAATTAGACAACAAAGCTTGGGAGAGAGCAGGGCCCCCGCACAGTGGGTAATTTTGTTTTGTCTAGCAGCAATCATTTTTTATCATGTGTTATTAAAGGGAGGGTTTAAACACACCCCCACACACACATACACGCATGCACATGAACACATGCACACACAGAAGGCAGGACTCTTCATGCTGGTATTTTCCATCCTCAACTGGATGAGGGCAAGGGAGAAGCAGGCTAGGGGTGTGTTTTTCTCTCTTCCCCTCAACAAGCAAGGCAGACTTACTGGCGGTAGTTGTAGGCAATGTCAGCAAACTGCTTCCGTCTTGCACGGTACACAGGATCTTTAAAACCCTAGGAGAAAAGAGACACCTGATTTTTCAAGGCTTCATAGGAAGAGGTCTGGTACCTTTATGAATGCTTTGAATGGGGGCTCTCAAGCCATGACAGTGCATGTCTCCTTCCCTTGGTTATACCCTAAAACTAAAGTCTCGGTTAAACTTAGCTCTCCTACCAGATATTGTGAGTGACACCTTATTAGTAACTTCTTTGATTTAGCATGAGCCTCCTTGCTGTGGATTCCAATGTGCATGATCTGTTCTTAAAGAAACCTCATCTACAGCATATCTGACTGACACACTTGCTAAACTAAGCAAAGTTCATAGGATGGATGTCTATGATGAAGATGTACAATATCCATTTAATTCCTGATTAAGGTTTGTGTCTAGCTCTACCTTTTAATTTCTTGATAGACGAGCAGGCACATGCTTATTGCTCTTGCAATTTTTAAAAATACCATTGATTAAATACATACTATGTGCCAGTTTGTGAGTACTAGGAACTGATTTTACATATAATTCTCACAACAAACTTGCGAGTTCGATGAGTATGATTATCCTGTTCTTTCCGGAATAAATGGTGGTTCAGAGAAGTGGATCCATAGTGACGGTGAGGCTGGGATTTGGATCACCATCAGTAATTGTCAGCCTTTACAATCTGGCAGGGGCCTAGCTAACTGAGAGTCTGTCTCAGGACCTAAAAAGGATGATAATGGAGTCTCCTCTGAAGCTGATTCACAGGCAGCCTTTTCCCAGTGATTTGTAAGCAGCACATTTCCGAGTGAAAGGAGGCTAAGTGTGTCTTTGAGTGTTTGGGGTGGAAATGGGATTCCAACTGATTGAAAGACAATTTTCCAAAAACAGTTGATTGCAGTCTAAATTTTGGTAAGACAAGAGACTGATATCATTTCCGTAGAACTCTGCTGTGGTTCTTCCAAGCCTTTCCCAGTAAGCCATGCCATCCACCACTTTAGCTCACAATTTCTCTGCTCCACTGTCCCTCCAAACCAAGGCAGTAGTGAATTCAAAACAAAAGCTTATGTCACAGAGTGTAATGTTTAAAGGAGACTTTTAAAAAGAGAAATATTCCCTGATTTTTAGATTTGTTTTTTGTTTTGGTTGCTTGATTGGTTGAATTTTTGTTTTGGGAGAGTTTTCTCTCTCTCTCTTTCTCTCTCTCTCTCTCTCCCCCTCTCTCTCTCTATGTATATACATATATAGATGTATATATACATGTATATACATATATAGATGTATATATACATGTATATACATATATAGATGTATATATACATGTATATACATATATAGATGTATATATACATGTATATATAGATGTATATTACATGTATATATGTATATACATATATACATATATACATGTATATACACCTATATATATGTATATATATACACATATATATACATATATGTGTGTGTGTATATATATATATATACACATATATATACATATATGTGTATATATATATATATATATATATATATACACATATATATACATATATGTGTATATATATATATATATATATATATATATCAGGGCCTACCAGTAATTGTAAAGACACAGAGGGCAATGTAATATAATGTAATTTGTTCTGAGAATCTGCGGCATTGATTCTGGCACACAGGAAAAAACTACAGACACTTGTTGGAAGAAAGGAAGGGAGGGAAGATAGGAGTTAATTAGTTTATTTCCGGGAATATATTTTGAAAAATAGAAACATCCAAATGTTTCACACTTGAAAAGTGAAGTAAAACTACTACACATTTTTTTTTACTCCAAATCTAAATCCCAGATAAATAATGTGATTACTCTGTTTAGAAAAGATTTTATGACACGGTTATTGCAAAGTATAACTCTTCCTTTCCCTAGAGCACTGAATGGTTTTTAATCGTTAATTACAGATTAGAAAGCTTAGGAATCTGAGTACTTAAAACTACTGTTGTGCCTCGTTTCTACTGGGTGAAGGTAAGTTGGTTTGAGATGATGTGGTTAAAAAAAAAAAATAAAACTGGGCACCATGATTTACTTTCCAAATATCAGTAACACACCATTTTAGAAACCTGTCTACTGGACTAAACAAAGAACATTTATTTGTCCATATCTCCATACTTGGGGCTCAAAATAAACATGTAATATTGGTCAGTCATTAAGGTTTGATTGTTACAGTCATTCTCACTTGCCATTCTTATTTAATAGTTAGTAGTGAATAGTTTTTCTCCAGGCCCTAAGGATAATATGTAGACTTTTGACCCTGTAAGGCACCTTGTAGAAAGGTCCATTTCTATATTTTGGTCTAGACTTGAAGAATATGAAGCCCATGGAGCCATTTGCCTAAAGGCCCAAAACTACAGAACTAGCACCTCCATTTGGATTTTGTGGTCCTCCCTAGGCTGGCAAGTTGAGATTTGAGCACTGAAGTAGGAATCCAGGAAGAAAAGAGAATTCCTTCAATCCGTGGATTTCCACTTCATCATGCTGCTTCTAGGAATGAGATATCCATGAACAGTTCTTACCCCCATTTGCCTTTATTGTTTATCTTTCATGTACCTTGCCTAGGTGGTTTAAAGATTTTCTACTTGTGAAAATAAAAGCTAATGTAATACTGTATACCCAGTTGATATTATCAATTATGTCAATTATGTCATATATCAATTATGTCAGAGGAAATATGTAAGTATATAAATAAAATGATTAAAGAAATACACCAAACTCTAACAAGTGTTACCTCCAGGTAGTGGGAAAAATAAGTAACACTAACAGTTGTATTCTTGAAAACTATTTATGCTTTTCAAGTTTTCTAATGTGAGAACGGGTTTCTTTTAGAATAAAAAAAAGAAAATAGTATTAAATATCCATCTCAAATCATTTTAGTGAAGTAGCAGGAGATTCACACATTGGTATACAGGAACACACACACAGATAATGCACTATACAGATCTTCCATGTGGGAAGGTTTCTAACCATGACCCTTTCCAGCTCCTGGTTTCTAAGTTCATTATCAGCCTGCAAGGGGCCCCAACCAACCAGGTTGCAGGGAGTTTTGCTTTCTCAGTTACCAGTGGTCAGAGAGCTCTGTGGCCTGACGCCCAGCCTCTTGGGGATCTGGCCTTGCATTCCTTGGGCTACCAGACGACCACAGGGCCTCTGTAGCCGTCCATGTGGAGTACATTCTGAATCAAATCACAGTTGGTGATGACTGATCACCCTGTCTCAATTTAGACTAATAGCAGCAATTTCAGTAGCACTGCATGTAATTTATTTATAATCACCCTGTCTCAATTAAACTAATAGCAGCAATTTTAGTTGCACTGCATGTAACCAAGTATGTTTTGACAGGAAAATATATTGTTGGTGAAGGAGTGGTGAGGGGGAGGGGAGGGGATAGAAGACGGGAGAAAGTCGAGAGAGTTCTACAGGATGCAAGTCATGACATCAACTGAAGTCTGCATGTATTGAGAGGTATAATTTGTGTGTGTGGGTGGGTTTAGGGGAGAGGGTAACTACATATATGGAAAAGTCTTGAGTATTCTTGTAGACTGAGATATTTATTCCATCATTTCCTAATATCATAGCTAAGGTTAAACCTCAGAAGTGCTCTCTTTAGGCTAGTGAGAACACAGGTTTTAAAGTCAGAAAAGCTGTGTTGGAATACTAATTCATTTATTCACAAGGAGCATGGCCTGGGAGTGGCCAGTTTATCTCTCAGAGCCTTAGTTTCCTCATCAGTAAAATAAGACTGTCAATCCTACCTGCTTCACAGTGTTGTACAGTTTAAGTCAGGTAATGTCGGCAGCACATTAAGCAAAATTCTGAGCACATTGTAGTTGCTCAAAGCATGATGCATTTGTGCAAAATGGCAGGAAATCCAAAGACAGAGAAGTCTGGCTCAGAATATAAAAAAGATGTACTCTGGAATGGGTCAGTGATCCCCACCAGCCACAAGGGGCTTTTAAACCAACATCTACAGAATTCTTACCTTGCTGTGTATATTTCAGCTAGGCCAATAACAAGAGGCTTTTTGCATTTTTCATAATGTTTCATGACAACTGGGGGAAGGATGGAACACAGAAGACAAAAGGTTCAAACTGGCATTTATTAAGTAGCTGCCATTCCCATCCTATAGACATTGGTCAAGGAGGACTTGCAAACAGTAGACTAGGGGAGCACCGACCATGCCCAATCCCTTTGCTCACCCTACAATTGGCCAAGAAGCCTATTCTGGAAAAATGTATGTACCTAGTTGCCCAAGCCCATAAGCCAGGAGTTATTGTTTTACTTCCCCCTTCTCTCTTCCTTCACATCCAGCAATCAATTTCTGCCCATTCTACCATTCAAACATCTGAGTCTGTCCTTCCTACTTCATTCTCACTGCTGCACCTGCATTCGACCACCACCATTTCTTGCCTGACTATTGTAGCTGCTGGGTAAGTGGCCTCTCACCCCCTCCACTTCATCCCAAATTATATTTATAAAGTGCAAGTCTGGTGAGGCCACTTGCCTCTTCAAAAGCCCTTCAAGGGCTTCTCATTGCTATTAGACTATTGTCCAAAATATTTAGCACAGTCCACAAGGCTTTACATGATCCAGCTCTGTCTATGTGTCCAGCCCTGTGCTGACTCACTCTGGCCTTCCTATGATGCTGCAGAGTGCACTGGTCTTGCTTTAATTCCTTAAACACACCATGCTCTTTCCCACATCAAGGCCTTCACACGTGTTCTACCCTCTGAGTGGGACCCTCTTCCCCACTCGTTTAGACCAATAAGTCACTATCTGTTCTTTCTGTCTTCCTGGATTTTTCCAAAGTTTATTGGTTTCTCTCAGTGTGTTGTATGTTTCTCGTTTCAGATGGTCTCACATATGTTAATAATGATTAAACTCAGGAAACTCTTTTACATATCACTGGATTTTCAGGGCATAGCACACTCAGCATATCCCCAAGTAGAAGCTGTTCAAAAATTATGCAAAACAGGCCAGGTGCAGTGGCTCATGCCTGTAATCCCAGCACTTTGGGAGTCCAAGGTGGGCAGATCGCCTGAGGTCAGGAGTTCAAGACCAGCCTGGCCCACATAGTGAAATCCTGTCTCTGCTAAAAATACAAAATTAGTCAGGCGTGGTGGCGCATGCCTGTAATCCCAGCTACTCGGGAGGCTGAGGCAGGAGAACTGCTTGAACCTGGGAGGCAGAGGTTGCAGTGAGCTGAGATCATGCCATTGCACTCCAGCCTGGGTGACAAGAGCAAAACTCTGCCTCAAAAAAAAAAAAAAAAAAAAAAAAAAAATATATATATATATATATATATATATATATATATATTTGCAAAACCTAGGGCAAAAAAATTACTGTGTGCCTTTTAAATGTCATATGAGATCATTGTCTCACAAGCTCACTCTGTGCTCTAAGGGGACATATATTTACTACTTATAAAGTTACAATCACTTCAAAGTAGATGCTGGCTTTTTAGAAGACCAATAAGTTGCAAAATATTCATTTTATTATCAAATTGTAAGTTGTTTCTGCCTAGTAGAAAGGTTAAGACACATAATTATGGCTTTATTGTCTTATGGAACATTAATCACTTGTGCATCCATCTTTGTGACCTTATTCTGGCTTTCTATTTTCCGATGACCACGTGTACTTTCGTCTCTTGTATCTTTTCTGCACTATCTTTGTCATCTTGCTGGTTCCCTCAATAGTGAGTTAAATGGATCTTTGACAGGTGTTCACTATATACCTGCATGACAGTTATGTTTTTAACTTTTCACAAATTATGCTTGGATAGAGCAATTTAGTAAGAATGCAACAAGTCTTTGATGACTCAACTAGCTGACTGACTCTTAGAAGGAACTCTGACAGGGCCTCAGGTGGAGAAAATTAGGTGGGCAAAAGGAAGAGAAAAGGAGAAAAGTATTGAAAAATATAGTCTTGTTATTGGGCAATTTGCTGAAGAAGAAATTTCCTACAGGAGAGCAGGAAAACTTGATGCCCACACCTTGAAAGGTTAAAAACAGTTTCAGGCCTGGTGTGGTGGCTCATGCCCATAATCCCAGCATTTTGGGAGGCTGAGGCGAGCGGATCACCTGAGATCAGGAGTTTGAGACCAGCTTGGCCAACATGACGAAACCCCATCTCTACTAAAAATACAAAAATTAGCTGGGTGTGGTGGCACACACCTGTAATCCCAGCTATGTGGGAGGCTGAGGCAGGAGAATCACTTGAACCCAGGAGGTGGAGGTTGCAGTGAGCTGAGATTGCACCATTGTACTCCAGCCTGGGCAGCAAGAGTGAAACTCCATTAAAAAAAACCATGTAGTTTCAAAGACTTGGGTCAAGAAGTAGAAATATCCACAGAAGGACAGTTGTGTTGGCTGATATTTTCTTCACTAAGAAGCCCCCTCTATTGTAGATCTGTAGCCTAGACTCCAGTGCAGCTGCCAGGTAAACTGGAATAGGTAGCTCTGGAGTTGGGGGTCTATGTGGCAGAGGTTGCTGGTGCTCCCCAAGATCTGTCCTCTCTCCTTTGTTCAGAGAACGTTGCTAAACTATTTTCCCCCATCTTCTTTGCAGTTAGTAGTGGGCACGTGACTGAGCTCTACTCAATGGAATTTGATTGAAGGGATGTGAGTCATCTCCAGACATGGCCCATGAAAACTTCCCAGAAGCAATTCTCACTCTCTCTTCTCCCATCCACTGGCAGAATGAGTGGGCTCCAAGGAGTTGAAGGAGGGTACAGCCATTGGTGGAAGGAGGCTTGGTTCTGAAAGACTTTGTGGAGCAGTTTCCTTACTGACCCACATTGGAAGTGAACTTTTATTGGGTTGGCCACGGAGATCTGGGGGTTTTTGCTGAGCAGTTAGCCTGCTCTGGTTGCTAGAGGGCTAGACTCAGATCTTCCTCTTTCTAGAAGTCCTCCCTAACCATTCCAGTACACAGTGACCTTAGAAATGATAGCACATGCTATCTGACTCATGAAACCTGGCATTTATGCACTTTTTTGAGTTATTATTATATAATTATATACTAGTTATTATCCCAACTGTATTCCATGGAAAACTACCACTCACGATAAGATAATGTTGCTAGGTATTTCATTAAAAAGAGTTCCGTGGGTAAGTAAGTTTTAGGAAACATTGCATTGACTGGGTTTCATTTTTGCAGGATTTTCCAAAGTTTCTAATGAGATAATGGAATTTGCATACTTAAAGTAGGGTTATAGAATACAGAGTTTCTCTCTTTGATCATGGGATATTTTTCATAAACTACAGTTTCGGAAACATGCATATGGCCCTTTCACTTGCATATATATATCTTGTGCCTCCCATGAGGTTATAAGTCATGAAGAAGTAAACTTATTGTGATCTGATACTCTGTACCCAAAGTATAAACACAATGTGATTGTTGCCATCTCTGAGATAGTAACAGTGTGAGAAACTTAAGTCTTGGAAGAGACAGGAGGAAGGCTTTAGGGAGGCAACATATATGATTTAGACCTTAGATGAATAGAGGTTTCCAAGTGGGGAAATAACAGGTGGGTTGGCAAGAAAAAACATGTCAGGTAAAGGGAACAACATGGACAGAAAGGGGAGTAAATTTTGGAAATGGAAATTAAATAGAACCAGTTGGATTCTGCCTGCCAAGTTTGCAGTTACTATTCCAGCTCCCTCCTGCACTGCTTTGAGAACAGTCAACACCCCTTCTCTCTCTACTGTACAACCACAGGCCCCTGGAGGGCAGGGATCATGTCATCTGTCACTTCAACCTCCTTTCTTTTATATGGCCTGAGACATAGTTCACACACAGATGATGTTACACGGCCCTCTCCCTCTGAGATTTCTTATCTGAAAATGAGATGTACAGCCCTCATACGGTGGTGATAATATTCAAATTAAAAAAGGAATGCCAAGCATTTAGCATTGTGCCTGGCACACAGCCCCTGCTCAAGAAGCATTAGCTCCTAATATCATTAGTTAACTAAAAGATTTTGGAAAAAAAGAAAGCAAGGTGGGAAAGGGGAAAGGAAAGGAAGGAGACTGGGAAAGAAGGGGAAAGGAGGCAAGATGGTCACCAGGAAATCTAGCTTCCCTATTTCATTTTCCCACTTAGCTAAAACTGAAAGGCAGAGGCCATTTTCCCTCTGTCTTGGAAACAGTCCTTCCTTTACTTCATTTTTCAAAGTGACTGCTTTGGAGGACCTGATGAGAGATATTGGGTCACACATCCATGCATACTGCCAAGGGCCGGGTTCAGGGACAAAGAGATCACACAGGATGCAACGGGACAGAGAGAACAGAGGGTCCTTTCGAGAAGAACACCCGCTGACTGCACCACTCCTTGTGCTGGTGTCTGTTTGCACTCACACACTGAGGCCAGGCCTGTGGGCCCCGGGGTCTCTGGGAAAGCACGCTGGAGGGTTTGTTTTGTCCTTGGCCCACGTCCCTGGGATCTGATGAGAAATGAAAGGAACAGAGAGAGCCTGGCGCCTCGTCTTCAGGGAACTGTGTACCTGATATGTTGTATTTTTACAATAAAATTCATAACATTGAGAGGGCAGGGAGTCAAAGATGTGGCTTTTAAAAACCAATGCATTCCAGAGAGTTTTAAAGCCAGTGCCAGCTGCTTTGGAGGGGACTTGAGGATACAGGGAGAAAAATGTCCATCTCTTTGCATTGGAGTCTTCCACTGTCCCAAATGAAAAGGGAGTGAAACGAATGGGAAGAATGCCGGTTTGGGGCAGGAAGACAGGAGTTTGGTAAGAGGAGAATAACGCCCTGCTGGGCAGACCCCTTGGATGGGTCAGAGGTGAACAGACAGCTTTTCTGAGAACCAGTATCTTTGGAGATGCTTTGCTGACAGAGTTGATGGCTAAGAGGCCCCAGACAGAGATCTGTTGAACGGGTACACAGAGCAGAATCCCACCTGGAGCAACCTTGGCGCCCCAGGGCTCCTGGGAGTAGGCTACATGGTATATAGGATGGAATGGGGGTCAAAAGTCCCCACATTTACCTTTACTTTTCGGGGAGAGAGAGTATTTAAGTAATATACACTAGGAGCTTTAAATTTAATTCCTATCCTCAGTTTAAATATAACTTAGTTTAATTTCACAACTAATATTCAAGGCAGCCATTGGAAGTTCACGTGAAAATACATAGGTGAGACTCAAACTTCCTACACGTTTGCAATTGGGTGCTGGTTAGTAAGTTGTGACAGTTAATACACACAAACACACACACACATATTTGTGTGCATATATATACACCATATATATATATACATATATATATAGACAGAGCGAGAAAGGAGGAAGGATGGAGGCACACCCAAATATTAATATTGATTTATTGATTATTTTAGAATAGTGTGATAATAGGTGATTTTTTTTTTTCTGTTTGGAAGTCTGGGAGATTGGAGGAAATTCACCTTTGTTTCTGTTGATATATGCTTTCTCATTATTTGAAAAATGCAGAACTGTCCAGAGAGAAAAATAGAAATAACTGAAATTATGGTTGCTTTTCATCTTCCTCCTCATGCCCCTCTGTGTTTTCAAGCCCACTATAATTGGTTTTACAATTTGAATTAGAAGAAGCATCAATCATTCATATTTCAAAAGGCCAGCTTGCCCCTGAAATAGCTTGCCTTTGGCCTCTGTAAAAGAGCCTGGATTTCTGCCACTAGCTAGGCCTTTGTCTTCAGGCACCATGAGCTCTCAGGACTCACAGTTTAGCACCGGGCCTTAGAAAAGTCATCAGGCTCCTCGGGCCTCACTAGTTCTGTAAGATGGAAGCATCTGCTTTGCCTCCTGAAAAGCGCCTTTGCGAACATTCTTTGCTGATTATAAAGACCCACATAAATGTGAGGAGAAAACAGACTCCTGTGGAAGTGTAAATGCTTCCTCTGCGTTCTGCTCAACCTTCACCGATGTAAATGGCTGCAAGTCATTTAAAGATGAAGGAGTCATTTGCCTGGCAGAGAATAAAGGGCAGGCAACAGGACGGTGGCCCTTCCCACCGATGGAGGCTGTGAGACCTGGCCCTGAGCCACCGCAGCCTGGGCTGTTCCTCCCCAGACCCTCTGCCCCAGAGTAGAGGGAACGATGAAATATCCCCCACCCCGGCCCTCTACTCAAAAACCATTAAAGGACCTGCCCCCATGGCTGCAAGACACAGGCCCAGTCCGTGTTCCTCTTTCTGGTCCATTAGCCCTTTTACAATCTGATCCCAACCCACTGCCCCAGCCACATCTCTCATTCTCATACTTAATGCACCAACCAGTCATTCCCACAGTATTGTGGATGCTTCCAAGACTCTCGGTATTCTCATACACTGTTCTTTCAGCCATAAGCCCTCTCCGTTCCTTATCTGACCCGCATCTCCTACTCAGTTTTTAAGATTCAGTTTCAACGTCGCCACTCCCCGCTGCCCCCTGCAGTTGGCAGAGTTGTTAGTACAGGTTGCTGTTTACCAAGCACTTGACTTAAACCTCCATAGATGTACACAGGCAGAAACAATGATGATTTGCATCTGTGTGTGTGTTTGTGCATACACAGACCTAGTATATAGAGACAATAGTTTCTGGACAGTGATTTATATTTGCTCCTACAAAAATAATGACCATGATAATGATGATGACAATAAAGTCTTGCTAATTTTTCCCAGCCCTCGTGTAAATAGGAACACAATAAGTGTTTGTTGAACAAGTGAACAAGTACATTGCTCCAAGTAGAGAAGGTAAGAGGAAGGGAGGGGAGTGGAGGAGAGGCACTGAAAAAATCTCATCCTACGGGCCATGGACTCACAGGGTGGTCAGCATCCAGTTCCGCTCCATAGCTGAGAATCTGATTGGCAAATCTGTCCAGCTCTTGAATGGTTCTTGGGAACCAGGGCACTGAAACACAGAGAAGGCAACGTCCTGAGTACAGATTGGCAGAACATGGCCAAAGGCCTTGCTGAGATCAGAAGTGGGGATCCCAGCCAATGGTGATGGCAAGTGGGCTGGCTTCCAGATAACCCCCAAATTACTATCGTTCAAAAGTTAAACTCCATTTTCCTTAGAAACCGGTTTTAAAACCCATTCCCAAATACATTCTCTTTCCTGGAGATGTTCTCTGAATTATCTCAAAACTCATCTCCCTCCCACCCGTCATGGTAGTTTTCTTTGATGGTTTTCTTTAGCAGCAGAATTTTTTTCCCTTCTGTCACCCAGGCTGGAGTACAGTTGCATGTGATCTTGGCTCACTGAAACCTCTGCCTCCTGGGTTCAAGTGACTCTCCTGCCTCAGCCTCCCGAGTAGCTGGGATTACAGGTGCACGCCATCATGCCTGCCCAATTTTTGTAGTTTAGGTAGAGGCAGAGTTCTACCATGTTGACCAGGCTGGTCTCAAACTTTTGACCTCAGGTGACCCACCCCCTTGGCCTCCCAAAGTGCTGGGATTACAGGCATGAGCCACTGCGTCCGGCCATTAGCAGCAGAATATTACATATAGGCCCAAAATATAAATTATATAAAACCAGACTGTTCTACTGTAAATGAGCTCATGAGAACCCATCTTCCCATTATGTGTTTCCCTCCCAAAGGCCCCAGGCACTGCAGCAAAATCTTTCGATCGCAAAGCCAGTTAGAAAGCCGTTGTTGAAGCAGAGTGAACAGAGTCAGATAGTTGGGATCTGAAGATGCCTTGCAGCACCTAAAGGATTTCAGACTTGCTTCTGAGCCAGTGTAGTGGGGAAGGGGTTGGGCTTGAGTGGGGTGGACTACAACACCTGGGTCTTGCAGAGAGAGGGGCCCAGGGAGAAGGGCAGGTGGCAGCACCGACATCCCTGTGGGTTACAGGAAACAAGATACATTGCAGGTGAAATTTTCCCAGGAATGAACAGAGACAAGGGCATTTTGGACCGTAAGTTTCATGAGGGCAGAAACCATGGGTACTTTGTTGTACCGGGCATAAAGAGAAAAAGAAGGAGGGAAGGAAGAGGGAAGAGAGGGAGGGAAGAAAAGGAAAGAAAGGAGGGAGAAAACAAGATAAGGAAGGAAGGAAGAAAGAAAAGGAGGGAAGAAAGAAGGGAAGTAATGGATTCACCCTGGTTGTGTTAACATTTAAGGTATTGACAGCAGTAACCACCATCCAGAGTGCCTGCTTTGGTACAGTTGCTATTTCTGACGTACCTTCAAAATAAGGAAGGCATGATAACCCCTCTTGCGCGGGTAAGAAACTGGGGCTCTAAAAGCTTAAATAGCTGATTTGAGATCACACCAGGAGTAAGAAAGTGGTAGATTCAAAAAGAATCCAGAGAGCCAAAATAGACGTGGTGGGAACCCTGAAGTGAGTGCAAGGCTTCCAGAACTTCCCCTGAAATGAGGTCGAGGGGAAGATGCTGAACTTCCAATCAGCATGCGGTCTGGCTTAGAATCCGGGTTCCATCTGCCTACTTATCCTCTCTGTGTCTCAGTTCCTCCTCCGGGAGGAGGAGGAATAAACAACTGGGATACACAACTATAGGAAGAACAGCAAACGTGTTTTTGAAGCCTTCCTACGTGCCAGGCACTTCTGGTGGAGCATTTCTGGTGGAGTAGCTACTTGAATCTGAGGATTGCTGTGGGCAGTGATGAGAAACAAGCAAAGGGCGCCGCTCAGCGTCTGGTACATAAAACGTGACTTTCAATCTGACACCCATGATTCATGATTCTGACCTGCTTAGATGGGGCAGGAAAGAGCATGTGTGCTATCTAGTGGCCAATCTGGGGAAATTCCCTCCGTGATCTAAACAGGAGCCTCAGGAGGAGCAGCAGCTGCATTCCAGCAAAACAAGGAGAGCTGATTCCAGCAGTTCATAAAGGTCCATTTAGACCCTTGTTTCTGCAGAGCTGAGGAACCTAGGCTCTCTACCACCCATGTTAGCAATAAAACTAACACTGAATGGTGTTCTAAATATTTTACCTGTGGGGGGGGGGTACTATTAATGTTCCCATTTTAAAGACGAGGACACTGAGGTACAGAGAGGTTTAGTGCAAACTCAAACACACACTGCTAAGAAACAGTGGAGTCAGGATTCAAATGCAGGTCCAGCTGACTCTCTGGCCTCTGGTCTTGATCGTCAATGCATCTTGCCAATCATGGGAAGGTGGCAGAGCATACTGATAAGGAGGGCTGACTGTGAAGCCAGATTTCCTGCCCAGAAGTTTCCATGCCCCTAAAGCACAGCCCTCTTTTCCAGATTGGCTCCCTATGGACAGCAAGAACAGAGGCAGATGCTGCAGCCATCACTCCAGGTAACACTTCTGTCGTACTTGCTGTGTGTTGGACACTGCCCTAAACATTTCACATATGCTACCCCCTTCAATTTCTGCAACAGTCCTTTGAGGTAGGTATTATTATTATCCCGTTTTACAGATGAAGAAACTGAGGAACAATGAGGGCAAGTCTCTTGATAGACCTCCTTGGTCCCAACTGCTGAAACTTTGGAGTCTCGGATGACTCAATACCATGCTCTGTTCATTTGGTGAGGAACGTGGCTTCCCGCCTTGTCACCTACACTCCTCCCCAAGCTCTCCTTCCTCAGTGGGTCCAGCATTTGCGTTGTACACTGAACCTCTGTTGTCAGTGCCAAGAATGGGAGTTGTTTCCCACCCAGGTTTGCATGGGCTTGAGAAAGGAATCAGCACTTTAGAGTCACCCAGGGCTCAGCATCTTCTAAAAGATCTTTCTTGCTTCTCCAGGACATTGCCACCAAGGGGTTTCAATGAATGGCACCCACCTGGACAAGGGGGCCTGACTCTTTCCTCTATGTTCAGGACCATGGATAATCTCATCCCCACACTGCGGAGGTAGCCTGCCTCCACTCATTCATCATCTCTCTTTTGCCTGGGAATCGTTCATAATTCTGGCAGTAACTGCTGCCCCCAGAAATAAGGCAGAACAAGTCCTTTCTTGCTGCAACCCCTTCTTACTTAGGGGACATTTAGAATGACCAAAGGAGATTCCACAAATATGTACTGAGCACCTCCTGCGTACCAAGCACAAAGCATTGTGGGGTGCATACAAGGGAGTCACCATCCTAGTGGTGCTTACATTCTGGCAGGGACAACACGAGATAAGCAATAAATAAATGTAAATACATGACAATGTCAGGAAATTCTTGAAGAAGAAGAATAAAGAAGCATAAGGAAATGGAAAGTGATGGGGATGCTCTTTTTTAAATTCTTTTTAAAAAATTCCATCTTTATTGGGGTATAATTGAACAATAAAAAATGCATATATATTTATAATATAAAATTACAATTGCATAAAATTGTATAATTTATATTTACATAATTATATTTGTATATATTGCATATATTTTATTATTTATTAATTTAATTTATTTATTTGAGACAGAGTCTTGCTCTATCACCCAGGCTGGAGTGCAGTGTTGTTGTCTCGGCTCACTGCAACCTACGCCTCCCGGGTTCAAGCAATTTTCCTGCCTCAGCCTCCCAAGTAGCTGGGAATACAGGTGCGTGCCACCACACTCGGCTAATTTTTGTACTTTTAGTAGAGACAGGATTTCGCCATGTTGGCCAGGCTGGTCTCGAACTCCTGACCTCATGATCTGCCCACCTCGGCCTCCCAAAGTTCTGGGATTACAGGTGTAAGTCACTGCACCTGACCTATTGCATATATTTTATATAACACATATATATTTATATTATAAAATTATAAATACAATGTAATTATTTAATAAATGCATACATCATGGTTACCATGATCAAGTTAATGAACATATTCATCATCTCATGTAGTCATTTTTCCTGTGCGGGTATGGAGTGGGACAAGGACACTTGAGATCTCTCTGAGCAAATTTCAAGTACACAGTAAAGTGTGATTAACAATAGTCACCATGCAGTACATTTGACCCCCCAGTACTTGCTCATCTTATGACTGAAACTTTGTACCCTTGACCATCTCCCAATTTCTCTCATCACCCTACCCCCTGGCAACCACCATTCTACTCTCTGCTTCTATAAATTCAACACATTTTGAATTGGATATAAGTGAGATCAAGCAGTATTTGTCTTTCTGTGTCTGGCTTATTTCACTTGGCATAATGCTCTTAGGGTTCACCCATGTTCTCCCAAATGACAATATTTCTTTTTTCATGGCTGAATAATATTCCATTGTGTGTGTGTCAGGAGGGTATCGCATTTTCTTCATTCATCCACCTGTTGATAGATATGTAGGTTGTTTCCCTTGGCTGTTGTGAATAATACTGCAATGAACAGGGGGTGCAGATATCTCTTTGACATACTGATTTCATTTCCTTTGAGTATATACTCAGACATGAGATTTCTGGAAAGTATGGTAGCTATATTTTAATTGTTTGAGAAACTTTCATGCTGTTTTCCATAATGGCTGTGCCAACTGACATCCCCACCAGCAGAGTACAAGGGTTCTCTCTTCTCCGCATCCTTGCCAACTCTTACCTCTTGTCCTTTTGATGTTAAAGACAACATGCTATTTACTATGAAATCCTCTGCCTCTAGACCCCAGAGGGAAGACCCTGGTGACTTGAAATTGCCTTGGCATGGCTCAATGAAATCTGGGATACTCAGGATCTGGCCCTAGTCCAGAGTTGGTTTCCTATTTGTGTCATGAATAGTCAGTCCAGCAATGGTTAAGAGTCTTAAAACAGCCAGACAGCCCAGGTTTGAATCTTATCTCTGCATTTACTATCTATGAGCCCAGGAAAAGTTATTACATCTCTTTGTGCCTCACTCTTCCTATCTTTGAAATGGTGATAATAGTAGTACTAGAAAGTATTGCTTTATAAGAACAACATGATGTTAAATGAGTTAATATGCGTGATTTATGGAAAACAATACTGGCACATAGTAGACAGTATTACTGCTCAGCTGTGAGTTACATATGTGTGTATGTATATATACACATACACGTATACACACATACTATATATATCTGTATATATATGCATATATATACACTATATATATATATATATATATATATATATATATAAAATTTTTTTCTACTGTATCCTTAGCTTATCATAGCAGAGAGCAGAGTGGAAAGTTTTCCAGCAAGCCTAGAAAGTCTCTACCACTTATTTCGTTGTGTAACTGGCAAGTGTCTTATCTCCTGGAGCCTTAGTTTCCTTATTCACAAAATGAATTAAAATGCTCTTTCCGTATTATTGGATGAATTAAATGCTGCAGCAATATGACACATCTTAGCACAGTGGCCCATAATATGTGTTTTATCAATGTTAACCATTAATATGACAAAGATTTTAATGATGATGATTAAAGGAGGAGGAGGAGGAAGAAGAGGAGGAGGGAGGAGGAAAGAACAGAGATTGGGATCAGGAAGCTGGTTCTCTGTCCAGCTTGGGTATTAAGAGGTTTCTAATCTTGGGCTTTAGTTTCTGTAACATGTGGGTATTAGATTTATCGGCGCAGCAAACCCTTTTGAGTTTCATATTCAGAGACCTGTGGGATCCTCTGAAGGGCTGAGGCTGGCCAGATGATACTTGAAAAGTCAGCTCCACTTCAATCAATGTGTCAACCTCATTTATTTTTCAGAAGTACAGTCACTACATTTGTTCAGCTCCCAAATGCACAGCCTCATTTTCCTTTCTCCTCCCACCAGAGAAACAACATTCTTCCCCACAGACCTCAGTCAGGGTGCACCACCTTGACTCAGGGCTGTGCAGGCTGGCTGGCGCTCAGCGAACGCCAGAGGGCAGCAGAACCAGCATATTTCTAGCTCTGGGTGACTTTTTCCTTCTCCAGAGGAAAATTCTTATCGGGCCACCTGGCTTCATTCAGCCCTCTTGGTAGGAGAAACAAGACAAAATAAAACAAAACGAAAACAAAAAATTTGAAGAACTTGAGAAAGTTGCCAAGACTCAGAGGATTCAAGTCTTTGTAAAAAGAAGACAAAGATCAAAACAGCTCACCACATCCCAGACCTCTGAGCTCTGCACCTTGTCGCAGAGGCTGTGAGGGACCCCGAGGTAGCACTGCGAGGCTGCAGGGTGCTCACCTGAGTCCAGGGGCCTTTGGTGGCTTCAGGACCCCATCATCTTCAAGAAAAGGTCCAAAACACAGCCAGGCCAGAGAAGTGGCAAAGCCTGGGGACTCATCATACACACTTTGGAGCCAGACCACCTAGCTCCAATCTCTACTTTGGAACTTTGTGCAAATTACTTAAGCCCTCTGTTCCCTAGTTTCCCATTTACAAAATAGCTATACTAATAGTACGTCCTTCAGAGGGTTGATGGGAGGATTAAAATGAACTCATGTATGAAGAGTTCTTAGAATGGTGTCTGGCACACAAGTGCTTCTAAGTATCTGATAGTGGTATTATCATTATAGAAGGACAAGTGAGAAAGGGTGAGAAGCTCTGGTGCTCACTTCCTCCAGGCAGCAGCCCAGCTCCACATTTGATCTATTCCCTTACATAAAGTTAATGCCCTTGGGTGCAGCCTATTTGTCTTCTAGGGTAGGATGAGGACCCAGGTCAGACCTAACCATTAAGAGAAATTCACCAGCTGTCATGTTGGAGAGCAGGGACAAAGCCTGAGGAACAAGACCAGGGAGAGGCACCTGGGTGCTGGGTGTTGGGGACTGGGGGTCGATCCCTGATGTGGCTCACTTCCCAGCTTGCAGAGTTGTGAAGCAGGCAATGTGAGGACCTCAGGAGAGACCACAGAGGACCCCAGACAAACTCAGTGCCGAGCCTTGACACATGTGCTGACTCTTTACATTGTGCAAAGGGTGTGCACATCCTGGGTTTGAAGCCAGCAGGTCTGAGTTCAAGTCTCATCTTTCCCACCCACACAACATGGAAGTCTGAGCAAACTACTTAATTCCTGCGTCTCTGGCTTTGCATCTGTGAAATGGGCAAGGTGCTGAGCACTTGCCTGCCTCCTTCTTTGGGGTGGGAAGAAACTGACCCAAAACAGGTGCATCTGTGGCATCAGTCCTTGCACCTGAGCCTCATAATAAACTCCAGAGTTGCTTGTCTGACTAAGATAGTGGTCCCAGAGGCCACTAGAGGCCAAGCCAGTCCATGCTTATGTCTCTAACCTCTGCACCTGGGCTCTTCTGATTTTTCCCAGGCAAAAAGGTAGGACTACCCTTTTTCCTCTAAAGTTACATTTTCTTGAGCGCTTATTATGCACCAGATACTGTGCTAAGTGCTTTACTTTCATCATCTCCTTTAATTCGCAAAACAGTCCCAGGTGGTAGACATTATTGCTGTTCACTGATGAGCAAATAGGCTCAAAGAGACAAAGTGATTTGCTCAAGATCACTGAGCTAGCTGAGCCGAAAGAACAATTTTGCAGCCGATGCACTTCACCAAAAAGCAATGCTGGGCTTAGAATAAAGGTGTGGTGGTGGTGAAGGGGTGCTTTTAAATTTTAGATTCCTTTTCTCCCACCTTGAGAAGGAAAGGAAGCGTGACAAACTAAGGCTCTAAAGGTGCTTGAAGAAGATCCCTAGGACAGCCTTGAGTCTGCCCCATCCTGAGCATCCCTGGATTTAGGGATAGTCACTTTTTAACCTAAGTTCTCTTCACATACCCCTTATTTTCTTTAGTGAAGGCTGCAGGTCCCTTCCCCCTACCCGGTCTCTCTCACAAAGCTGGAAATAGAGACTGACCCCAGCGACCCAGGCCTCCGTTTTGAAAAGTTAAATCAGATTAGCTCATTAATGGCCTTGCCAAATACCTCGGCCGGTGGGCTGGCCTCTGTGAGCCCCTTAACAGCCTCTCCGGCGGGCGGCTGGGCTCCGCGGTTAATGAATGACTTGGGCAGGCTGGGGCAACAGAGGCCCTCTGTGGAGCGGAGGCACCCGGTGGGGGCAGATCATTAATAAATATTGATTTGGCTCCAAAGGAAGCAGCCCGCTGGAGAGCTGGCCCTGGACACCCACGTAGTGGTCCCATTAAGTCGGGGTCAACTGCTCAGCCGGGACGCCAAGGGGTGGCTGGCTCAGGAGCACCACTGAGCAAAAGACCCCCCAGGCCTGGCCAGAGCCTGCTTCCTGGCCAGTGGGTCAGAGGAGGCCCATTCAATTTACAGCAGTTCAAGGTGCAGGCTGAGTCCAATCTTAGCCCCTCCCTCCACCCGATGTTCACCAGCCCCAGGGGTTAGCCAGCAAGGCACCCAGGCTTGCCTCCAGCCTGTCTCAGAGAGAGCAATAAATCCTGGTTTCTTGGGTCTGAAATAGAAGGCTGTTTTCACCACCTCCTCCCAGGCTCCCGGATGTCTCCTCTTAGGCAATGGCCTCCAGCCCCCCAGAGAAGCAGTCCCTGTGTGCTGATCTCCACAGCTCCCACAAAGGAAGAAGAGATGGCATGCCAACATCCTGCAGGAGGAAGACTTTTGAGGGTTTTATTCTTCTCTTTTAAGTAGCTTCTACTTTCTTTCTGGAGAAGGAATGCTCTTCAGGAAGCTCTTGGCAAGAATGATGAGCCAAAGGCTGGCTGATGATGCCCAGCTATTACCCTCTGCCTCCTGGAGACAGCAGTGGTCAGAAGTCAGGAGTGGTGATTTTAGGACAAAGCATCTGTTCTCTCTGTTCACATGGAAAAATAAGAATCCCCAAACCAGATGAATAAAAGGGATCTCACACATGAAGTAAAGAGTGAAACTGTGCTTAATAAGCGGAGGGAGTGAGTGAATAGATATGAGTGGAATTATGAATAAATAAAATAACCTGTAGGGCTATTTATTCCAACCACCCACCTAAATTACAACTACCCTCCCAATATCCTTTTTAAGATACTATGTATCTCATAAACATTATCCATTGGCAGGTTGGCCCCCATATCCCCAAATATCTAATTCTGTCTTCTGAGAGCTCACCATTGCATTGAGATCTGGTTACCTGTCACTGACAACCCTAGTTATGGTCAAGCAACATTGGGTCAAACAGAAGACATCTAAAGCCTCCTCCATGTATTGGTTATGTCACTCCAGGAGCACTTATTTGGCCCTGCTCCCCTTCTTCTCATCAACTGACCCCACGCCTGGGCTCAGTGCCTTGGTGCACCTCCTAAGACTACTGAGGCATGCCATCTTCTCTATCATTGCCATGTATTATGCCATGTAGCCACAACCTACTAGATTACAAAATGCATGGGTCTAGGCACCATGTCTGTCTTTTTCACTATTGCATCCTATCATGTGGCTGACACCGAGTGGGCACTCAATCAATATCGGTAGCATAAATGATCAACTGAATTAGGAGATAGATGTGAATGAGAGAGGAAGTTGGCAACGCTGACTCTGTGCTGTTTGAGAAGGAGTAGTAAGAGAAGGAAGAAAATCCCAACAGTCAAGGTTTTTAAAAAGTAAGGGCCACATAATTCATAACATGCTAAGGAAAGAGAGAATTCCTGGGGGATATTTGTATCAAATGCTACAAAAATGTCGAAGAGGATGAAAAAAAGAGAGGCTATTGGTTTTGAGTATTGTCAGAATGGTACAAGAGAAAGGAAGATGAGAAGAAAAAAGGGAAAGAAGAAAGAAGGAAGCAAGGAGGAAAGAGGATGGTGGAAGTAGGGAAGGAACGAGGAAGAAAGAAGGGAAGGAGAAAGAAAAGCTGCATGAAAAGCTGACCTTCTATCTCATATGCCAGTGCCATGTGCAATCTAGCACAAAGTCAAGTGGATGATGTTAAGCACAAAAAATATTTGGAAATGAGAGATCATTCACAGGGACCCTCATACAATCCCACACATGAAGTTGTCTCCGTGGCTGCTAGGTAAGCCTGGCTTCAATGAGGTGGTGGCTGCCACCAACTCTTTATATATTATTATTGGCCTGCTAAGTGTCTATGTCCACGGAGCTGGTGGTGACAAGTGACCTGTTATTGGCTGGGGTTATAGATCATAGAGAGCTCTCCCTATTGAAACTTAAGGATGTCTAAGATCAAGGGCCTATTCAACTCAAGCAAGTCCAATTTGATCTTTCAAGCACCCTTATGCACAGGGTACTCCACATAATCCCCTCCATGAGCCACAGGAATTGGGAGAGTGGGTCTTTGCTCCATTTCACAGATGAAGGAGAAGCGGTCATCCATCTGGAAGGGTGTCAGATGGAATTCAAACCTAGCTAGTAGTGTACAAAATGGAGACCCAAATCCTGGCTCTTGACTCTAAATTCATGGCCCTTAGTGCATCACGACAATACTCCCTCAATCCAGCATGATGGCAAAGTGATATTTAGTTAGTCATTCCATGTCCTTTTACTTCCTTCTTCAATTGAGAGAACACACCTGTCACACAGAGAAAATGTATTCCCAGTCTAAATTTTTCTACCTTTCACAATCTTTTGGACTGACCCAAATGGCATTTCACGGTTGCCTTTGTTTATCAAACTTCAGGAGTTTTGGGAGTTTGGACTTGCTCAACCCTAAGATTCATTGTGTACCCTTATGAGAGACTTAAGGGTAAGTTTACTTGTAACCTTTTGCATGGGCCCTACACGCTAGGCACTTTATGCAAATTATATCATATAATCCACACAACCACACTGGTACCTGGATTTCTTCATTTGCAGATGAGAAAATTGAGGCCTAAAGAGGGAAAGCAACTTGGCCGAACAGCTACAGCCCAGGAATTGAACTGGAAAATCCATGCAACCTTTTAATTATACCTTTCTGACTTGTTTTCTAATATTGAAAACAAGAATAATACTATGTTTGCTTTAGCTGCCTGAGTTGGTTGTTGCAAAGCTTAAATGAGATAACCTAATGCGAAAGAATTTGGAAAACACTGGGTGTGGCATATCACTGAGGGATTCCTCTTAGAATGAGAGCCTCCTTATAATTTTGTAATCTTCCTGAGCTTGAAGCTCTGTGACCTGGCAAACTAGATGGGCTGCAGAAATAGCATTTGCTCAGGATCTTCCTTTGCCAATGAATAGAGTTGCCTGTGACTGACTGCAGGGAGCAGACAGTCTACCAAGGATATGAAGGGACTCTGCTTCCCACTCCTGGGTTGGTGTCACCTCCCCCTGAATGGGCTGATCCTCTCAGCTGGAGTCTGCTTGTCTCAGTGAGGCAGTTTGCTGAAACGAGTGACCTCCCCAGCTGCCAGGACTTAGTGCTACATCAGTGCATCCAGCAAGCATCCAGGTAAAGACTGAAAAAGACAGCCAATCCTGTGTGTTTTTGCAAACATGCAGATACTTGGTCTCCTGCAGACACAGAGCCACATACATCTACAGCTGTGAAAGGCACACATGGAATGCACAAAGTGAAATGCACGGGAGAAGGTTTAGAACTGAGAAGAGGGCAATGGGAAGGTGGAGACAGAAAAGCCAAGCAGAGGAAAGGAGAGAGGAAAGAAAAGTGCAGGTGGTGGGAGTGGGGAAAAACTCTAACCAGATGGATTCCCTTCCAGCCCTAAGCGGCTTCTCTCTAAAAATTCTTAACTCTTTGGGAACCATAGCCCCTTTGAAAAATCTTGTCTCCTAAAAATTATGCATGCACACCCATGTATTATCTTGCCCACAATCCCAGGGGCTTTTCAGAGCCCTCTAAGGAATCCTATCCTCCCTTCAACCCCAATTGATCTGAAATGTCAGCTTTACTCAGCACAGTTCTTCAGGTCAGCAATGTTGAAGCAGAAGAAACTCAAGAAGGCAAGGAGGGGCAACAAGAGGGAAGGAATGACTATAATGATGTTGCTTTTGTCTTCTCACAGTAATCATAAGTGTTCCCAGACAACATAGATAGATAGATAGATAGATAGATAGATAGATAGATAGATAGATAGATGATAGATGATTGATGGACAGATAGATAGGTAGATAGATGATAGATAGACAGGTGTAGATGATAGATGATGGATAGATAGACGGATAGATAGATAGACAGATAGATAGATAGATAGATAGACAGGCAGATAGGTCTTTCTGCTTTCCACAGAACCAGTAGTTGTTCTGGCAATTTGAACTCACTTTTCTTCCCCACCAGGACCCTTATAATCACCATAGATTAAACAAAACCCAACAGATATTTATCTGCTCTTGGAAAATAACTGCAAACATATTTCTCAAATGGTGATGTTCCTAACTTCTGTCTACCCAAGACATTGTGTCTGTCTGCTTCTCCTGGCTGCAATCTCTCTCCACGTAGGAATTTTCTAGCCCCCACTAAATGTAATGTCATGCAGTCGACTCAAAGGGAAAGGTAAAAGGATTAGTAGATTGATCGATGAAAGATATTAATGCTCTTTCATGTTGGGTTGAAGAAGGATTTGAAGTCATCAGGAAAGAGGGTAGCAGGAGAATAGACCTCAAGTATTCAAAAGACTCTCTGGATTAAAATCCTATTAAATTCACATCAGCTTCTCCAGGAGGCATTTGAGAAGGTTGGGGTTTCTTTACCATGTCGCTGTAATTAACCTTCTCTTAAGCTGTTTTGGGTGGGGAACTTTCGCAATTAAGAAACTGAAAAACTTTTATTTTCTATCACCCACATGGCTTTTTGAATGGTTTAAAAACTAGAGTGGAAAGTAGTTTAGCTTAATTGATTTGAGGGGTTCAGATCTCCTACTTGAACCTGCTGTCAGACTCGCCTCTGAGATCTGAGCCCCACAATAAAAAGGGCATTTTGTCCGGAGAAAGAATCAAAGGTTCAGATCTACTACAATGCTTTTCTTCCTCTGACTGTTCTCCCACTGAGTCCTATAGAAAGGGCAACTTTGCAAAGGAATGGTTGTTCCCCTTAAGAAAAACCTGTTTCTTGGCCCAGACCCCACTTCACGGAAACTACCACAGAAACCCAAAGAGTCTTTCTTGGCAGATGCCAGGTCGTGGCATGTCAACATCAGCTCTCTCATTACAGGTATGGTAAGGTCAGGTGGGGGCAGCCACTATGGGATTGGGTGACCAATCATCTGAAGAAATAAGGGTCACAAAACACATGTTATTTTAAAGGGTTGGTCTTAGCTAGTTTTTCTTCCCTAGGGAAAATGTCATCCCACTTCAAATATCAACAACTTTGACATTTTGAGCAAGAAAGCGAGAAGCCCCATTAGGGAATTGAATCTGTGCTTCCTCCAGGCTCCAATAAACCCAACTTTTATTACATGATGCCTCTATGTGAAAACATTAACTTTTTAGGCCGGGCACTGTGGCTCACACTTGTAATCTCAGCACTTTGGGAGGCCGAGGTGGGCGGATCACCTGAGGTCAGGAGTGTGAGACCAGCCTGAACAACATGGCGAAACCCCGTCTCTACTAAAAATATAAAAATTAGCCGGGCGTGGTGTCATGTGCCTGTAATCTCAGCTACTCGGGGAGGCTGAGGCAGGAGAATGGCTTGAACCCGAGAGGCGGAGGTTGCAGTGAGCAGAGATTGTGCCACTGTACTCCAGCCTGGGCGACAGAGTGAGGCTCCATCTCAAAAAAAGGAAAACATTAGCTTTTTTACTTTCTTACTTCCTGGATCCTCAGAGCTAAACATGAGTGGAGAACAGGCGGAATCACACCAACCCTGTCTTTGTCACAGCACCTGTCCCTCTATTCTACTTACCTGGGTGTGTCTTCCCCTTTGCCAGGCTGTGAGCTCCTTAAGAACAGGCAGATTGACCCTTTCTTTCCTAGCACTGTGCCCGGCACAGAGCTGCTCTCAACACACCCTTGCGCATGACCCCCCAGAACCCACTGTTTGCCTTAAGGCAAGTCACAGCCTCTGTTTTCACAATGAAAAATGAAGGGGTCTGTAGGGCTGCATGACCTCTCAGGTCATTTTCCAGTTGCCAGACTCTGAAAAAGTAGCTGTGTACAGGCTGCATTTTGGTCGCTCTTGTGCTCATGCCAGTGTTTATAATAATAATGATGATAATGGTAAGAATAGAGAATAACTTTAAGTCCTTAATTAAACATGCTCTGCTCTGTTCCCAGTGCTTCACTTGTGTGATTTCACCAATCCTATAAGGCAGAGGCTCTTGTGACTCCCCTTTGATACAGTGGGAGACTGCAAGGGTCAATGATTTGCTCAAAGTCACACCGAGTGTGGTCGCCGTGCTTCCTGAATCTGCACTCTTAACTCCCCCTCAATGTCCCCACTAAGAACCTCCTTTCTGAGCCTCCAGTTCAGGCTGCCGGCTCTCCAGCTGGTTTACTATATATTCCCTGGCTCCTCCAGGGGCTGGCTGTCTGCCTGTCAATTGCTTTGATTTCCTTCCTCATGGCCCCAGCTGGCCCAGCCTCCACCTGCTCCAACCAGAGGCTGAATTGCCCCAGGATCTGGCAGGCCCTTTGTCCAAAGGGTCTGCAGCTCCTGTTGAGAGCAGGTGGCCGGAAAAAAGCAAGGGAGGGCAGTCATTGGGGAAGCAGCTTGGGAGGCTGAAAAGGAAAGAAGGCAGGATAGGACTAATCCAGGGAGGAATTCCAAGTGCCTGCCCTCCAGGGACCTGAGCCCATCTGCATGGCTGTCCACTCTCCACAAGGCCAGAACACTGGAGTGGGCTTTCCTTGCCTTGGTTATACCTACAGGAGAATGAAGGCAGAGATGAGTCTCCTAGAAAGGCCATGGAGCTACCTTTTAAAAAATGTTTCAGTGGCCTGTTTTACGGGGTGGATCTTGTCTCATTTTAAAGCATCTCTGCCTATTCAAATGCTTCTTTCAGCTATGGTGCCTGAACTCCTCTTGACCCAAAGTCTTTCCAAGTGTTTTTGAAAGAAACTCGATTTTACAGTAGAAAAAAAATAATTTTTTAAAGAAGTTAACCTCAGCAATCACATTCTTAGGTATTTACTTGAATCAGTTGAAAACTTATCTTCACACAAAAAAACTGCACATAAATGTTTATTCACAGCTTTATTCATAATCATCAAAAATTGGAAGCAACCAAGATGTCCTTCAATAGGTGAATGAATAAACAAACTGTGGTACATCTTGACCATGGAATATTATTCAGGAACAAAAAGAAATGAGCTATCAAGTCACAGAAAGACATGGAGGATTTGTAAATATGTATTGCTAAATGGAGGAAGCCAGTCTGAAAAGGCTACATACTGTATGATTTCAACTATGTGACATTCTTGAAAAAGCAAAACTATGGAGCTAGCAAAAAGAGCAGTGGTTGCTGGAAGGAGTCTGTAAAGAAGAAGGAATGAATAGCTGGAGCACAGGGCATTTTTTAGGGCAATGAAACTATTCTGTATGACATTGAAATGGTAGATACATGACATTACGCATTTGTCAAAACCAATAAAACTGTAAAATACAAAGCATGATCCCGAATATAAACTATGGACTTCAATTAGTGATAATATATCAATATCGGCTCATCAGTTCTAAAAAAAAATACCACACAAATGCAAGATGTTAATAGAAGAAACTGAGGTAGGGATGAAAGACCTGGGAACTCTCTGTACTTTCTGTGCAGTTTTTCTGTAAACCTAATACTGCTCTTTTAAAAAGTCTATTAAGGCCAGGCACAGTGGCTCATGCCTGTAATCCCAACACTTTGGGAGGCTGAGGCGGGTGGTTCACCTGAGGTCGAGAGTTTGAGACCAGCTTGACAAACATGGTGAAATCCCGTCTCTATGGAAAATACAAAAATTAGCCAGGCGTGGTGGGGCATGCCTGTAATCCCAGCTACTCAAGAGGTTGAGGCAGGAGAATTGCCTGAACCCAGGAGGCAGAGGTTGCAGTGAGCTGAGATCGCACCATTGCACTCCAGCCTGGGCAACAAGAACGAAATTCTGTCTAAAAAAATAAAAATAAAAATAAAAAATAAAATAAAAAGTCTATTAAAAAATGGTTCATTTGAATATGCTTGAGGCCCTAAAAAGCAGTCACCTTCTTCCTCTGTATTGCTTTCAGGCTAATCATAATCATAATAACAACCACATGCTATCATTTGTCCAGCCCTACAGTGCACCAGGCACTGTTCTAAGCACTGTTTATGTATGACTTCATTTAATCCTCACAAAAGCCCTATGAAAAATTGAGGTCAGGGCAGTTAAAGCAATTTGTCAGGGTATCAAACTCAATATGTGGAAGAAGTAGGACTTGAACCACAGTCTATTCAACTTCAAGCCCACACTTATAATTTCTATACTCTACCACCCTTTTCCTCCCCGGAGGATGAGTAGCATTTCAGTACGTAAATAATGGGACAATGCAAGTTTTGACAACTCCTATATTAGTCATTCACTCAGAAATATGTGCAGAGCACCTGTGTACCAAGCAGTGTGCTAAACTCTGAGGATATAAATATAGGTAAGAGAGTCTACCTGCCCACAAGGAGATTGTATGAGAAGAAGAGACAGATAAGAAGATGGAAAATGACAATGAAAGCCCTAGTAACAAGGAGCCAGGTGTCTCCAGCTCTGGAATTGGCATGTTACAAAAAGGACTTGAAGAGATCCCTTTGGTTGGAGTGGAGAGATTCAAAAATCCATTCAATCATCTTGAGTTGATTTTTGTATATGGTAAAAGGCAGTGGTCCAGTTTCAATTTTCTGCATATGGCTTTCGAGTTATCCCAGCAGTATTTATTGACTAGGAATTCCTTTCTTCATTGCTTGCTTTCATGGGTTTTGTTGAAAATTAGATACTACTTATTGGGTATTATGCTGATTACCTGGGTGACAAAATTATCTGTATACCAAATTCCCATGACACACAATTTACCCGTGTAACAAACCTGTACATATAACCCTGAATTTAAAATAAAAGTCAAAAGAAAAAAGAGAGAGAAAAATAAAAATAAATAAAAATTAAAAGCTTATAAAGTAAAAAAAAAAAAGAAAAAAGAAATAGCTATCTTTAGGAAGGGGAAAAATAACTAAAATTCACTATATGTCTAAAATATACCAGGCACTTGCCTAGGTCCCCAACCTATGTCCACTCATTTAATCCCCCAAACAGTCTTCCAAGGCATTATTTCCAATACATATATATTAATTTTGCTTCCGCAAAATAACAGCAATATATATTAAATATACATATATTTAAATATGCTGTTAAATATGTATATTGCTGTTATTTTATGAAGACAGTGTGGAGTTACTTATGTTGCAAAATTCCTCTAATTCTTACCTGTGTCTTTCTTCTTATCTCGTGAAAGCTCATGGACAGTGGCACCAATGTCATGCCTCAAGATCTTGATGATGTTTGTCAGAGCAGGCAGGCTACGTTTATCCAAATGGGTGAAAAATTCATACTCATCTTTCTTTAAACGAGAAGGTCTAGATTCAATGTGGGTCAGGTTTACATCATTCTCCTAGAAGAGAGAATGGGGAGGGTGAGGAGACAGTCACTGGAACTAACGCAGGCCAAAGATGCAGAACCAGAACAGGAAAACCTAACGCAACAAAATGGAGAGTTCAAGAATACAATTATTTTTATAAGAGTATAAAAAAGTCCTTAAATTTGCAAAAGTTGTTTACTTTTTCTTCTTTAAAACCAAGTACTAAGTGGCAGGAGGTGGGGCAGTTAGTTCACATGTCACAATTTAATCACATGAAAATCTGCTAAAGGCCTAGAATTGCCACTATAAGATTTTGATTTGGTTAAAATATTTAGGACAGTGGCTGCCAAAAATATTTACATAGGAAACACCCCCACTTTCCAAACGAAATTCTATGGAATTACAATAAATAAATAATATAGAAGCAACATTGTTCTGCTTGAATAGGGGGTCAGACTTATTTGATTTATATCTAATATCTAAATTTATTGCTTGTGAGACGATGTACTTTCATGTTTCCATTCCTCAGTTTTTCCATCTGTAACTTGCTGGTCTTAATTATACCTGCTTCATAAGTTCATTGGGAGTGTTGGATGATATGATACATGTGCACCACTTGGCACATAGTAAATGCTCAGTAAAAATTATCTAATATAATTACCACTAATATATTTATATAGGCCTGGCGCTGTGGCTCACGCCTGTAATCCCAGCACTTTGAGGGGCCGAGGTGGGCAGATTGCCTGAGGTCAGGAGTTGGAGACAAGTCTGGCCAACATGGTGAAACCCTGTCTCTACTGAAAACACAAAAGAATTAGCTGGGCATGGTGGTGTGTGCCTGTAATCCCAATCCCAGCTACTTGGGAGGCTGAGACAGGGGAATTGCTTGAACCACGGAGGTGGAAGTTGCAGTGAGCCAAGATCGCGCCACTGCACTCCAGCCTGGGCGACAGAGCGAGACTCTGTCTCAAAAAAAAAAAAAAAATATATATATATATATATATATGTATATAAAATTACTTTCCATTCAAGGTATTCAATAAATATATACATTTGTAACACCCAACAGTGGCCAATCATCCTTCTAGCGGCTTGGGATCCACCAGTGAACAAAATAAAGATGCTTTCCTTTATAAAGCTTACATTCAAGTTGAGGGGATACAAACAACAAACAGAAACTCATTTGTGCATGTTATCATGAGAAAGACTAAGGCAAAAATGCAACACAGAGCAGGGGGAAGCAAATGGGCATTCCTGAGACAGGGTGAGGGCAGATTGCAGGACTAAATAGGGCAGGCACATGGGGCCTCATTGGGATGGCAAGATTTATGTACAGTCCTAAAGGAGTTGAGAGAGGTGAAGGCCGGAAGGTGGCAGCATGCCTGGCCTGTTGAAGAGACAGCCACAAGGTGGGTTGATGAGAGTGGATGAGGTCAAGGGGAAAATAACAGGAGACAGTGTCAGAATAATCACAGGGTCATTGCAGGCCATTTTAAGAATTATGGTTTTGATTCTGAAAGAAATAGGGATCTTTGCAAGATTTTGAGCAGAGGAAGAATATGATCTCATAGGCTTAAAAGGACCAGTCTAATTTCTATGTTGAGAATAAACTTTAAGGGATAAGATAGACCAAGCAAGTCCTGTCAAGAGGCCATTGCTGAAATGCAGACAAGACGTGAAGGTGGCTATGTCTATGTTGGTGGGAGTGGAAATGGTAAGAAGATATTACATTCAGGACGTCTTCTATAATCACCTCAAAAGGATCAAAATTATCCAAGGATATGAGAAGAGTTTGTGGGTAGGAAAATGGAAAAAGTCCATCATATTCCATGCCACCCTCAGATTTGACTATTACTCTGTTGTCTATGTGGCTAAATAAAGAGAATTTCAGGAATCCAACGGGAAAAAAAGAGCACATCATATCTCCCTGAGGAATATCGTCTTTAAATCAAATATCATGGGCCAGGCTAGGTACTTGGACAATGCAAGGATGAATAAGATATTTCCTGCTTTTACATTAGCCATTCGTACCCTCATCAGACCATTTTTAGTGGCTGCCTGATGATCCGCAGCACAGATGTGGTCATAAATTCTTTAACCAATACCCTAGTGATGGGTATGTTGCTTCTTGTTTTTCTGCCACTAGAAATAACGGTCAGCAATATACATAAAGTTTTGCCTACTTGTCTAACTGATTTCTCAGAATAAATGCCTAGGGGTCAAATTGTTTAATCAGAAACTACCCTTTAAAGATTCTCTATATATTGTCCCATTGCCTTCCAGAAAGTCTATACTCATCTCTTCTATCTTCCCACTAGAGGATCCATGTTTCTCACCTGTACCACCTTTAAGGATTTTCAATATTCTTGACTTGACAGATGAAAACAGCAAATAACTCATTGTTCAATTTTTTATTTAACTGCTGATGACACTAAACATTTTTCCTAGGTTTAGTGGCCATTTGCATTTCTTTTATGAATTATCAGTTTATACCATTTTCTTATTATAGAGATTTTTTACTGATTTGTAATAATTTTTTATATTTTCATATTAACTCTCATATATATGTGTGTGTGTGTGTATATATATATATATATATATATATATAATTCAAACTGACATTTATTCTTGGCTATTCTTAAACACCTCAGTGAAAAAACAATTTTTAAAATGCTCTCAAAAAATGTTGGAACATCACAAGTATAAATAGTCTTAGAGTTTTTAAGGAATGTAGCTGTGATGCATTATCAGAAAAAAGGCAATAACTTCTTTCTCAAAGGCAATAACTGCCTGAGTATCAGAGTTTGCTTGATGTCTCAAATGTCCCTAATTGTAGAACCAAATTCCTTGGACTCCTCTGGATTACTATGGCATCTGCTGAGTGCTAGGTGCAAAATCACCAGACATAAATAAGAAGCACAAGGTGGGTTGTATAATTTGTCCAAATGCATCCTCTAAAAAATATTAGGCTGGATGACTCAAGAGTTTTATTTACAACTCTCTTGTCCCTTTCCAAGAATGGGCTGTGGGGGACTGGAGCTCATCTGTAATTATGCCACAGTTTTCTTGTAAAACCTGGACTCTTTACACTGGTTCTGAAGCAGAAATGAACTAAAAAATGAATGTTGGTCAGCAGCAACACTTGGCAAAGTCTACTAAAATACACTGAACCCCCAACACAAAGATTTCAACCTGCAGTCATCAGTCAGTGTTTTCCTGCTGGAAGCACTTGCTAAGCATGGAAGCATCCCACTCCCACATTCGTGCAAAGAGCTGGGAAGCTGCTTTCATTAAATGCCATAAAAATGTGAAAATAATGATTATTTACTACAGCTTCTCAATTTCAGTGTCTTTAGATGGGATATTTTAGCTCTTATGGTTATTACAAAAACAAAGTCATTTATTTTAGTTGGTCCTCTAACATAAATGCCCAGCAAATCATCTGCTACTTAGTCAGAAAGTATGTGATTTCCTTAGTAATGCTATTTATTTTGGAGAAAACCAAGGAGTATCATATACACTTTATTAAAACAAACAAACACATAATAGGGGTTATTCCAATATTTAAATGGACAGAAAGTATCTGAAAATATAACTAAATAACTCTAAAATTTCAAAAAATTAAAATTCACTGAACTTGTAGTTGAAGAGGTGTATCTTTTGCCTTGATCATTAACGGTATAAGGTTCAAAAGAACTGTAGTGATGCCTTTTCATACTTAAGTAACACTTTATAGTATAGAATTCTTTTCTGTGACCATCCCAACAATCCTTTGAAAAGGTTAAGGGAGACATAAAAAAATAAAATCAGAGATGAAGGTGCTTGGCCGCAAGTAGCTAGAGAGCGAGGCCCATTTTTTTTCTAATTTCAGTCATTAGTTTTTTAACCACACTGCCTTTCCTGCCAGGCATACATACAGTGAGCACTCCACAAATATCAACTTTGATTATTATTACTACCATTATGTCAAACACAAATAATTAAAACCTCTGGGTGTAGTAAATATAATAAGTAACCTCAAACAGGCTCACGGTGCAGCCATTATTTATGGCTCCAACTGCAGACAACACACCCCTGAGGGCTGTGGCTAGGGAAACCCACAGAGGGGACCCCACTAGGGAGAGAGAGAATAGTGAGGAGGTAATGCCAGAGAGATATAGATAGATCTGAAGCTTTCTCTGGCAAACAGAGATTACTTGTTAAACAAAGCAAAGAGCAATGTCATCCTTCTTGGCTCAGGAATAAAGAGAATGGGTAGGTTCCACCTACTATTTACCTAAGATGAAACTTCAAAAGGAGACATAACCAATCCCTGCCTTATGTAGAGCTGAGAGCACAGCAAATCCAAGAACCGAGAATGGACACACCTCTGGCACGCTTATTTGTGGGAGAGTTTTGGAAGGGAGGGGAGCAAAGAAGAAGTTCTGGGAAGCAGACCATAGGATACAGTGCTCATCACTCATACCCCACCCCTGGAAGCATCCACTTCCACAGCTTTGAGGATAACAATAAAACAATTTATGTTTTATGACTCAGTTTTTCTAGTGCTAGAGATTTAACTTATGGGAAAATTCACATAGCATTTCACCAAAACTTCTAAGCTAACTAAACTCCCATAATAGAGGAATGATGAAGTGGACTGTGGTATAATTACACAATGGAAGATTAGGCAATCATTAAAAAGTGAGTAACGGCCGGGCGCGGTGGCTCACGCCTGTAATCCCAGCACTTTGGGAGGCCGAGGCGGGCGGATCACGAGGTCAGGAGATCGAGACCATCCCAGCTAAAACGGTGAAACCCCGTCTCTACTAAAAATACAAAAAATTAGCCGGGCGTAGTGGCGGGCGCCTGTAGTCCCAGCTACTTGGGAGGCTGAGGCAGGAGAATGGCGTGAACCCGGGAGGCGGAGCTTGCAGTGAGCCGAGATCCCGCCACTGCACTCCAGCCTGGGCGACAGAGCGAGACTCCGTCTCAAAAAAAAAAAAAAAAAAAAAAAAAAAAAGTGAGTAACAAAAACAACAACATGTATTAAAAAACGTGTCAGTAAGCACTTCAAGACATGAGTGCAGTGGCGGTCTCTAGATGAAGGGCTTAGGGATGATTTTGTTTCCTTCTTTCTCTTTTTTTAAAATCATAGTTCAAGTTTCCTAGAAACATTTATTGCTTTTTTTTTTTTTTTTTTGAGATGGAGTCTTGCTCTGTCGCCCAGGCTGGAGTGCAGTGGCGTGATCTCGGCTCACTGCAAGCTCCGCCTCCCAGGTTCATGCCATTCTCCTGCCTCAGCCTCATGAGT
This sequence comes from Homo sapiens, assembly GCF_000001405.40. Taxonomy (NCBI): domain Eukaryota; kingdom Metazoa; phylum Chordata; class Mammalia; order Primates; family Hominidae; genus Homo; species Homo sapiens. The sequence continues at coordinate 102,900,179 of NC_000012.12, forward strand.
AGCTGGGACTACTGGCACCTGTCACCACGCCTGGCTAATTTTCTGTATTTTTAGTAGAGATGAGGTTTCACCGTGTTAACCAGGATGGTCTTGATCTCCTGACTTCGTGATCCGCCTGCCTCAGCCTCCCAAAGTGCCGGGATTACAGGCGTGAGCCACTGTGCCCAGACACATTTATTACTTTTATAATAAAAACTTAACTTTATCTGTTAAATGGTTATAATGATAACCATTGGGGTAAATACTTATAATAGATATAGGTATGGGATTATTAAAAAATGTTTAAAAAATTATGCCCGGGCTGACAAATGGGGGGTGGGGTGTGGGAGTTATGTAACTGCTACTTACTTGGCAAAAGTCTTATATGAGTGAAGTTTCTGGTTAATTACACACTGAACATAGAGCTGAATTGTTTAAATCATTTCTTTCCCTTTGAGTCAATTTGTTAAAAAATAACCCTCCAGTTTGGCATGTAATTTCCTTATTGGCGTCTTTCTAATTTACTAGTATGGATCCTTAGAAACCAATAATTTTGATTGCTAAGAGAGCCTCAAAAGTTAATTTACAAGCCTGATTAGGATCATACTTTTAACAAATGAATTTTTACTTTTCAACAAGAGGTTTGTGTAGGTTTACAAATTGACCCATATACGCTCACCACATCTTTGCTGAGGGATAAAGAAAGCACTCTTGATATTACTCCAAGTGGGCATCTCGGGGAAGGCAATAAAGGCTTGAACTTTTCAAAAACAATTTCACGATTTGTCTAATATTTAATTTATGCATAAAAGATGGCAGCATAAAACCTTGCTAATCAGGATTCAAACAGAAGATATAGGCAAGGTGAAATGAATCACCAATTTTTCTAAGGATTCACCAGAAACCACTTTCTTCTCCTATCCTTTAAGAAAGCCTTTCTAAAGGGGGATTGGTCACAAGTAAATAAAACTATAGAAACAGAGTTCATAATGGTGAAAAGTTGGCTTGTCTTTCTGGATCTTCTTTTGACTGCATACTGGGCGCCCCGTCTCCTCCTCCTCCTCTATCTTATTCACTGACAAGAGATAATGGTATCTTGCAAGTATGTGGGCTATCTGGGTTCAAATTCTGGTTCTGCTACTCACTACCTTTGGATATATTAATTGGCCATTCTGAAGTTGGTATTCTGTGTTTAAAATAAAGATAATTTTACCTGGCAGCTTAATGAGAGTTTAAAAAAGCAAAAGCACCCAACAATTTTTGTCTGCACCTAATAATTTTTGTCTTCATTAATATATATTCAGTAGGTACTCCTTATACTCTGCCTCCTCAACTTGGTATAGATACCCATTTCTCTGAAAGATGGAGCACATCACATTTTATGTGTCATTTTATCCTTCAATATTTGTTTTACCCTAAATTTTTCTCAGCTCTTTTTTTTAATTTTTTTTTTGAGAGCACACTTCAAAAAGAAGGAAAGCCTAGGCATCTTTTGAGATGAGAATAGACTGGCAAGGGAGAACTTCTTGGACCACTATGTGCTGTTATCTTGGAGTAAACTTAAGTGAAGTTATGTCCTGGCCTATTTCAGAGGTTGCTGGGGACAACATCAAAGACATTTACAAAAAATGCCCTAAATCACTGGTCTTAGGTAAATAGACAGGACCATTCAATAATTCACTCAGTTAAGCACCATTTTTGTGTTAACCACTGTTCTAGGTGCTGGAGTGTAACAGTGGGAAAAGCAGAAAAAAAAATCTCTGCCCTTGTGGAGCTTTATGTTCTCAAAGGAGGAGACAAACAGTAGTTATGGTAAATAAGTAAAATATACAGTCTTCAGATGGTGGTCAGCACCATGGAGAAAGATGAAGCAGGAAAGAGGGACTGGCTACACCATTGTGCATGGGGGTGCTATTTTTAAACAATGCAGCCACGAAGTCATAAAAAAATAAACAGGTAACCTTTAAGCATGAACCTGAAATCAGTGAGGGAGAAAAACGTGAGGGAACAGCCAGTGCAAGGGTCCTGGAGTAAGAGAATGCACAATGTGAGGGCAGACCAACAAGGAGACCGGTGTGACTGGGGCAGAGTGAGCAGGAAGCGGGGGTGTGAAGACACCAGGCAGAGAAGTTACCAGGAATAGATCATGGAAGGCCATTTTGGCCATTACCTGAACTTTGTTTGGTTTTCACTCTGAGTGATATAAGAAGCTATGAGAGGTAATTAGGCAGAAGAGAGGTATCATTTGATTCATGTTTTAAAAGACACATTCTGGCAGCTGTTTTAAGACTAGACTGTAGTGGGACAAGACAGGAACTGTCTGGGGCAACAACAGTATTTGGGGTGAGATACGGTAGTTGCAAAGGTTGGAGAAGTCGCAAGGAGATACTGATGGAACTTCTTACATGTTTCACTGATTTCCTCTTCTGGGAGGGCCAGCAATGCCCCAGTTGACCAACAATATGGAAATTAAACCCACTGGCATTTACAGGAAACCAGAAATATTCAAGAAAGTATGAGCAGCACAATTAAATTCTACAGGGAGCTCAAGATTATCCCCCACTCTAGTCTGGAGGAGGAGATCTTGGAGAGGTTCAAGCTGGACCTTCCATGGGATTCTCACCCCAAAGACCATCTTTTGGGATCTCACTCTTGCTTCCTCTTGGCATGTCTCCTGTGTGATTCTTTGGACATTTTTTCTTTCAGTCACCTCCCACTTCATGAGATTATTTCTTCCCCCACCCTCCCTTCCAGGTGGCTGGGGCTGCCTAACTCAGGGGAGACTCCTTGCAGGAGAAAGCCAGGGTTGCAGCTTAATCTGGCTCAGCTCACGCCTTTAGAGAAAAGAACTGTCTTTTCTTTGTGTTTCTTTTCCTATACCACCAAATTGGTAAAATATTCTAGGTCAAAAAGACCCTGTGGGCTGGGCACGGTGGCTCACGCCTGTAATCCCAGCACCCTGGGAGGCCAAGGCAGGTGGATCACCTGAGGTCAGGAGTTCGAGAACAGCCTGGCCAACATAGTGAAACCCCGTCTCAACTAAAAATACAAAAATTAGCCAGGCATAGTGGCAGGTGCCTGTAATCCCAGCTACTCAGGAAGCTGAGGCAAGAGAGTCTCTTGAACCAGGGAGGTGGAGGTTGAGGTGGGCTGAGATCGTACCAATGCACTGTAGCCTGGGGGATAGAGTGAGATTCTGTCTCAAAAAAAAAAAACACACACACACACAAAAAACAAACAAAAAAAAACAACCTTATGTATGGAGCAATAATCACAACTCATATGCTATCAATAGGCCACAACCTCTGTGATCATTGAATATCTGATGAGGTCATTGATCTCTGAATATCTGATGAGGTCATGATCACTGGGTATCTGATGAGATCATTGAATATCTGATGAGGGGGAGGAGTGGATCCCCTAGGCAGGAGTAGGGCACAAAAAAGTGGGTATGACTAATAGATACTGTGCCTTTCCCATTTGCTTCCAAAAGGTCTGTCTACTGTAAAAATGGAAGGTAAATTCTGAAGCAGTTTTTGTCTCTAAGTGTCTAGCTCCTGGAAGCTTGTTTAGTCTGAGCCTCTGTGTCTTCATCAATTGAATGATGCTGTCTTTGAACCTACCCACATACGTCAGAGATGACCTTGGAGCTCAGAGCTCTGTACATCTGCTTGTTTGCTTGTTCCCTTCCCTAGAGAATATGTGGTAAGGTGAACAGTGTACTTCCCCCAGGAGCCTGCTTCTCATTTTGTAGCCCATTACTAAGCCACTTACAGTAAAGACTCTCAGGAGAGTATTTTCCTAAAAGGCATGGACATGAGCTAGTAGAGGCTAAAAATATAGAGCACTACAGAAAATGTTTAAACCAATGCATAAATAATTGAAAGTTGGAACAATCTACTGAGGTCAGTGGGATGTTGTAGGTTAGCAGGTAAGGGTTTTGGTATACTCCTAATCATTTGGCCCCAATTCACTAGAACTTCTACTTCTTATCTTAATTTTTAGAATGAGGAAACCTAGCCACTAAGAAGTTAAATACTTTTCTTGAGGTCTTCAAGCTCACAGGTTGTGCAACTGGGTTCTGAATCCAAACGGTTTGACTCTAGATGGTATATCCTTAACCCCAATGCCATTCCATCCCTCAGGACCCCAAACCTAGGTTATCACTGATAGTTTGGAGTTCATAACTCTAAAACAGCATGAGTTTAGTGGAACACTAGTGCCTGGAAGATATTAAGAGATCTTCCCTAAACAGGGTCCCATGGTAAATACATATAGGAAATGCTGAGTGAGATTACATTGAACAGGTTTCCTCCCTACAGAACTTCTCAGAGTCTTTAATAAGTTCATGTGCACTATGGCTCTCTAAAACCTAGATGTGGAATTTTTCAGATATAATGACCCTTGGAATTCTTTTCTGATAAAATACCTACTATCATACAGATTTTGACAGAATATTATTTGGGAAACACTGCTCTAAAGTATAGTCTAGATTATTTCATTTGTTTTGCCACTTATTTCCTTTAATTTCATTTTATAGGGTCCAGAAATGTGTTGTAAACTGCACAGCTTAAAGGTCTCATCCGTATTTTCATCTATGGCTTGCTTCTCCATTTCATTCACAAAGATGTTGGGAGAGATGTAAACACCCGAGTAGACTATGCACACCACAGTCCCCCTGCTCTACCAAGCTACTTTTCTTCTGGCGAATGGCTCAACCCCAGCTCTTATTGCTCATTGCCATTTTTCTGTAAGTATTCACAAACAATACAAGTCATTCATTCTAGATTTTCATTAAAACAAAAAACAACACTTTAAAATAAAAGCTTTCTACTCTCCCTAGTCTTCCAACATCTTTCTCATCTTCACGCTTTCTCAAAGATTCCTGATGGGGTAAAATAAAACACGTGAAAGGGGTAAAGGAATAAAAATTGTGTGAGCATCTTCTGTGGCCTCAGAGTCACACCAGGCATAGCAAGACCAGTAAGTCAATCACTGGTAGATCTGGGATTTAGATGCCCAATATCAAGCCTATATTCCTCCTACTCTTTATGTCATAACATGGGGCTACTATAATGTTTGGAACCAAAGATATGAATTCTTCTACGGGCAAATAGTGATCTCTTGATTTCTCATAAAACCTTGGCCCCAAATAGCTCCCTGATTCACCCCCTTGTAAGTAACAGATAGGTGATGGGGTGAAGTCACTAGTCCAAGGACAGGGTACCAAGATCTACCAGCCAAGCTTCTCTTGGCTCTCAATATTTTGTTTCAACATTCCCAGTTTAAAGATCGTTCTCTTTACAACAAAAAGAGATGCAAAATAACTGCTGTGTCATTCTGCTTTCTCATAACAATTGGTTTTTCTCTGATTAAAAAAAATATAAGGCCGGAGGTTTTAGCATAATAGACCTAGGTCAATTTCTGAAGTCCTACCACCTTGTCTACCTTAGACAAGCTACTGAGTCTCTGAGGTTTAGTTTCCTCCTCTCTAAGATCAGTATGGCATCGCTGACTCCCCACAGCACTGTGATGAGTATTAAATATGACTTAATTCATGTGAAGTGATAACACAGTCTCTCATGCACAGCAAGAACCCCTTCCCGGGCAATAGCTTAGAACAATGGTTCTCATTCCCGACTTGGCATCAGAGTCACCAGTGGAATTTAAAAAAAAAAAAAAAAATTCAAGAATAAACAAAAATCCAAAACACATGAAAAAATGACTGAAAGTATTGATTATATCAGAATTTTAAATTTCAGTATGACAAATTATACCATAAACCCAAGTAAAATGAGAAAGACTGGGAGAAAATCTTTGTAACACACATAACAGTATTCAGAGTATATAAAATGTCAAAAAATCGGTAAGAAAAAGGCACATTTGCCACAAAAAATACAATGTGTAGACAAATCACAATTTACAAAAAGACAAATTATAAATGTTATGAAATATGACCTACATCTCACTAATAGTCAGAAAAATGAACATTAAATCAACAAATTACCATATTTCACTCATTATATTGTTCAAGATTAAAGGCAATAATAAGCATATATTCTTAAATGTATAGAGAAATGAGTATTCTCATGTTGAACCAGTGGGAGTATAAATTCTTACAGGACATTTGGAGAAAAACTTTGTAGTTCTGATTAAAACTAAAAATGTCCATATCCTACGACCAGATTCCACTTCTAGGTATCTACCCTAAAGAAATTTTTGCATATTACTTACCAAAAAAATTGAACAAAATACTGCAGAATTGTCTGTGACTATAGAAACTAGAAAACACCATGGATGCCAAAAATAGAGGGATGATAAATAAAATATGATACACAGATATTAAGAACTATACTTCAGAGGTTAAAAGTTATGAACCTGATCTATATGTATCAGCATGTATACATTTTTTAAATGTTGCATTCACAAAATATATATATAGTAATTCTTACTTAACAGTTAATAAATATTCTGAGGGCACATTAAGTGATTTAATCTTTAGATCACATGCATTAAGTGATTTAATCTTTAGATCACATGCATTAAGTGATTTAATCTTTAGAACTACCCTATGAAGCAGATACGATTACTATTTCCATTTTACAGATGAGGAACTGAGGCACAGAGAAGTCAAGTCACCCTCTCTAAGCCACAGCCCTGCATCCATGGAGTCCATCCTCTTGGCCACTCCATTGTGCTTACTGAAAGAGGCTGCAGACCAATGTGCATAGCATGACACTTGTCAATATCAACATACTTTTCCAAAGGACTGGAAGGAAATATGCTAAACTCATAATGATGCTGTCTTGGCTAGAAAGTTTGTAGAATTAGAATGATCAGGATAGAGGAGAGATGAGAAAAGACTGTAGCTTTATCTTCTAATTTTTTTCTTAAGAAATGATATGTTAATTTGTAATATTTGAAACTGCAATGACACAGGAAAAAATGAAAGTGATATGTCCAAATGTTAACAGCGGTTGATAATAGATGGAAGGAATATTAGTAGTTAATTGTCTTGCATTTAAATGCATTTTTCAATATGAAAGAAAAAATACCCAGAGACAGGTACTTTTGCCCCCTCACCCCAAGAATGAGAGACTGGGACCAGGATATTTGCATTTTTTAAAAAACTCCAGAGTGATTCAGATGTTCAGGGATAGCTGTATTTGGCAGAGGTGTGGGGTGTAATAGAAAGATCATGGGCTTCGGAATCTGAGATTCAGAGTTCAATGCCATTTCCACTGCACATTAGCTGTGTGATCTTGAGCAAATTACTCAACCGCTCTGAACCTCAGTTCCCTCATCCATAAAGTGAGAGTACCACCTTCACTTAGTTTAATGCGGATTAAATGAAGAGTCATATGTGCCCAGCTCATTGCATAATGCGGTTCCACAAATACTAGAATTTGATTCTCTCTCTTAACGTAGCATCTTTTTCCTTCTTTTCTTTTCTTTTTTTTTTTGTGGGGAGGGAGGGGGCGGACAGAGTCTCACTCTGTTGCCCAGGCTGGAGTGCAGTGGGGTGATCTTAGCTAACTTCAAACTCTGCCTCCTGGGTTCAAGCAATTCTCATGCCTCAGCCACCTTAGTAGCTGGGATTACAAGTATGCGCCATCACGCCCAGATAATTTTTGTATTTTTAGTAGTGATGGGGATTCGCCATTTTGGCCAGGCTGGTTTGAACTCCTGGCCTCAAGTGATCTGCCCGCCTTGGCCTTCCAAAGTGCTGGGACTACAGGTGTGAGCCACCATGCCCAGCCTTAACTCAGCACTTTGAGTGATTTTAACATTTTGCCAGGCTGTTACTAAGGCGAGAAGTATACTGGCCTATACAATTTATACAGCAACTTCTGAAGTATGTTTGGAAAAAAAAAAATCAATACTCACTAACAACCCTTCTTCAATCACCCAATACAGTGACCTCTGTTTCCTCTTCTGTAAAATGGGTGTAATAACATCACTTACTGACCTGTGCAGTTGAGATTCTGGATAATGCTTCAGAGAGTTCACCCAGAGTTCACATACATGCATGCGCCCCCCTCCCTACCACCCCCTGCAGCCCCGACACACACACACACACACACACACACAAACACACATGTCTTGAGTGCATTCCATCCAATTCTGGTAATTTAGTTACTTGTCGTTTATTTATTAGGTTGAAAACATTCTGTTCATTTACTATTATTTAATCTATTAACTCTGACTTAGGCCTAAGGGGCAACCTCTCAAGGAGAAAATGCTGATTATCTAATATAAAAGCTAAAAAGTTACATAGGTGCATTTTACAGATATATTCTTTCTCATGGACAGTTTGTTGCTCAGAAAATGCTGTCTCTCTTCTCTACACCCATTGCTCGCTTGCTCTCACTCAGACATACATTCTCCTCCCCCAGGTTTAATTTTTTAAGGCAGTTTTTAAAGAATAATTTTGATTTATGAAAAAATAGAAATGATAGCACAGAGTTTCCACATAACCTGGACTCAGTGTCCCCCATTATGAACATATGAACATCTTACATTAATGTGGAACATAGGTTACAATTAATGAACCAATATTGATGCACGTTATAAACGAAAGACCATACTTTATTCAAATTTCTTTAGTTTATATCTAAAGTCCTTTGTCTGTTCTAGGATCCCATTCAAAATACCACGTTACATTTAGTCCTCATGTCTCTTTTTTTTTTTTTTTTTTTTTGAGACAGAGTTTCACTCTCGCTGCTCAGGCTGGAGTGCAATGGCGTGATCTCAGCTTTCTGCAACCTCTGTCTCCCTGGTTCAAGCAATTCTCCTGCCTCAGCCTCCCAAGTAGCTGCCACCATGCCCAGCTAATTTTTTTGTGTTTTTAGTAAAGACCGGGTTTCACCATGTTGGCCAGGCTGGTCTTAAACTCCTGACCTCAGGTGATACTCCCGCCTCAGCCTCTCAAAGTGCTGGGATTACAGACGTGAGCCACCGTGCCTGGCCCTAGTCTTCATGCCTCTTTAAGCTCCTCTCGGCTGTGACAGTCGCTCAGACAGTACTTGTTTTTGATGACCCTGAGAGTTTTCAGGAGTAATGGTCATGTATTTTGGATAATGTTCCTCAATTAGGATTCATTTGATTTTTTCTCTCATGGTTAGATGGAGGTTATGGATTGTGTGGAGGAAGACCACAGGGGTAATGTGCCATTTTCATCCTACCAAGAATGCATACCATCAACATGACATCACTGATGATGTTAATTTTAATTTTAATTTTTTTTTACTATTAAGGAAAGGTTTGTTTTAATATTCAGTTTCTTTTTGAATAATGTTGATTTTGGTCACATGGCTGAGGTGTCTTTGTCATATTTCTCCACTGTAAAGAAACTCTTCTCCCCCTTCCATGTGGTACTTTTTGGAAAAAAAGTCACTATAAAAACCCACTACTTAAATTATTTGGAACTCTAAATAGGAGATCTATCTTTTCTCTACTTATTCATATATTTGATCACAAGATTTAATTATATTTAAAAACTCAGGGTAAAAATTAATTGGCCCTGGCTGGTAGCTCACGCCTGTAATCCCAGCACTTTGGGAGGCCAAGGCAGGCAGATGACTTGAGTCCAGGAGTTCCAGATCAGCTTGGGCAACATGGTGAAACCCTGTCTCTACTAAAATTATAAAAATTAGCTGGGCATGGTGGCATGTGCCTGTAGTCCCAGCTACTGGGGAGGCTGAGGCATGAGAATCGCCTGAACCTGGGAGGCGGAGGTTGCAGTGAGCTGAGATCGCACCACTACACTCCAGCCTGTGTGACAGAGTAAGACTCTGTCTCAAAAAACAAAATTAATTGGCTCAAAAAGTGAAAAGATACTTTTAAAATATTTTTTTAACTTAAAAATATTTATTAAGGTAAAAAATTTTCTTTAGATTGAATTTCATTCTTAATTGAACACAACATATATAAAACTCAGGTTCTGTTGAGGATATAAACATGACTGAGACAAGGTTCTCTTCTTGAAGAAACCATCCTCAGGGCTAGACATAATGTATATGCTGAGCACGCAAGGAAGTGCTGCAGTTAAAAGTAAGAAGTGCTTTGGGAACACTGAGAAGATTGTAATTAATTCAGGGAAAGCTTGATAAAAGAGGTCTGAGGTCAGGGCCAGCTTCTGGGATATGCAACCACTGTCATACCACAGGAATCACACTTGGGGTTTCATGTTCTTTGCAACCTCCTTGAAATTCCTTTTTTTTTTTTTTTGGGGAGGGAGTCTTGCTCTGTCACCCAGGCTAGAGTGCAGTGGCACGATCCGGGCTCACTGCAAGCTCCGCCTCCAGGGTTCACGCCATTCTCCTGCCTTGGCCTCCCAAATAGGTGGGACTACAGGCACCCACCACCACGCCGGGCTAATTTTTTGTATTTTTAGTACAGACGGGGTTTCACCATGTTAGCCAGGATGGTCTCGATCTCCTGACCTTGTGATCCGTCAGCCTCAGCCTCCCAAAGTGCTGGGATTACAGGCGTGAGTTGAAATTCTTAATAACGACTTTTGAATTTGTGTTTCATAAGCAAAGTCCAGTGGGACAATGAAGCACATGCTGGGTATTTGGAGACTCAGCTCATGTGTAATCACACCATTTGCCCTCTCCTTACCTTCTCAGCCATGGTTCTAAGGGGTTGCTTTCAAGCACGTTGGCCCTCTGGACCCACGCAGCCTTCCCCTCCCTGGTCTTACCTCACCACCACTACTGCCCTTTGCCCAGAGTCATGACCAGGAGGCATGGGCTTTGGGGGGAAGTTTATATTCTGCTGCCACTCTCCGCCAACCCTGGGAGATCTGGCAGGGGATTTGGTGGGTGATTTGGCTTCAGGCAAGCTTCCTTTCCATTCTCATTCCAGAGGTTACAATCTCTTGGGGGATAGCTCATCACTGTGGGTTGGTGCAGCAGGTCCACGGAAATGGAAGATGGATTTCCCCATCCTTGGTAGGGGCTTGGCTGTCAGCCCAGCCCTGGCTGGACAGGGAACCCAGCAGTTAGAGGGCCAAGGTGCCCAGGGGAGGAGAGCACAACTAAATGGCAAATCAAAAACACCATAACAGGACATGAGAGAGACCACAGAAGAAAGGATAAAGTTATATATTTTAGTACTTTTAACAGCATTATTTCCTGTTATTGAGGAAGAGACCCCACGTTTTCATTTTGCACTGCGCCCTGCAAACTATGAAGCCCGTTCTGTCTGGGGCAGTACTGAATAGCAGTTAAGAGTGTATGTAGGTTCTAGACTCAGAATGCCTGGGTTTAAATGATTTCTTCCGTATTTACTAGCTGTTTGACCTTGGGCACATTTACCTAACCCCTCTAAGCATCAGTTTCTATCTCTGAAAAATGGGGGCAGAAATAGCTCCTACCTCATGTTATTTTCATTAGACTGAATAAGATCATGTCTATAAAGCTACCTTTTACTGAGATAACTTCTCATGCTCTGCCTTCCCTCCCCAGCTGCTCAGAATATTTGCTTCCCCTGTTAGATCCTAAAGGAGGCAGTTTCTCTTCCTTACAATTTCTATGTGTCCCCCATCTTCCTCCCCACCCACAGTGCTGAGAACATCATAGGTTTTCACAAGATATCTAATCGTATCCAGTCATGCCCCAAAAGGATTTGTTGATTGCATGCCCAAACACACTGAGCACTAAGTATGTGCACAGCCCTGACCAATGTGCTACCCCTGCCTCCCAATCAGCTAGAGAGGTCACAGGAATCTTAGCATAAAGCAATGTATTTTCAGGTGGGACAAAATCCCACCAAAAATATTAGCATAGTACTCGGAAGGAATCTGGCTGAGGAAACCTATTTGGAGTTCTGTGAAGTTTGGCTGCCCAGCAAACACCCAAATCAACGTTTCCTAAACTCTGTTCCCAGATGTGAATACATGTTCTTAAAATAAAAAGGATCCACAGTCAAGTAAGTTTGGAAAATAATACATACATTTCTCTCTGTAAACAACTTAGTATAATTAGTTTTATAGACTCTAAAAGTCCTATAATAAAGAAATCAGGTAAAATAATATGCCCGAATTTCCCAAGTTTATTAATTATGGAACCACTTTAATCATAAGACATTTACCAATGTCTTGAAGAACATTAGCTATTTTCTAAAGCATAGTTTTGGGTTAAGCTACTTGAAGAAAGGGACGGTGTCTTGCATATTATTTTACACTTATACATAGAAGACAATCAATATTAATTTAGTGAATAAAAGAATTAATATTTATTTCTTGTTTACTCTTTAACTGTAATCACATGTGACACATGTGATTACATGTTATGTGAAATGTAATCACGTGTCACATATGACTTATAGTTAATCATGCCTAATCACACATATGATTAGGCATTTTACAAAACACATTATTTCATCACAAAGTTCCTGTTGAAACTGACAAGGCACATATTATCAGCACTATATTATGAATGGAAAAACTGAAGCTCAGAGAGATTGAATGACTTAACTAAGGTCACACAGTTGGTTAATGTAAAAACTTGAGCTCAAATTCAAATCTGCCTGTTCCAGATCCTGTGTTCTTTTCATTGCATCTAACTAGAAAAGAACATGGAAGTTTGCTACGACATTATCCAAGACAAACATGATTGTAGCACTGACCTCAAATAAGCGCAATACTTTGGCCAATGCACCAACTTCTTCTTTGAGTGAGAAGATCAGTGATATGGCACCATTTTGATTGCAGTTGTCTTCAATATAGCTTGTTTCCTACAGGATAAGATGCATTTGTTTAAAACATTTTCCACAGTTTAGCAATTCATTCCTGTTAAACCTCCATGGACAAAGCAAGCATGAACTCTTTCTTCTAGTTAAATCTTGCAATACAATGAGCTATATATATTCTATACAGAAATATGTAGTGTGGTGGAAAATAAGTAAGTCCAGGGCAATTAAATGATCAATGATGCTACTGGGTCAGTTATCAGCTTAAGGAATCTTCAATTATTCATTGATGTCACCATTCAATCCTGTAAATTCAATACCTTTTATTGAGCAACTACTAGGTTCCAGGCACTATTTGGGCTCTGAGAAATTTAAAGATGAATAAGACAATGCTTTATCTTTTAGGAGCTCACAATCTAACTTAATAGACACATATATAACAAACTGAAAGATCCTTAGAGGTGATATAATATGATTTATAAAATGTCCCAGAAAGACATTGAGAAATACAGTGTGGAAAGTACTAAAAATGGAACATGCACAGGCTTTTGAATCGTAAGACCTGGATTGGAATCCTCTCTCTTTCATTTTCCAGGTGGACTACTTTGGGCAAATCATTCAGCTTTCTTAGTTTTCTCATCCGTGAAAGCATGCTAATAACAAGATCTGTCAAAACAGTATTCAGAGGATGAAAAAAGGAAAAGAATAGTTTAAAAAGAATATTGAGAAGTATATAAAAATGATGGAAAATTATAAATACACAAAAATGACCTCTTGACCTTTGGCAAAGATCTCAGGAAGCATTAACTTGCTCCCATATGCTGAGATCTGAGACATCCAATTGTTGAAAAAGAGTTACAAAATCCATGAAAGTACACAAATAACCTATCAGAAAATAAACTTAGTCTTAAACTAAATCTCAAAGAATGTCCAGGATCTAGCACTTACTACATGCATGTGACAGAAAACCAAGGTTGGGGTTAGGGCTGACATTCCAGAGTTTGCTAAATCATTAGCCTAAGTCGAAAAATAATACATAAAATTCTATGTGTGTCCACAATAAGCAGCAGGTACCTAAAACTGGGAAGAAAAAAATTTGCAGAACAATTACTCTCTTGTAAGCAAGTTAATGAAATTAATGGAATAGATGTTACATCATCTCAATGAGAGAAGGCTGTGTTAGGAAACTCTTAGTGACTCAGAATAACAAGCCCTGCATGAATACTGATGACCCTTAGCAAAAAATTCTTTCAATTCAGAAAATTCAGATTTTTGCCAAAACATCCCATGAAACTGAGGTGTGAAGGAAAAAACAAATTTATCAGCAAGAGTGATTTTAGGGAGCTTCAAATGAAATGGAAGACTAAACTGTTAAATATCCCATTTTGATCATGATGTTATCTTTCTAAAAAACTTCATTTATTTAGAGCCTATATAAACATTTATTTAGAGCCTATAATTTCTGGGTATTATAATAAGCACTTGATTTGGATTATCTCATGTAATTTGGCAACAACCTAAGAGGTAGGTTTTATTAGGCACCAAGTGCCCCCTTTTATTGATGACAAGATTAAGGCTTAGAGAGGTTAAGGAACTTGCCTATAGTTACACAGTTAGCAGTGGAGCCAGGATCTGAACCCAGGTCATTTGATCTCTGCATACTGTCCATGAATCACAATCTCTTGCAGCCTCTATTCCTCTTCCCCCTTTTAAACCCTGCCAGAGAGGTACAGATGAGTCTCTGACTTAAGTCTTCTTCCTACTAAAGAATACTGAGCCTTCTTCTTTCCAGTTTCCTTGAAATGACAAAAGATATTCCT